>NC_000008.11:28647981-28951011 GCF_000001405.40 Homo sapiens
TCAGTGGAGGTCCTTTGATGCTGGTCATGCTACCTGGCTAGGGTGAAGAAATCCAAGAGTTGACGCCTCCTGTACACTGCACAGTGTTGTATGAATATTGGATAATGGATTGGTCCAGCACCTTTACTGTATTTATTCTTTACTGATTATTTCTCTGTTCTTTGCCTACTGGTTTCTTATGTCTTTCTGATGCTGAGTTTCCATACAGGTAGGAGTTTGTTTTGGGCCCCTTTGGTTGATTGGTCTGGTTATCTATTTCTGGGCTAATATTGTACAGTCTAAATACTATACTTTGTAATTTTGGATTTTTTTTCCTGGCCCTGAGTCTTTCGGAAAGATGTGATTCCTCAGCTCCTCCAGCTCCCCCATATCCCTCTTCCTCTGCCAGTCTGCAGTTGCCCAACCCTCTGGAATGTTCATGTCCTCCAGAGGTAATGTTGAATAAGTCCTGCACAAATTTTAAAAATTATCATTTGGAGATATTTCAAGTATTCAGAAAAGTATGAAGAATAACATCTCGTAGTCACTACTTATCTTTGACACATCATAACATTCTGCCTTTTGGCTCCAGATCCTTTTCTTAAATAATAAGAGAAAAAGTCATGAACACCCACTATGCACCACTTCCAATTTCACTCTCCTCCCTCCCTCCCTCCCTTCCAGAGGCCACTACTGTCCTGAGTGAGGTGTGTGTCATTACAGGGCATGCTGTCCTCCTGTTACTACATATGCATGCACAGATCATAAGGCACATTCTTTTATTTTTTTAATCTATTTTTATTAGAGATAGGGTTTTGCTATGTTGCCCAGGCTGGACTCAAACTCCTGGGCTCAAGGGATCCTCCCACCTCAGCATCCTGTTAGCTGGGACTGTAGGCGTGCACCACCACACCCAGCTAAGGTTTGTTTTGGTTTGTTTGTTTGTTTGTTGAGACAGAGTCTTACTCTGTCGCCCAGGCTGGAGTGCAGTGGTGCAATCTCGGCTCACTGCAACCTCTGCCTCCGGGTTCAAGAAATTCTCCTGCCTCTGCCTCCTGAGTAGCTGGGATTACAGATGCCCGCCACCGCTCCCAGCTAAGGTTTTTTTGTTTTTGTTTTATAGAGCCAGGACAGGATCTTACTATATTGCCTAGGCTGGACTTGAACTCCTGGGCTGAAGTGAGCTTTCTTCCTCTGCCTCCCAAGTAGCTGGGAATACAGGCATATGCCACTGTGCTCCACATAAGTCATATTCATGTGTCATTTCCTTGTACCTGTATGCAATTGTTCCTCTAGGGTATTTATCTAGAGCTGCAATTGCTGGGCTTAGTGAGTGCACACTGATCTGGTCAAATTTCTCTCCACAGTGCTTGTCCCAGTTGATGGTGTGTATGACAGCTTTTGCTTCTCCTCTGTCTCTACCATGCTTACTACTGTTGGCTGACTTAAATTTTTTGCCAATCTGATGCCTGTGAAATTGTGTCTCGTAATTGTTTGTACATGCCTTATTACTAATGAAGTTGAGCATCTTATGTTTATTGGCCATTTGCACCTCCTCCTTGTTGAATGATCTGTTCATATTCTTTGCTTTTTTGTCTGTTGTGTCATCATTTTTCTGATTGGTTGAAGTAGTTATTTATATATTCTGGTTACTAAACTTTTACCAGCCATGTGCCATGCAGGTATCTTCTCTAAGTCTCTTGCTTGTTTGTTTCCTTACTTTGTCTATGGTATATTTCAGTGTGTAGATAAGTTTAATTTTAATGTAGTCAGCCATTTCACAATAATTTCTTTGTGGTTTATGCTTTCAAGTCTTATTCTAAAAATTCTTCCTCTTCTCCCAAATCATGTATACATTATTCTATGTTTTCTTTCTTAAATTCTATAAAGTTTTGATTTTTTTTACATCAAGCTATAAGCAGTAAGGTAATCCAAAATATAGATGTTGTTGAAAGCCCGGGCACGGTGGGTCACACCTGTAATTCCAGCACTTTGGGAGGCTGAGGCAGGCGGATCACCTGAGGTCAGGATTTGAGACCAGCCTGGCCAACATGGTGAAACCCCATCTCTACTAAAAATACAAAAATTAGCTGAGTGTGGTGGCGCACACCTATAATCCCAGCTACTCTGGAGGGTGAGGCAGGAGAATTGCTTGAACCCAGGAGGCGGAGGTTTCAGTGAGCCGAGATTGCACCACTGCACTCCAGCCGGGGTGACAGAGTGAGACTCTGTCTCAGGAAAAAAAAAAAAAAAAAAAATCCAGATGTTGTCTAAGGCCTCTCTTTACCTCTCCCCAATTTCACAATTTATTCTGTGATTGGTGTGAGGTAGAGGTCCATTTTTCTTTTCTTTTTAATATGGATAATTGATTGGTTCAGCACCTTTATTGTATTTACTTATTATTATTATTATTATTTTGAGACAGAGTCTTGCTCTGTCCAGGCTGGAGTGCAGTGGCGCGATATCAGCTCACTGCAACCTCTGCCTCCTGGGTTCAAGCGATTCTCCTGCCTCAGCCTCCCGAGCAGCTGGGATTACAGGTACGCGCCACCATACCTGGCTAATTTTTGTATTTGTAGTAGAGACGGGGTTTCACCATGTTGGGCCAGGCTGGTCCCAAACTGCTGACCTTGTGATCTGCTCACCTCAGCCTCCCAAAGTGCTGGGATTACAGGCATGAGCCACTGTGCCCGGCCTGTATTTATTCTTTACTGATTATTTCTCTATTCTTTCCCTACTAGTTTCTTATGTCCGTCTGATGCCAAGTTTCCATACAGGTAGGAGTTGGTTTTGGGCCCCTTTAGTTGATTGATCTAGTTATCTATTCTGGGCTAATATTATACAGTCTAAATACCATACCTTGTTAAAAGCCTTGATATCTCGTAGGGATAACAAGGCCTACCTTCTTTTTCTTTTTTCAAATTTACTTCTTGTTATTTTCAGTTCTTTGTTTTTCCATATGTATTTTAGAATCAGCTTATCTAGTACAGGTTGAGTCTCCCTTATGTGAAAAGGGAGTGGGACCAGAAGTGTTTCAAATTTTCTTTTTCTCCTTCTTTTCACCGGTGTTGAATGTTTCAGATCTTTGATTTTTTGGATTTTGGAATATTTGCACTGTTACCGGATTAAGCATCCCTAATCCCAAACTGCAAAATCCAGAATGCTGCAATGAGCATGTCCTTTGAGTGCCATGTCGTTGCTCAAAAGTTTCGGATTTTGGATTTTCAGATTTGGGATGCTCAATCTGTACCTTTAAAAACAGAATACATAATCCTGAGTATTTTCCTAGGCTTCATCTAGCCCACCATGCTGCTGTTTGCACTAGACCCTGTGACATTATCCTTCCTGATAAGCTTTCAGAACAGTTTCTTCTGTTTTTTTCAAAGACAGGGTCTAACTTTGTCCCCCACGCTGGAGTGCAGTGGCACTATCATGACTCACTGCAGCCTCGAACTCCTAGGCTCAGGAAATCTTCCCGCCTCAGGTTCCAGAATAACTAGTACTACAGGCATATGCCACCACACCCGGCTAATTTTTTATTTTTTGTAGAGACATGCTCTCCTTATGTTGCCCAGGCTAATCTCAAACTCCTGGGCTCAAGTGATCCTCCTGCCTCAGCCTTCCAAAGTGCTGGGATTATAAGCATGAGCCACCATGCCTGACCAGCAACAGTCTCTAATTCCTGTATTCATAGGTCATTTTGCACATATTACTTTTCTCTTAAAAAATGTGTTGAAATACATATAACATAAAATTTCCCACTTAAGCCACTTTTGTGTATAACTCAGTGGCATTCATTACATTCATAATCTGTGCAAGCATCACTACTCTGACAAAACTCTCTTCCCATTAACCAAGGTTAATAACTCCCAATTCCTTTCTCCTCCCAGCTTCTGGCAACTACCATTAGACTTCTGTATCTACGAATTTGCGTCTCTTCCTATATGTGGAATCATACAGTATGGTCCTTTTGTGTCTAGCCTCTTTCATTTAGCATGTCTTCAAGGTCCATCCATATTGTAGCATGCATCAGAGCTTAATTTTGACGGCTGAATAATATTCCATTGTGTGTGTGTGTCTGTGTGTGTGTGTGTGTGTGTATGTATACTGAACCACGTTTTGTTTCTTCCCATGTTGGGCATTTCAGTTGTTTCTAGCTTTTGGCTCTGGTGAATAATACCTCAATGAACATTGGTGTGCAAGTATTTGCCTGAGTCCTTTTTACTTCTTCTGGGTGTTTTCATAGGAGTGAAGTTGCTGGATCATATGGTAATTCTATGTTTAACTTCTTGAGGAACTGCCAAGCTGTTTTCCACAGTGGTTGCGTCGCTACATTCCCACCAGCAATGTCCAAGGGTTCCCATTTTTCCACATCCTCTTCCACATTTGCTATTTTCCTTTAAAAAAAAATTATAGCCTGGTGTTGTGGCTCATGCCTGTAAACCCAGCATTTTTGGAGGCCAAGGTGGGAGGATTGCTTGAGCCCAGGAGTTCCAGGCCAGCCTGCGCAACACAGGGAGGCCCCATAGCTACAAAAAAAAAAATTATCTGGCTGTGGTGGTGCATGCCTATGGACTCAGCTACTCAAGAGGCTGAGGTGGGAGGATCACTTGACCCCAGGAGGTGGAGGCTGCAGTAAGCCATGATCGTGCCACTGCACTGTAGCCCAGACGACAAAGTGAGATCCTGTCTCAAAAAAAATATATAGATATATTTATATATAGCCATATATATATATATAGCCATCTTAGGTGTGAAATGCTATCTCATTATGGTTTTCATTTGCATTTCCTTAATGATTAGCAATGTTGAGCATCTTTTCCTGTGTTTATTGGTCATTTGTATATCTTCTTTGGAGAAATGTCTGTTCAAGCTCTTTGTCCTCTTTTTCTCCCCACTGTATTATTTTTTAGAGTAGTTTTTAAGTTAACAGCAAAACTGAGCAGAAAGTAGAGAATTCCCATATACCTCTCACCTCCACACATGCATAGGCTGACCCACATTCAACATCCCTCATCAGAGTGGTACATCTAATACAATTGATTAACCAAATTGACATATCATTAGCACCCAGAATGCATATTTACGTTAGAGGTCACTCTTGGTGTTGGTATGCAAGTTTTGATGAGTGTATAATGACATGAATCCACATGATAGTAGCATATAGAATAGTTTTACTGCCCTAAAAATCCTCTGTGCTCATCCTATTCATTTCTTCCTTCCTGCTAATCCCTCCCTTTGCACATTTTAAAATGGGATTGTTTTTGTGTTGTTCAGTTGTAGGAGTTTTTTACGTATTCTGGACATCAAACCCTTATAGGATATATGATTTATACATATTTTCTCCCATTCTGTGGATTGTGTTTTTACTCTCTTGATAGTGTCCATTGATGCATACAAGTTTTTTATTTTCAAAAAGTTTAGTTTATCTATATATTCTTTTGTTACCTGTGCTTTTTAAGTGTCATACTTAAGAAACCACTGCCTAATCTAAGACCATGCAGATTTGCCCCATGTTTTCTTTTAAGAGTTTTATAGTTCTGCCTCTTAAATTTAGGCTTTTGATTCACTGTTAGTTTTTATATATGGTATAGGGTAAGGGTCTAACTTCATTTCGCATGTGGATATCCAGTTTTTTCAGCACCATTTGTTGAAAACACTCTCTTTTTCCCATTGAGTGGCCTTGACACTCTTGCTGAAATCAATTGACTAGAGACATTTGGGTTTATTTCTGGGTTCTAAATTTTATTCCATTGGTTGATATGTCTATTTTTATGCCAGCACCACACTTAGTGCTGTTTTGATTACACTTTTTTGATTACTGTAGCTTTGTAATACGTTTTGAAATCAGAACATGTGAGCCCTCCAACTTTGTTTTTCTTTTTCAAGATTATTTTTGGCTATTTTGAGTCTCTTAATTCTTTATGAATTTTAGAATGGGATTTTTCATTTCTGCAAAAGATGCTCTTGAGATTTTGATAGGGATTGCATTGGATCTGTATAAAGCTTTGGATAGTATTCTCATCCTAACAATATTAAGTCTTCCAATCCATGAACATGGGATGTCTTTCAATTTATTTGGGTCTTGTTAAAATTTCTTTTGGAAATGTTTTATATTTTTTCACTGATTACATTTTAAGTTAGTTGTTTGCTGATGCTCTCTAGGAAGACAGTAGCATATCTCTAGAATATAAGAGGGTCTTTCTGAGATGCTGAGTCTTATAAAGTTTAGCTAAAAAGGGAGAAAGCAGTATTTATTTTTAATACCAGAATTGGTTTCCCCAGTCATGGTTTTTGAGAATTATTAAACAAGGTGAAAAAGAAACTTGTATGGCTTTCAGATTCTTAGGAGATTTTGTTGATTTCATTGAGTTTACTCTGTGCTGAATGGTTTTATTCTTTTTGTTTGTTTGTTTGTTTTTGTTTTGCTTTTTTAAAGACAGGATCTTGCTTTGTTGCCCAGGCTGGAGTACAGTGGCATCATCATAGCTCACTGCGGCCTCAACCTCTTGGGCTCAAGCAATTCTCCTACCTTGGCCACCTGAGTAGCTAGGACTACTCACCATCACTTCTAGCCAACTTTTTATATTTTGTAAAGATGGGGTCTTACTATGTTGCCCAGGCTGGGGAGTCTAGCTTTAAAAAAAATCTTTCAGGAAGATATTATTGTTGAATCCATGTTCAATATTGTAATATCATCTCTAATACCATCTTCTATTATTATATCCACATTGCAGTCTATATCATATAATAATATAGAACAAACACTTTAGATGTTTGACTTTCTGGAGCCCCATCTTCTTTTTCATACCCCAATTTTGTTGTAATTCTGCAAACATTCAAACCTGAACATTCAAACATTCTAACCCTCTTCCAAGAATGACTCTTGACTTCATTCTTCAGGTAATGGTGCCACATCAAACACTGCCTAACAAGGCAAACAGAGAACTATTATTTAGTCAAACCTTTTGGGCTTAGAGAAATAAAATGGTGGCAGACCTTTGTTTGGGAGGCAAAGCAAGGTGAGAAGAGTAAGGCCGATGTATTTTTCTGACCCTCATCATTTACCTTGTGTTTGTTTATTGACTTTTGTAAGGTTAGCATGAGGCCTCTGATATTAGCAGCATATATTGAATATTCTCTCAATATTTTGAGCACTTTAAAAATCTTCCACCTGATTTAATCTTCATAATAAGTTCACAAAGCCAGGCCTGCTGGCTCACACCTGTAATCCTAGCACTTTGGGAGGCCAAGGTGGGAGGATCACTTGAGTCCAGGAATTCAAGACCAGCCTAGGTGACAGAGTGAGGCACTCTGTCTAAGAAAAAGAAGAAAGAAAAAAAATTCTGCAAGACAAATATTATTATGCCTATTTTATAAGAAAGTCAACTCAGATTGAATACTTTGCCATGGTCATCCATAGAGTAAGTGATAGAGCTACATTTAAGCCGGAACGATCTGATTCTGAAACCCATGCTCTTGTGATTTTCCTAGTCTTCTTTAATATACCTTGAGAATAAAAATCTTCCTTTTTTTTTTTTTTTTTTGAGACAGCGTCTCACACCTGTTGCACAGGCTGGAGTGCAGTGGCACGATCATAGCTCACTGCATCTTTGACCTCCCTGGGCTTAGGCGATCTTCCCACCTCAGCCTCTGGAGTAGCTGGGACCACAGGTGTGTGCCACCACACCTGGCTAGTTTTTTGTACTTTTAGTAGAGGACAAGGTTTTGCTATGTTTCCTAGGCTTGTCTTGAACTCTTGGGCTCAAGCGATCCACCAGCCTCGGCCTCCCAAAGTACTAGGATTGTAGCATGAGCTGCTGCACCTGGCCTAAATCATTCTTTCTTAATAGGTATTTAGCTAACAAGCCCAGGCATCACATTTCTCAATCTGCTATTTACAGAATGATTCAACCTGGTCATGATGGCGGCCTGAACAAGGACAGTAGTTGAGAGAGAGGAAGGGACTAATTGGAGACCTATTATTGGCTTAGAAATAATAGGAGTTAGTTGATGATGGGTGGGTGAGAAAGAGCAGGTGGTGTCAAGATGAGTCCAGATGCAGGATCATTGAGAACCTTCTGCCTTTTAGACAATAAATCCATTTCAGGGAAGCAACTGCCATTAAAACTTATTTTCTCTGTGGCATGCTAGACCCTGGTCATTTATAATTTATAATTTATTATCCGTGAGCAATCAGAAGGTTGTTCAACCATTTTTTTTTTTGAGATAAGATTTCTCTCCCGTCATCCAGTCTGGGGTGCAGTGGCATGATCTTGGCTCGCTGCAGCCTCTGCCTCCTGGGAGGTTCAAGTGATTCTCCTGCCTCAGCCTCTTGAGTAGCTGGGATTACAGGTGAGCCACCACACCCGGCTAATTTTTGTATTTTTAGGATTTCACCATTGTTGCCCAGGCTGGTTTTAAACTCCTGACCTCAAGTAATCTGCCTGACTCAGCTTCCCAAAGTGCTGGGATTATAGGCATGAGCCACTGCGCCCAACCTGTTCAACTATTTTTTTAATTTTATCCTCCAATTCATTCCCCTCTGTGTCATTTGAGTTTCTATAATTTATAATCAAAAGAGTCCTGACTAATAAAGGGGGAAGTTTTTTGCTATAGGGCTGTTCCCAACCTTGGGATTAGGAAAGGTTTTGGGATAAATACCTTGCACACGTCAAGGTCTACTGTATTTTTTCAAGTATTCAGGGGCTTGATTTTGCATCTAATTTTACTGACTTCATGTAAAGCCTTGTGTTAAATGGTGGGAAACTTTGCTAGCTTCAAATATGCCTAAAACCTCCTCAAATAGTTTAAATATTTGCTTACTCCTTTCATAACCCCTAAAGAGCTGAGAAAAAAAATTGATGAAGACTAAAAAATTATTTGTTGTTTCTGAGATGAATGTGACCATTATTATGGTTGGTCTTTCTTTCTTTCTTTCTTTCTTTCTTCACACTCTCTCTCTCTCTTACTTTTTTTTTGTTTATTTTGAGACAGGGTCTCACTCTGTTGCCAAGGCTGGAGTGCAGTGGCATGATCTTGGCTCACTGCAGCCTCTGCCTCTGGGTTCAAGTGATTCTTCCACCTCAGCCTCCCAAGTAGGTGGAACTACAGGCGCCCACCACCACCACCACACCCAGCTAATTTTTTTTTGTATTTTTTGGTAAAGTGGAGGTTTCGCCATGTTGGCCAGGCTGCTCTTGAACTCCTGACCTCAGGTGATCCACCTGCCTCGGCCTCCCAAAGTGCTGAAATTATAGACATGAGCCACTGTGCCCAGTCTCATTATGGACTTTAGCAAGTATAAGGAAGAAAGTGGTTTGAATTGCTGGATAGAGAGTTTTAAACTCAGTGGGAGGAAGACTGGGGAGGAGCTATTGGCCTTGCCAGTGCACTGAGTAACGCAGTCATCTCTGCATCCACTGCCCTTTCTTACTCTGGCACCTTGGACAGCTCCACTCTGCCTGGCCCGACTAAGTGGGCCCCACTGACCTGCTGTCCAATGACATCTTCAGCATTATGGGAACATTTTTTTTATTGTAATATTTTAATTTTGTTTAGAGCTGTAACATTCTTATGCTGTCCATCTGAGCTTCCTTTTTTATCCTTCAAGGTTTCTGGACTACATGGTTTGGTAACAATCATGGTTTGGTTTTTATTTTTAATGTATACATCTTTCACATTGTACACTCTATTTTTTTGCTTTGTAAGAGTCATCTGTGCTTATTTAAAAAAAAAATTGGAAAGCACATCAAAGCATAAAGACCCGGGGGGAAAAAACCTACCCATTATTACACAACTTGAAGCCAGTAGCATTCACATTTGGGCATATTTCTCTGTGGTATCTTTTGGGAGAGTTCCAAGCTTGGCTTGGCAGCTAGCCTTGCTTCTATCCTGGGCTCTTTGACCTCCTGGGCTTCACTCCTCCCTTAATAGAGGTTTACTTAATCGACCTTCCCTTCCTCTTTCTGCCTTCCCATAGACACAATTAAAGCCAGCTGCTTGAGGATTCTGGTAACTGGTGAGGACAGCTGATTCTGAGCCCGCTGGCAAGAGGGCAGGCTGAGAGGGTGGGGTTGGACTCTGGCTGATGCAGGGGCACCGGGCAGGAAGCTCAGCAGCTGGGCAGGGGCCTGGACACAGGGCTGCCCGTGCAGAAGCCACGTGGTCCTGCTCTCACATTTTCCCTGCTGTTCAGAGCCAGCCAAAGCTGAGGGCATATGCTTGACACCGGACGGTGGGTGGGGGGGGTCCCTCAGAAACCAACTTCCTGCTTATTATGTCAGGCCTCAGCAGGGGATATTTTTTCATTATTCTCTTAATTGTTTTGAGTAGGAACACAGTCACATGGTTCATGGAGCAGAAGTCTCCCTCCTGCTCAGCCCCATCCACCCTGTTTTCACCCTCCCTAATCCACTCCAGGTAATCAGCTTTTCATTTCTGTGTGTATTCATCTAGACTTTATTTGTGAATACTAAAGCACATAAAAATATATTCTATATTCTTTTTTTCCCTTCCTTGTAAACAAAAGGAAGTGTCTTATACACCTTTTCTGTACCTTGCTGTTCCCCCCCTGCCCCCGCACTTATCTTGGAGACTCTAAAAATATCTGTACCTTGAAAGTTTCCTCATGCACTCTTTTTTTGAGCTCGCTCTGTCGCCCAGGCTGGAGTGCAGTGGCACAATCTCAGCTCACTGCAACCTCTGCCTCCTGGGTTCAAGTGATTCTTCTGCCTCAGCCTCCTGAGTAGCTGGGATTACAGGTGCCCACCACCATGCCTGGCTAATTTTTGTATTTTTAGTAGAGATGGGGTTGTGTTGTGTTTTTCAGGCTTGTCTTGAACTCCCAACCTCAAGTGATCCACCCACCTCAGCCTCCCAAAGTGCTGGGATTATAGGCATGAGCCACTGCACCCGGCCCTCCTCATGCACTTTTATACCTTCGAAATATTCCATCGTATGTATGTAGCACAATGTATTTCATCAGTCTTCTACTCAAGGATATTTGCCTTCTTTCCAATCTTTTGTTATTTTGAGCAATGCTACAGTGAGTAACTTAGAGTATATGTTATTTCCTAAGTACGGCTGAAGGATAAATTCCCAGAAGTTAAATTACCAGGTCAAAGGAGATACTCATTTGTAATTCTGATCTCTGTGGCCCACTTCCCTCCATGGGGTGCTGTGCCAATTTGTACTTCTACTGGGAAAGTATGCAATGCAGTCTTTGTTTCTCTTGGGGGATTATTACATACTTCTTATATGTTGCTTTGAACTGTTCTTCATTTTTTTTTTTTTCCATTTGGATGCTGTCCTCCCAGTTAGAGGGCAAGTTTATTGAGAGCAAGGGCCAAGTGTTTTATTGCTTTTGAAGTGTCTGCATTTATAAATAATATAATACTGCACCCTAGGAGCATAAGAACTACTACTGCCTTCAGTATCATTTGGGAGATTAAGCCAATTAAACTTGAATGACAAGAGGATTCTCACGCCTGATTAGAGTTCAGTTGAACTGATTTCGATTTCTCTCTCCAAAGTCAAGGTATTCCAAATCCTTGTTTCAGGTAGTTATGGGAGGAATCCTGAGAGGAGAGCCCTTGACCGGGGCCTACAGCAGTTTTGCTTACTTCTATGTCAGCTTCTATCCTGGATCCGGGTGTCGGTTTCCCAGATGCAACCCCAGGGTCGCCCCAACATCAGCAAGTCTAATTGCTGCCGGTCCTGTCACTTACTTTCCTCAATTTGTGCCAGTGCCTGCCCCAAACTCAGCAAGAGAACAAAGAGCTGCTTTTAAGCTTTTTGTATCTGCCACATATGCAAACATGACATCATTGCAGTTTCGTTTGCCTATATCCTGGTAGTGAAAATGTCCTCAGTGTTTCTTTGTTGTCTCAGTTGCCACTGTACTGGAGTCTCCCCTGTGTCTAATTCTGCCTGGGGGTCCAGGGGTTTTCACACTCTTTGGCTTGAATATCCCCTGAAAGAACTTTGTAAAATTGCATGCCCCCTCGCATGTTGACAATCTACATGCAACATTTTACTATACGTTTAAATAGTTGTAAGGATATGTTTTACAGAATATTGTCAATATTGACACTCAACTTAGTTTAAAAAATAAAGTTGGGCCGGGTACAGCGGCTCATGCCTGTAATCCCAGTGCTTTGGGAGGCCAAGGCAGGAAGATCGGTTGAGGCCAGGAGTTTGAGACCAGCCTGGGTAACATACCAAGACCTCATCACTACAGAAAATTTAAAAAATTAGCCCAGTGTAGTGGTGTACACCTGTAGTACCAGCTACTTACAAGGCTGAGGTGGGAGGATTGCTTGAGCTAGGGAGGTTGAGGCTGCAGTGAGCTGTGATTGCACTGCGGCACTCCAGCCCGGGCGACAGAGCAGTGAGACCTTGTCTCCAAAAAAAAAAAAAAGTTGTTAGGTAGACATGTACACAAGTGTATGTACGTTAAGCTCTCATACAAACATACACATACTGTATATACACACACACTCCCAATTATATATATGTGTGTGTGTACACACAGACATATATATATACACATACACACACTCCCAATTTTTATTGTGTTAAAATATACATAACACAATTTATCATCTTAATCACTTTTAAGTGTACAGTTCAGTGGTATTAAATACATTCATAATCTTGTGCAACCATCACCACTATCCTTCTCTAGAACTCTTTTCATCTTGTAAAACTGAAACTCTGTACCCACTAAATACTAACTCTCCATTCCCCATCCCCCGGCAACTCCCACTCCACTCTCTGCCTTTGATTCTCACTATTCTGTGTGCCTCACATAGGCACGTACAATATTACTTACTTATCCCATGCTAAGGAAATAGCCCTCTATTCCGATTTTTGGCTTTTTTTTTTTTTTTTTTTTTTTTTTTGCTATTGCTATTTTAATGGGGAAAGTTTTCCTCTCTTTTGTTCGTTTCTTTTTTTTTTTTTTTTTTGAGACAGAGTCTTGCTCTGTTGCCCAGGCTGGAGTGCAGTGGCGCGATCTCTGCTCACTGCAAGCTCCGCCTCCCGGGTTCACGCTATTCTTCTGCCTCAGCCTCCCAAGTCGCTGGGACTACAGGTGCCTGCCACCACGCCAGGCTAATTTTTTGTATTTTTAGTAGAGACGGGGTTTCATCGTGTTAGCCAGGATGGTCTCGATCTCCTGACTTCGTGATCCGCCCGCCTCAGCCTCCCAAAGTGCTGGGATTACAGGTGTGATTGTTTGTTTCTATTGTTTACATACAATAAAGTCTACCAATTTGAAGTGTATAATTTGATAATTTTGGTCATTGTATACAGCTGTATAATCTCATCACAATCAGAGCATATTCATGTTGAGGCTTTATGTATATGAGCTTTATGTTTTATATATATATATACACACACACATATACACACAATATATGTATTATATAAAGCTTTAGCATAAATACAAATGCATATATGCATATGAATAGATAAGTATATGTATACATAATAAAAAATATCTAAATACACATACCTAAATATAAAGCCTTAACATGAATATATATATGTTGGGGCGTATATAAACACACATATATATATAGTATACATATGTATTGATATTAAGGCTGTATGTTATATAAATTATATATGTAGGCCAGGTGAGGTGGCTCATGCCTGTAATCCCAGCACTTTGGGAGGCCGAGGTGGGTGGATCATTTGAGGTCAGGAGTTCCAGACCAGCCTGGCCAACATGGTGAAACCCCGCCTCTACTAAAAATACAAAAAAAAAATTAGCTGGTTGTGGTGGCAGGCACCTGTACTCCCAGCTACTCAGGAGGCTAAGGCAGGAAAATTGCTTGAACCCGGGAGGCAGAGGTTGCAGTGAGCCAAGGTTGCGCCACTGCACTCCAGCCTGGGCAACAGAGTGAAACTCCTTCTCAAAAAAAAAATTAAAATAAAAGATAAAATATAAATGTATATATTACATATTGTTTCACATATTACATAAACAATATTAAATATGAAAAGTATAAATATATAATACAATATAAAATATATACTTATATAAACTATAGAGGGTAAATAATAGGTCCTTAAATATGTGTATAGATGTATGTGTATATATGAGTGTAACCTACGCATGCACAGAAACCTGTTACATTATTATTTTTTTTGATGGTATACAAAGGAATCTCATCGTGTTTGATTCCTGCCATCATCCATTAAAATAATACCTGGACAAGCTCTCCTTGAAACATAAGAAATGTTATATCATTTTTTTTTCTAAATTTGAATTTCCATTCCACTTCCCACACAGCTTTTCCTCACATATATTTTTATCCTTGAAAGTCTTTTGCTGGTCACCCTATCATACTGCACAAAAAGTATAGACCTATATTGATATTTTTATTTCCTGTGACCATTGAACAAGCGTTTAATCATTTCTTCTGATGAAGTTGTCATCAGTAGTAGTAATACAAATTGGCCAAAACAACAATATGTATTTCCAATGAATAAGTCCTATTAAATAGGGAGTTAGATTTAAGTTAGAAATATCTTCCTTAATGGGACAGTTGGCCTTTTTCTCCAGTTAGTTTATGTGTCTAGGTTTGGTTCCTACTCACTGCTAGAATCAATTCTGTTTCTCCATGACACTGCAGAGGAAACCTGTTTGTATAAAAAGTAGAGCCAGGCTTGGTGGTTCACGTCTGTAATCCCAGCACTTTGGGAGGCCAAGGCGGGTGGATAATTAGAGTCCAGGGGTTCGAGACCAGCCTGGGCAACATGGTGAAATCCTGTCTCTAAAAAATACAAAAATTAGCCAGGCGTGGTGGCACGTGCCTGTGGTCCCAGCTACTGGGGAGGCTGAGGTGGGAGCTCCTTGAACCCAGGAGGTCCAGGCTGCAGTGAGCTGAGCTGCGATTGCACCATTGCCCAGTTGTTTGAGGCTGCAGTGAACCACGATTGTGCCACTGCACTCTAGCCTGGAAGACAGAGTGAAACCCTGTCTCCAAAAAATTAAAAAGTAGATAGAAATGGAAATAATTGTATTACCGTACTATCAGTTAATTCTTTGAGCTCATTCTGAGCCAAAAACCCTATGCTGATTTATCGTCAAAAATAATTTTTAATGCTCTATCCACATGCAATTCAATGAGATCTCCTTAGGCTTGAGGGAAAGGAAAAATGTTGGAAAGCCCCTGACTTTGCAAAAGCAAATTTTACTCAGTCCTTGTGGTTATATGTTGGTTCAGCACTAATACCAGGATTGGGTTTGGTGCCCCAGGAAACATGCCATGGTAAGATTAGGATGGGTAAGGGGTGTCCTCTTCTTTTTATAAAGTAGAAAAGGGCTACTGGGGAAAGTAAGACCCTGCCCCTCCCTCGCAGGCAAGGGCTCAGGCAGATCAGTTGCAGAAAAGCGGGCCTGGAAATCAATTCCTTTCAAACTGTTGGTGCCCTTGTACTGAAGAGGAAGTGTTCTTATACCTCCATTTGAAGACCATTATTCTTTTATTTTTATTTGTGATGGTGTCTCGCTGTGTCGCCACGCTAGAGTACAGTGGCGTGATCTTGGCTCACCGCAACCTCCACCTCCTGGGTTCAAGCAATTCTCCTGTCTCAGCCTCCTGAGTAGCTAGAATTACAGGTGCACACCACCACACCCAGCTAAATTTTAAATTTTTAGTAGAGACGAGGTTTCACCATGTTGGCCAGGCTGGTCTCGAACTCCTGACCTCAAGTGATCCGCCCACCTCAGCCTCCCAAAGTGCTGGAATTACAGGTGTGAGCCACTGTGCCTGGCCTGAAGACCACTATTCTTTGAAACCCCTAATCTCTTCCACTTTACAAGACAGCGTTCTCAAACCTCCCCTCAGCAAGACAGTTTCAGGCAGAGGCTGGTGTCTCTCAGTTTTCCTCTCTGGGGCAGGGCTGAGGAGGCTGCCATTGCTGGCGGCAGGCTAAATTTGGCTGCTCAGTTAGACAGGCGTTACGAAGTGAATAGACTCCTGGGAAAAGAGGAAGAAAATAAGTGAGAAAACATTGCTGTCTCTTTATCTTTTGAAAATACACGTGGGCCCTGACCAGGTGACACCTTCTTCACCAGTGACGGAATGACTATTGGTGAAGACACAGTTGACAGGCAGTGGGTTACAGAATGAGCAGAGAGAAAGACCCGGATTTGGCGGGCTGTCATGGTCTGCTTGGGCTGCCCTAACAAAATACCACAGCAGGCTGGGTGGCTTCAACAGCCGGCATTTATTTTCTCACCATTCTGGAGGATGGAAGTCTGGGATCAGGGTGCCAGCATGGTCACATTCTGGTAGGGACCCTCTCCCTGGCTTGCAGGTGGCTGCCTGTCATTGTGTGCCCATGTGGCCTTCCCTTGGTGAGTGCATGGGCAGAGACAGAATCTTTCTTTCCATCTTTGTTTGTTTGTTTGTTTGTTTGTTTGAGACAGGGTCTTGCTGTGTCACCCAGGCTGGAGTGAAGTGACGTGATCATGGCTCACAGACGTGAGCCACTGCATCCGGCCTCTGGGGTCTTTTTTCATTTTGAGTAAGCAAACACCTAAAGTACTTTTTTCACGTGGAATGAGTGGTGGTAAACAATGTGAGTTTTGACAGGTCTCAATATTTTTTTTCATATTGATTCTTGAACTGTGTCGGATGATTCTTTATAGAATCCAGAGTTCAAGATATTCCTTTCCCCAGGCATTTGAAGATATTGTTCCATTGTCTTCCAGCAACCAGTATTGTTGATGAAATTTGATGGCAGTTTAATTCCCTTTCCTTTCCTTTTTATATACATCTCCCCCCGGAAGCTTTCAAAATTGCCCAGCGTTCTGAAATTTCACAAGAATGCAACACCATTAGGTCTTTTTTAATTCACTCTGTACAGCAGTCAGTGGACATTGTAATCTGAAGATGAGTTCCTCTTCAGCTCAGGGTCTTTTTCTCTCATATCTTTGATGATTTCCTCCCCTTCCTTCTTTGTCTCCTTTGGAATTCCTATGAAAGGAATATTGGACTACCTGACTCTATCACCCTTGAGCCTTTTCTCTCACATTTACCTATTTTTGTCTGTTTCCTTTTTATTCTGAAAGTTTTCCTTTACTTTTTTTTTTTTTTTTTTTTTTTTTTGAGAGGGTATCTCACTCTATCGCCCAGACTGGGGTGCGATGGTGTGACATCAGTTCACTGCAGGCTCCACCTCCCAGGTTAGAGTGATTCTCATGCCTCAGCCTCCCGAGTAGCTGAGATTACAGTTGCCTGCCACCACCATGCCTGACTCATTTTTGTATTTTTAGTAGAGACGGGGTTTTGCCATGTTAGCCAGGCTGGTCTCAAACTCCTGACCTCAGGTGATCCACCCACCTAGGCGTCCCAAAGTCCTGGGGTTATAGGCGTGAGCCACCACGTCTGGCCACCTTTACTTTCATATCTCAAGCTCAGTCGTCACTTGTTTACTTTTTTTTTTTTTTTTTTTTTGAGACAGGGTCTTGCTCTGTCACCCTGGCTGGAGTGTGGTCATGGCTCACTACAGCCTCAATCTCCTGGGCTCAAGTGATCCTCCCACCTCAGCCTCCCAAGTAGTTGGGACTACAGGCACATGGCACCACACCAAGCTAATTTTTGTATTTCTTGTAGAGATGCGGTCTCACCATGTTGCCCATGGCTCAAACTCCTGGGCTCGGGCAATCCGTCCATCTCAACCTCCCAAAGTGCTGGGATTACAGGCATGAGCCACTGTGCCTGTCCTACTTGTGTACATTCTAAGGAAGGCAGTCCTGCCATCTGATTTTTTTTCTTATGCCCTGTAATCATACCTTAATTACCAAGTACGCTTTTTTATTCTTTTCTGGATAGGTTTTCTATGTTTAGCTGGAGGGCAAAAGCTGAATGTGTTTAAGACACTGGCAGTCCCAACTCTCCCAGCTTTAATGAATTATCCTAATGATTGCCATGGTGCACTTCTGTGCCTTCTGTCTGGCGTCATCCAGTTAGAAGCTTCCATGGACTTCTTTTCAAGATCTGGCCTTCCTGGTGGCGTTTGAATCTGTGGTTTTCTTGTCTGCTTCTTTGTCAATCTCATCCTAATGCTTTCTGCCCTCCAGGAGTTTTTAAGATTTCTTGCCTGCTGATGGCAGCCTTTCTTTTTGCGCCTCTTATTATTTCACTCTTTTTCAAAATGCCTTTTTCATCATTTCAATGGGTCCTTGAATGGGAGATGAGAGAGATCTTAGGTACTCAGTGCATCAGTTTAAACTCCGGAAGGTTCTTTCTTGCTTTCTTGCTGTCTCTTTTCTTTTCTTTTCTTTTCCTTCCTTCCTTCTTTCTTTTTGTTTTTAGACAATGTCTCACTCTGTCACCCAGGCTGGACTGCAGTGGCATGATCATGGCTTCCTACATTCTCAAACAACTGGGCTCAAGTGATCCTCCTGCCTCAGCCTCCTGAATAGCTGGGACCATGGGCGTGTACCACCAAGCCTGGCTAATTTTTTTTGATGGAGTCTCACTATGTTGCCCAGGCTGGTCTCAAACTCCTGGACTTAAGCAATCCTCCCACCTTGGCCTCCCAAAGTGCTGGGACTATAGGCGTGCTTACGCCCAGCCACTCTTTTCTTTTCTTTCTTTTTTTTTATTTGAGACAGAGTTTCACTCTGTCGCCCAGGCTGGAGTGCAGTGGCGTGATCTTGGCTCACTACAACCCCCGCCTCCTGGGTTCAAGTGATTCTTGTGCCTCAGCCTCCCCAGTAGCTGGGATTACAGGCACATGCCACCACACCCAGCTAATTTTGTATTATTAGTAGAGATGGGGTTTCACCATGTTGGCCAGGCTGGTCTCGAACTCCTGACCTCAGGTGATCTGCCTGCCTCGGCCTCTCAGAGCGCTGGGATTACAGGCATGAGCCACCACGCCCAGCCCCAGCCACTCCTTTCTTAAAATTGTATTCCAGTCCTCTCCTCCTGCCTTCGACTCCCTGGTTTGTCTCCTTACCTTGCATAAAGGTCCCCACAGCAATGCAACCTGGAGAGTCCTCTGGCAGACTCAACTTGAAGGTGTGGGAGCTTCCTGTGCTGGTCAGTCTGTTGACCCAGACACCAGATCCTCTGGGGCGGCAAGGATGAAAGACTCTGGTTGTGCTAATGGAGCTCCCTCATTGTTTACCTGTCAGAGAAAAATTGCGCTGAACAAGTTAAGTAGGCAAAGAAAACTTTTTTCAAGACTATTGCATTGGGGGTCAAGACTCAACCCTGAATATAACAGTGGCAGCTGGGGATTTGTAGACAATGGACAAGGTGCAGGGGCCAGTGGATGGAAAAGTAATGCAAGGAACTTGGTAAAGTAACAAGGGTGGGGGATTCTTGCAGAACCAGATTCAGCAGGCCAAGGATGAGGCCTGGTCAAGAAGAGCATTCAGAGGAGCCTGACTCAAGTTTGGTCAAGGACCAGGAGTCACTGTTGGCCCCTCCTTCATTCAAGGTACTGTGAATATTTCTGTTCAATACTGGGCCTCTTGGCCAAGTGGCTACCCTCCTCACTGGACTTGATAGCTCAGGCCTCTGATATTTCTTTATTTTGCATGGTTCCGATTGGTGAGGTTTCCTTAAAGCTTACTCAGCTGTAATGCTTTGGCAAGCAGAATCAAATTGTGTTTAAGCCCAGGCTTTGGAATCAGAAGCACTTAGGTTCAGATCTTGTCTCTGCCACTTATTAGCTGTATGACTTTGGGCAGGTCACTTAAGAATATTTTCTTCCCTTGGTGTGGGGGGAGGGGGGAGGGACAGCATTAGGAGATATACCTAATGTAAATGACGAGTTAATGGGTGCAGCACACCAACATGGCACATGTATACATATGTAACAAACCTGCACATTGTGCACATGTACCCTAGAAATTAAAGTATAAAAAAAAAAAAAAGAATATTTTCTTCCCTTGGCTGGGCGTGGTGGCTCACACCTGTCATCCCAACACTTTGGGGAATTGAGGCAGCAGAATCTCTTTAGTCTAGGAGTTCAAAAGCAGCCTGGGCAAGCTCAGTGACTCACGCCTGTAATCCTAGCACTTTGGGGGATTGAGGTGGGAGAATCTCTTGAGTCCAGGAGTTCAAGACCAGCCTGGGCAAGATGCTGAGACATTGTCTTTACAAAATAAAACTGAAAAAATTATTCGGGCATGGTGGCATGCACTTGTAGTGGCAGCTACTTGTGAGGCTGACGTGAGAGGATTGCTCGAGCCCAGGAGTTCAAGGCTGCAGTGAGGTATGATTGCACCAGTGCACTCCAACAAAATATGAGGTCCTGTCTCAAAAAAAAAAAAAAAAGAAAAGAAAAAAGAAAAGACAAAGAATACTTTCTTTCCAGAGTTGTTACTTTTTTTTTTTTTTTTTTTTTTTTTGAGACAGAGTCTCACTCTGTCACCCAGGCTGGAGTGCAGTGGTGCAATCTCGGCTCACTGCAACCTCCGCGTCCCAGGTTCAAGCAATTCTCCTGCCTCAGCCTCACCAGTAGCTGGGATTACAGCCACAGTGCCCACCACCATGCCTGGCTAATTTTTGTATTTTTAGTAGAGACGGGGTTTCCCCATGTTGGCCAGGATGGTCTCGAACTTGTGACCTCAGTTGATCTGCCTGCCTCGGCTTCCCAAAATGCTGAGATTACAGGCGTGAGCCACTGTGCCTAGCCCAGAGTTGTTAACTATTGATGTTATTATTCACTAAATGGAAGCTACCATTAATTTTCACATTTTATTGATCCAGACTCACACCATGTAGATCTCCTGAAGCCAGCATCAGCCCCAACATACTTCTCATATCATGGCTAGTGTACAAGTTTACCTAGGCTTGGCATCTGGCAAGCATCTAATATGCACCAGTAACCAATAGCATACCCCTGCCTCCTTTGATAGAATCTCTTTTTTTTTTTTTTTTGAGACAGAGTCTTACTGTGTTGCCCAGGCTGGAGTGCATTGGCATGATCTCAGCTCACTGCAACCTCCGTCTCCTGGGTTCAAGCAATTCTCCTGCCTCAGCCTCCTGAGTAGCTGGGACTACAGGTGTGTGCCACCATGCCCAGCTAATTTTTGTATTTTTAGTAGAGGCAGGGTTTCACCATGTTGGCCAGGCTGGTCTCAAACTCTTGACCTTAAGTGATCCACCTGCCTTGGCCTCCCAAAATACTGGGATTACAGGCATAAGTCACTGTGCCTGGCCTGATAGAAGCAAATCTCTGAGGCCCTTTATGGTACCTCTCTTACTCTGAAAAGCATTTCTTGGTCTTCTTCAATTCGCACTGCACTAACTATAAGGAAAATGTCCTAACTTTATTCCGATGGTAGCATGTATCAAGGCCATTGGAACACTCTTTCTTAATGGCATAATTATTGCAGCAGTTACCTACATCAGTACTTAAAGTGGAGTGGGGTGTTAATGCTATGCAGCTTTGCTGCTCTTTCATGCCTATCAAATGCTTCTCTTCAAGTTACCATTTCCTGCATAATGCTATTACTCTATTAGATAAATTGATATGTCCTCTATAGCCTCTTTACTTTCAAAAGTATGTCTGAGAGCTTTCAGAAGTTTGAGAAGGGGTGTGTGTGTTGTGCAAACTAAGGGGGAAATGGAGGGCAGAAAGCCCTGTCATTTTTGTAGTAGCTCACATAGAAGCTCAAGACAAAAGACAGAAATGGAATCTGTCCCCATAATTCACAAATTATGGGGACTGTACATGTTGTTTCCATTTTTGATATCATCTCTAACTTCTCTGTTCTCTGATATTAAGCAAGAAAAATTAGCATCACCCAGAATATTACAATGGGTGTCTAAATGAACATGCGTTCCACTTTCAGCAAGCCTCAACCTTGGCTTCACTCCCAGGGCTGATGGCACAACAGGGCTGAAATCACCACTGAGTCATTGAATCTGAATCACCTGTACTGAGATGCCAGGTTGCAGATGTCCTTTAAAGGGACTTTGAGGCCGGGTGCAGTGGCTTATGCCTGTGATCTGAGCACTTTGGGAGGCTGATACAGGTGGATCACCTGAGCCCAGGAGTTTGAGAGCAACCTGGGCAACATGGCAAAACCCCGTCTCGACCAAAAATACAAAAACTAGCTGGGCATGATGTTGTGTGCCTGTGGTCCCAGCTACTTGGGGAGCTGAGGCAGAAGGATCGCTTGAGCCAGGGAGGCAGAGATTGCAGTGAGCTGAGATTGCACCACTGCACTCCAGCTTAGGCAGCAGAGTGAGACTCTGTCTCAAAAAAAAAAAGGTTGGGGGGAGATGGGGGACTTTGAGACAGGTTGCTAGGAATAGTGCTAATTTTTAGTGAGGTAGAAATTAAGGCAGCAAACAGTGATTTAGAAGGAATTTTTGGTCCAGTTCTGTATTAAGGGATTGCCAGAGAAACAGATCCAACAGAGTATGTGAGTGTATAAAGATTTAGTATAGAATTGACTCACACAATTATGAAGGCTGACAAGTCCCAGGATTTGCAGTTGGATGGCTGGAGACCCAGAAGGGCTGGTGATGTAAATTCTAGTTCGAAAACCAGCAGGCTTGAGACTCAAGAAGAGCTGATGTGTCCGTGCAAGTCTGAAGGAAGAGGTGATGTCTCAGTTCAAGTCAGAAGGAAGAAGCGATGTCTCAGTTCAAGTCTAAAGGCAGGAAACAGCTGATGTCAACTGTGATGCTCAACAGTGAGGCAGGAGTTCTTTCATACTCAGCCATTTTGTTCTAGTCAGGTCTTCAACTGTTTGGATGAGGCCCAAGCACAGCAGGCTTTACTCAGTCTCTCGATTCCAATGTTAATGTCATCCCCAGACACCTGAATAACGTCTGACCCAATGTTTGGACACTCCTGACCCAATCAAGCTGACACATAAAATTAGCCATCACAAAGTGCCTCCTCCTCAATATCATTTTGGTATTTGGGTAGTCCCTTCAACTGTCTGAAACATAAAGGAGAGAATAGAATGAGAGCAAATCTTTACTCCCTTTCCTGATAGCACCATAGCTTCTGTTTTTTTTTTTTAATTAATTTATTTTTTGAGACGGAGTCTTGCTCTGTCACCTAGGCTGGAGTGCAGTGGCACAATCTTGGCTCACTGCAGCCTCCGCCTCCCGGGTTGAAGCGATTCTCCTGCCTCTGCCTCGCCAGTAGTTGGGATTACAGGTGTGTGCTACCACGCCCAGCTAATTTTTTGTATTTTTAGTAGAGACGGAGTTTCACCATGTTGGCTAGGCTAGTCTTGAACTCCTGACCTCAGGTGATATGCCCACCTTGGCCTCCCAAAGTGCTGGGATTACAGGCATGAGCCACTGTGCCTGGCCTAATTTTATTTTTATGTTTTGTTTTTTGTTTTTTTTTTTTTTTTTTTTGAGACCGACTCTCTCTCTGTTGCCTAGGCTGGAGTGCAGTGTCACGATCTCTGCTCACTCTCTCCTCCGCAACCTCTCAAGATTTCGGCAACCTCTGCCTCCTGAGTTCAAGCGATTCTTGTGCTTCAACCTCTGGAGTAGGTGAGATTACAGGTGTGTGCCACCATGCCTGGCTAATTTTTGTGTTTTTAGTAGAGATGGGGTTTCACCATGTTGGCCAGGCTGGTCTTGAACTCCTGACCTCAGGTGGTCACCTGCTTTCGCCTCCCAAAGTGCTGGGATTACAGGCATGAGCCTCCATGCCCAGCCCATAGCTCCTATTTTAATTGTACCTGTAAATGTTGGCTGCCCCCTTTAATCAAACTCACCCCATGTTAATGCATCAGTCACTAAACTAGGATAAAGGTAGGAGTTACTGAAATGCTGCTTTCCACTGGCACCACTTTGTGAGGAAAAGGGAACCCTAGAAAAATAACATTGTGGGCATGATTTCTTTATCGTACGGTGAATTCAGCCTTGCAGTGATTTTTTCAGAGATGAACAGAATTTAAAGTGTTAGAACTCATTTGGGAGGCTAAGGCAGGTAAAGTGCTTGAGCCCAGGAGTTTGAGACAAGGCTGGGTAACATAATGAGAACCCTGTCTCTACAAACAAAACAAAAACTTATGTTCCTCCGCTTTCCCAACATTTAACTTTTACATACACAGTTGATGTTTTCATCCCTTAAGTAGCAAAGAGGAGATGGAGGTTGCTGAAGTGTGTAATTGTGATAACTGTTTGCTTTCCTTAGAATATGGTTTTCTGGCCAGGAGCGTTTGGTGCACGCCTGTAATCCCAGCAGTTTGGGAGGCCAAGGTGGGTGGATCACGTGAGGTCAGGAGATCGAGACCATCCTGGCTAACATGGTGAAACCCTGTCTCTACTAAAAATACAAAAAAATTAGCCGGGCATGGTGGTGGGCACCTATAGTCCCAGCTACTCGGGAGGCTGAGGCAGGAGAATGGCATGAAACCAGGAGGCGGAGCTTGCAGTGAGCCGAGATCGTGCCACTGCACTCCAGTCTGGGCAACCGAGCGAGACTCCTTCTCGGGGTGGGGGGGCGGGGGGAGAAAGAAAAAAAATAATATGGTTTTATTAAGGGAGATCAGATTAGCTTCTCTTGGCTGTGAAGATTGTCAGGTGTAGCAATTGTACTCTTGAATTTACTGGTTCTCAAAGTGTATTCCTTTGATCAGCATCAATATCACCTGGGGATTTGTTAGCACTAGGAAATCTCAGGTCCCATCCAAAACCGACTAAATCAGAAACTCTAGGGGTGGACCCTAGAAATCTGCATTGTAACAAGCCACCCAGGTGACTCTGATGCATGCCCATGTTTCAGAATCACGGACTGAGTATATTTGCTGTGTAGTTGCTTGGTGGTGATGTATGCATCTTGAAATTGACCTAAAACCTAGAAAGGTAACCGATATGGTTTGGCTGTGTCCCCATCCAAATCTCATCTTGAATTGTGGCTTCCACAATTCTCACGTGTCATGGGAGGGACCCGGTGGGAGGTAATTGAATCGGGGGGTGGGTCTTCCCTGTGCAGTTCTTGAGATAGAGAGATCTGATGGTTTTATAAAGGGGAGTTTCCCTGCACAAACTCTCATTTGCTCTTGCCTGTGGCCATGTAAGATGTGCCTTTAGCCTTCCACCACGATTGTGAGGCCTCCTCAGCCACATGGAACTGTGAGTCCATTAAACCTCTTTCTTTATAAATTACCCAGTCTTGGGTATGTCTTTATCAGCAACCTGAAAATGGACTAATAGAGTAAGCAGAATTCTAGAGAACTTCAAAACTGTATAGATGACACTCTTCCTTTTAGCAGGCATTTTCATCACTGTGTGGTTGCTCAGTTTAGTCATATGCCCATGAAATGGTTAATTTTATCTGTCAACTTGACTAGCCATGGGATACCCAGAATAAACATTATTTCCTGATGTGTCTTTGCGGGTGTTTCTGGCTAAGATTGACATTGGATTCTGTAAAGTAGATTGCCTTCCCTAATGTGAGCAGGCATCATCTGATCGATGGAGGGCCTGAAGAGAACAAAAGGCAGAGGAAGAAGGAGTTTGCCCTGTTTTGGTTTCCTGCCTGCCTGCTTGAGCTGGAACATCTCCAGACTGGGATTTACACACCGTTGGTTCCCTGGTTCTCAGGACTTTGGATGCAGACTTAATTATACCATGAGCTTTCCTGGGTCTCTGGCTTACAGAAAGGCTGGTCATGGGACTTACTATCCATAATCGTGTGAGTCAATTCCTTACAATTAATCAATCCCTCTCTCTTTTTCATTGTGTCTTTGAGAGTGTTTGTGGATGAGACTAGCTCTCTGTATCTATCTATATACAGGACCAGAAGGAGATATCTGGAGATATCTCTATGTCTATCTATATATAGAGATATCTCCTTCTTGTTCTGTTTCTCTGGAAAACTTTGTATAGATTTTGGCACTGAGAGTGCTTCTAGAGGAGCAGAATTTTAAGGATGAATTTTCTGAACTGGTTCTGGGGTTTCTAGAATTGGCTCTCTAATCTGATTAGATTTAAAGGCACTAATGACTGTATTTCCAGTAGTAAAAAGAGTGCTAATAGTCCATAACGTGAGCTGTTTGTAGAGATACACAGAATACTGTGTTGGATACTCCTAATCAACCAACTATAGAATCAATGAGCTCAGTAATGTTATATATGATACCTTTTGTTTGTTTGTTTGTTTGTTTTCTGAGGTAGAGTCTTACTCTGTCACCCCAGCTGGAGTGCAGTAGCACAATCATGGCTCACTGCAGCCTTGACTGCTTAGGCTCAAGTGATCCTCCCACATCAGCTTCCTGAGTAGCTGGGACTACAGGTATGTGCCACTTTGCCCAGCTTTTTTTTTTTAGAGACAAGGGTCTTGCCATGTGGCCCAGGCTGTTCTCAAACTCCTGGGCTCAAGTGATCCTCCCACTTTGGCCTCCCAAAATGCTGGGATTACAGGTGTGAGCCACCATGCCTGGCTTATATATGATACTTTCGAACATTTTGGAAAATGAATGAATATAATGATGTTGGTTGGAACCCTAATGTCATGCTGGTGGAAGGAAAGGATGAGGTCAGGGATTCACATTCCTAGTTCATGCACCACAAAAATGACCTAGGAACTTTTATGTGTGCCCTGAGGGAGACCTTTATTTACTGTACAGAAGGGCGGAAATTGCTGAAAGTCAAATGCAGAACCTCATCCTGCAAGTGGCTGAATTACAACGCAAGTTGAACTCACAGCTTTGCAGGCTATGTGCAGTTAAAGTGAGAGCATTAATTGGGAAAGAATGGGATCTTGCAAGTTGGGATGGGGATGTTTGGGAAAACTTTGATAAAGCTGAGGACATTGAGCCCCTAAATTCTGATGTCTCCTTTATCAGTGAAGGAGCACTCCCACCTTTGCTTCCCAACAACCCCAGCAACAGTGGCATTCCCAACCCTCAGTGGTATTGGTCTTTCCACCTCTGAGAGGATGAAGCCTGCATTGCCTGAGGAAATAGTAATGGCCTCCCCTGAGGCAGGTGCTGAGCAACACAATGTTGAACTCCTCAGGACCCACCCCACCACTCCTCTTTGTTAGACTTCAGTCCAGCAGCCCCTGAAGATGAGGTACACTGTGTGACTGGCCCATAAGAGGTGTGCTGCACTCCACTGAACTACTTGACTTTTTAAATTTCTACAGACAGAAATTCAGGGAATGTGTATGGGAATGGATACTATGAGTGTGGGATAATGGTGGTGAGGAGAGCAAAGATCACCTGGGAGAGGCACCAAACAGTCCATCCAGAGGCCAAACTCCTCAGCTGAGGGATTTAGAAATAAGAGATTCCCTATGATCTAAAGCAGGCATCTGGTATGGGCTGCTTTCTCCAAAATGTATAAATAACTAGAATTTCTATACATCTCCAGAATGCATGCATGTCGAAACTCATCGTGCAACACTTGCTGACATCAAGGCACCAAAATGTCTACAAATGTAATCATGTATCATGACCTCTGTGGTCAGTATAGTCCAATTACCGTTAAGCTCCCTCTTTAAGATTCATAAATACCCCTAAGGAAAAGTCCACTGCAGCACGCTCGGTCCTCTCTTGCAGTAGTGCCCAGCTACACTCTTCTATCTAATAAAACTGTCTTTTTCTAACCTATACTGTTGTCAGTAAATTCTTCTTACTACCCTACTACCCATGAGCTGACCACTTTCTGATGCTGGGGCTCTGACACTTCACCCAGTAGGTGGAAGGAACATAAAGTTGGATGGGGCTGAATGTTTTGACATGGGCTCACTAAGCAGGGATTCTCCATTTAGCGTTGCAGCTTTGGGCGTTAGAAAATGTTGAATCTGGCTGGGCGCGGCAGCTCATGCCTGTAATCCCAGCACTTTGGGAGGCCAAGGCGGTCAGATCACTTGAGGTCAGGAGTTCGAGACCAGCCTGACCAACATGGTGAAACCCCATCTCTACTAAAAATACAAAAATTAGCTGGGTGCGGTGGTGCACGCCTGTAATCCCAGCTGCTTGGGAGGCTGAGGCTGGAGAATCGCTTGAACCTGGGAGGCGGAGGTTGCAGTGAGCCAAGATCATGCCACTGCTCTCCAGCCTGGGTGACAGAGTGAGACTCCATCTCAAAAAAAAAAAAAAAAAGAAGAAAAAAGGAAGTGTTGAATCTGATTGGTTGGTTGGCTGGCTGAAACATAGACTCAAAGGTGGTCCACGTGAGTGAACTGGAGATGGTGGACATGTCTTGGTTTAATGTGGAGGAAGGGATTCAAAGACTTAAGGGACTGGCAGTTACAGTGCAATTGTCATTTGAGGCCTACTCACCCACCCTGGGAGGGTCTAGAAGGCATACATTTCATCAAGAATGTGAGAAATAAATATATGAGGGGTGCCCTGGCATCCTTGAAGAGCTCTGTGATTGCTCTTGTCTATAGGCCAGACCTTGTGGTGTGCACTTCAGTCAGTGAACTGGGAAGCATAAAGGCAGTGGGTGTAGCTGGATCCCAGGGTGGCAGGCGCCAAGGGGGTGGCAAAGCTGTCACACAACCCAGATTATTGACATTGATGCAGAGTGGGTTTAGGAGATACTAAGTTGGTTTTAGACATAGTTTAGAGAACTGTGCAACATTTTGGTAAACAAGTCCAGAAAGCAACTGGACATTCTTAGGGCTCAGAGAAAGAGGTCTGGGATAGAGACATAAATTTGAGAACCACTGGTATAAACCTATGTTAAAACACACAAATAACCAAATCAACCTTTGGTGGATGAGATCACGTAGGGAAATGATTGAGTGCAATGAAGCCAAGGCCCAGGACAGAGCCCTGGGGAAGGTGCACACCTTAAAGGGACAGAGGAAGATCGCCCAAAGTGGTGACCAGAGACAGGAAGTAGAGGCAGTGCTTCTCAGACCCCCGTGTGCCTAAGCATCACCTGGAGAGTGTGTTGAAACAGATTCTTGGACCCCACCCACAGAGATTCGGATTCAGTAGGTCTGGGTGAGCGTGAGAACTGCATTTCAAATCTGGCTTCCCTGGGATGCTGGTGCTGCTGGTCTGCAGACCATGCTTTGGGTAGCACTGGAATAGGCTCGTCTCTTGGCTACAAAGAGAAGGGAAGAGAGTGAGCATTTGAGGGTAGCTGGAAGTTTCTGAGGATGTAAGAAACTTGTACATGTTTATAGGTCGAGGTGAAGGAGGCAGTAGAGACAGGGAGAAGTTGAACATCCTGGAGAGAAAAGGGATAATTAATGAAGGAAATGCATGGAAGGGATTAGAGGAAAAAGAAAATGAAAGCACCAGAGATGTGCATGGTAAAAATATCAAAGAGCTATGGTGCCTGCTTTTAGAAAACTAAAGCCGCTTTGAGGAAGATGATTT
The DNA here is from genome assembly GCF_000001405.40 of Homo sapiens. Lineage (NCBI taxonomy): Eukaryota > Metazoa > Chordata > Mammalia > Primates > Hominidae > Homo > Homo sapiens. The sequence continues at coordinate 28,677,272 of NC_000008.11, forward strand.
CTTGTCACTTCCCGTCCTTTTATTATTTTTTTAAAAATCTAACTCCTTGGAGCCGCTATTTACTTGTACCTTTCTGACTCCCCCACTGTGCCTAGGAGCCTTTGTCTCTCTGCCAAAATACTCCCAGGGCTGTAACTTCCGAGTACAGAGACCTAAAGGGATGACTCGCTACAGATGACTGAACAGTAATGAATAGATTTTCGACAACACAAGGCATTTCAAGGATAAAGGAAAATTTCAAAAAACGTATGATCATTATTGCAAAATTGTGTTTCTACCACTTCTTGCTAGAATTGCTGTCAAGCTGTTTGACAGCTCCCCTGGGACATCACTCTCTGGCATTGCAATCATTGTGAAGCACAAAGACACAGCTCGCTCTCCTCTGTTCACTAAAGCTGCTTCTGTATAGCCTCAGAGCCCTCTGACAAACTAGAAAAGCATCAAAAATCACTTTGTTCTGTTACGAAAAAAAAACACAACCACCCCAATAATAGCTGTGAGCAGCTATCTGCCTGTGTGCTGCACACTCTGAGTTCAAGACAACAAAATTTATTGAGGGCTTGTAATAGAACAAGCACCAGGAGAGGTGCTGGGATCCAAAGATTAGTAAAATACTGTTGGGATTCTGAGAGGTCCTTCATCTTCTTCTCTCTTTTGAGTCCTGAACCAAATGGTACAGTCACAGGAATCAGACTGGGTTTAAAATGTCAGCTTGATTGCTACTGAAGCTGGCCTGGAGAAGGTGGCTTGGATCCAAGGCCAAAACAGGCTTCTCATTTCTTTCTCCATGAATTGAACTTGACCTTGGTCATAGGCATAGTCGCCGGAAACTGCTGTATCTGCTGCTGAGTGGAGGAGAGAAGAAGGCACGTGGCCTGTGGGCAGACATCTACAAAAGAGGAATTCAAAGGCAGCCTGAGTGGTGAGTGTGCAGTGACCCTGCACCTAGTCTCATCGATCACACACTGAATTGTTTTCTTCTACAAGGAAGAGTAAGTCAGCAGAGTACGCAGAGAGAAGGATGGATGCTGAGATAGTTTGGATGTCTGTCCCCTCCAAATCTCATGTTGAAATTCGATTCCCAATGTTGGAGGTGAAGCCTAATGAGAGATGCTTGGGTAATGGGGGTGGATCATTTAGGAATAGATTAATGGTAGAAGGAGTGGGTGAGTTCTCACTCTATTAGTTTCTGAGAGAACTGGTGTTAAAAAGAGCCTGGCACCCCTCTCCCCTCTCTCTTTGCTTTTTCTCTCTCCATGTGATCTCTGCACACGCTGGCTCCCCTTCAACTTCCCCCATGAGTGAAAGCAGCCTGAGACCCTCACCAGATGCAGATGCTGGTGGCATGCTTTTTGTGCAGCCTGCAGAACCACGAGCCAAATAAACCTTTTTTTCTTTATAAATTAATTACCCAGCCTTTGTAGCAACACAAATGGACTAAGACAGATGCCATCGCTTCAATACTGTGGAGAAGAGAAAGTTTCCTAGCTTCTTGATCAAAACAAGCATGGGGAGAAGGGAAAAGCATGATTTCCCCTATATGTTCCAACTGTTTGGTGTCTTAGCCCATGGGTTTTAAAGTAAAACCTCTGGCCAACTAAGGATGGGCTGCCCTCCTGCACTGTGTGTAGTGGAAGTGATAAAACAAATACCAGGGGTTGCAATCCTAGGCATCAATGGCAAATTCAGCTCCAACTTTCATGAGGCCTCTCCCTTATACCAGCTTCTTTGTGCATCTGCCTGGGACCAGGGGTGGACTTTCCAGTCTTGCCTGCAGAAGGTTCTGTAAAGACACAGAACAGTACATTGAGTAGATTAATGCCAGCACTGTTCTATGCTCCAAACCAAAGGGTCATTTTCTATTCTTGTTCCCGTTTTAAGAATGTCCAGTCTAGGCCAGGCGTGCCGGTTCACGCCTGTTATCCCAGCACTTTGGGAGGCTGAGGCGGGCAGATCACGAGGTCAAGAGATCGAGACCATCCTGGCTAACATGGTGAAATCCCGTCTCTACTAAAAATACAAAAATTATCTGAGTGTGGTGGCGCGTGCCTGTAGTCCCAGCTACTCGGGAGGCTAAGGCGGGAGAATCGCTTGAACCTGGGAGGCAGAGGTTACAGTGAACCAAGATCGTGCCACTACACTCCAGCCTGGTGACAGAGCAAGATGCTGTCTCAAAAAAAAGAATGTCCAGTCTGGTGGCTCATGCTTATAATTCCAGCACTTTGGGAGGCCAAGGTGGGAGGATTCATTGAGGGCAGGCATTCAAGAGCAGCCTGGGCAACACAGGGAGACCCTGTTTCTACAAAAAACTAAACATAGCTAGGTGTCGTGAGGCACTCATGTAGTCCCATCTATGCAGGAGGATCGCTTGAGCCCAGGAGTTCAAGGCTGCAGTGAGCTATGATCATGCCACTGCATTCCAGCTTGAGTGACAAAGCAAGACCCGACCCTACCTCTTAAAAAAAAAAAAAAAAAGAATGTCCAGCCTTGTTTACTATGATCCTAAATTGTAGCATATTAGTACTCTAATAATGCCATGCCAGGAAAATAATACTGCCCTGAATTAGGATACTTGTCTCACTATTCAATTCCAAAAGGCAATTTAAGTTCTTGCATCAAGAAGCTGTCAGTCTAATAGAATAAGACAAATGCTTAAACCAATAATTACAACTCAATCCAGGCTTTTTATAGTAAAAGTAAAAACATTTACAGCAGCTTAAACCAAGCAGCATTAGTTCTTTTTTATTTTTTGAAAAGCAAGCTAGAATTTAATATTTGTGCTTTTTTTTTTTCCGGTGTAAGACAAATACTATTGCCTTAAAAAAGAAGGAATTCCTCAGCCGGGCTCGGTGGCTTATGCCTATAATCCCAGCACTTTGGGAGGCCAAGGCGGGCAGATCACCTGAGGTCAGGAGTTCAAGACCAGCCTGGCCAACATGGTGAAGCCCCATCTCTACAAAAATACAAAAATTAGCTGGGCATGATGGCAGGTGCCTGTAATCCCAGCTACTCCGAGGCTGAGGCAGGAGAATCACTTGAACCTGGGAGGTGGAGGTTGCAGTGAGCCAAGATCACACCATTGCACTCCAGCCTGGGCAACACAGACTCTGTCTCAAAAAAAAAAAAAAAAAAAACAGCATACTATTTATTTCTTCTTTTCTTTATCCCAGCTTTATTAGTGTGTAACTGATAAATAAAAGTTGTGTATATTTACAGGGTATGACATGATGTTTTATGTACACATTGTAAAATGATTAAATCAAATGAATTAACACATCCATCACCTCACATACTTATTTGTGTGTGTGTGTGGTGAGAACATTTAAGATCAATCTCTTAGCAATTTATAAATATACATTAATTATAGTCACCATGCTGTACAGCAGATCTCCGGAACTAATTGATCCTAACTGCAACTTGGTACCCTTTGACTAACATCTCCCCATACCCCCAGTCCTCACAACCACCATTCTATTCTCTACTTTTATGAGTTTGACTTATTTAGATTCTACATATAAGTGAGATCAATGCAGTATTTGTCTTTCTGTGCCTGGCTTATTTCACTTAGCATAATGTCTCTAGGTTCATCCTTGTTGTTACAAATGATAAGATTTCCTTCTTTTTGAGACAAAGTCTCACTCTGTCGCCCAGGCTGGAGTGCGGTGACACGATCTCAGCTCACTGCAACCTCCGCCGCCTGGGTTCAAGCGATTCTCCTGCCTCAGCCTCCTGAGTAGCTGGGATTACAGGCACCCACCACCATGCCTGGCTAATTTTTGTATTTTTAGTAGAGACGGTTTCACCATGTTGGCCAGGCTGGTCTCAAACTCCTGACCTTGTGATCCGCCCACCTCGGCCTCCCACAGTGCTGGGATACAGGCGTGAGCCACTGCGCCTTGCCAATTTTCCTTCTTTTTTATAAGGCTGAATAGTATTCCAATTTTAAAAATTCATGCATCCCAGACAGACACACTGGCTCACGCCTGTAATCCCAGCACTTTGGGCGGCTGAGGCAGGCAGATCACCTGAGGTCAGGAGTTCCAGACCAGCCTGGCCAACATTGTGAAACCCTGTCTCTACTAAAAATAGCAAAAAAATTAGCTGGGCATGGTGGCACGTGTCTGTAATTCCAGCTATTCAGGTAGCTGAAACATGAGAATCATTTGAACCCTGGAGGCAGAGGTTGCAGTGAGCTGAGATTGTGTCACTGCACTCCAGCCTGGATGACAGAGCGAGACTCTGTCTCAAAAAATAAATAAAATTCATGCATCCCTTGATAGACACTCGGGTTGATTTCATATTTTGGCTATTGTAAATAGCACTGCAATGAACAAGAGAGTGCAGATATATCTTTAACATGCTGATTTCATTTCCTTTGGGTAAATACTACAGACGTGCGATTGCTGGGTCATATGGTAGTTCTATTTTTAATTTTTTGAGGAGTCTCCATACTGTTTTTCCATAATGATTGTGCCATGTCCCATTCTTATCAACAATATAGGCTGGGCATGGTAGCTCACGCCTGTAATCCCAGCACTTTAGGAGGCTGAGGCAGGCGGATTACCAGAGGTTGGGAATTCGAGACCAGCCTGACCAACATGGAGAAACCCTGTCTCTACTAAAAATACAAAATTAGCCAGGCGTGGTGGCACATGCCTGTAGTCCCAGTTCCAGCTACTCGGGAGGCTGAGGCAGGAGAATCGCTTGAACCCGGGAGGTGGAGGTTGCGGTGAGCTGAGATTGCACTATTGCACTCCAGTCTGGGCAACAAGAGCGAAACTCCGTCTCAAACAACAACAATATATAAGGTTTGCTTTTTTTTACGTCTACATCAACATTTGTTTTCTTTTTGATAATGGCTATTCTAACAGGTGTGAGATGATATTTCATTGTGGTTTTAATTTGCATTTTCCTAATGATTAGCGAAGTTGAGCATTTTTTTGTATATGTATATACTTGTTGGCCATTTTTGCATATTTTTTGAGAAATATCTGTTCAGGTCCTTTGCTCATTTTTAAATTGGGTTATTAGTTTCCTTGCTGTTGAGTTGAGTTCTTATATATTTCGGCTATTAACCCCTTATCAGATGTATGGTTTGCAAATATTTTCTCCCATTCTGTAGGTTGTCTCTTCACTGTTGATTGTTTCCTTTGCTGTGCAGCAGCTTTTTATTTTTATTTTATTTTTTTGAGATGGAGTCTTGCTCTGTTGCCCAGGCTGGAGTGCAATTGTGCGATCTCGGCTCACTGCAACCACTGCTTCCCAGGATCAAGCGATTCTCCTGCCTCAGCCTCCCAAGTAGCTGGGACTACAGGCGTGTGCCACCATGCCTGGCTAATTTTTTGTATTTCTAGTAGAGATGAGGTTTCACCATGTTGGCCAGGCTGGTCCTAAACTCCTGACCTCAAGTGATGCCCCCACCTTGGCCTCCCAAAGTGCTGGGATTACAGGCACGAGTCACTGCACCCAGGCTGCGGCAGCTTTTTAGTCTGATGCAATCCCATTTGTCTATTTTTGCTTTTGTTGCCTGTGTTTTAGGGTCATATCCAAAAAATCATTGCCCAAACCAATGTCAAGAAGCTTTTCTCCTGTGTTTTCTTCTAGTAGTTTTACAGCTTCAGGTTTTGTGTTTAAGTCTTTAATCTACTTTGAATTCATTTTTGTATATTGTGTGAGATAAAGGTCTAATTTCATTCTTTTGAATGTGGATATCCAGTTTTCCCAGTGCCATTTATTGAAAAGACTCTCTTTTTCCCGTTGTATGTTCTCAGTACTTTTGTGGAAGAGCAATTGACTATAAATGTGTGGATTTATTTCTGGGCTCTCTATTCTGTTCCATTGGTCTATGTGTCTGTTTTCATAGCAGTACCATGCTATTTTGATTGCTGTAGCTTTGCAGTATATTTTGAAATCAGGTCGTGATGTGTTCTTTTCATTCAAGATTGTTTTGGCTATTCAGGGTCTTTTGTGTTTTCATATGGACTTTAGGATTATTTTTTCTATTTTTATGAAAAATGTCATTGGAATTTGGATAGGGATTGCATGGAATCTGTAGATCACTTTAGTAATATGATCATTTTAACAACATTAATTTTTCCATTCAATGAACAAAGGATATTTTTCCATTTATTTGTGTCTGTAATTTCTTTCATTGATTTTTTGGGGGGATATCTGTCACCTCAAACATTTATCCTTTATGTTTCAAACAATCCAATTATACTCTTTTAGTTATTTTAAAATGTACAATAAATTATTGCTGTTGGCCGGGTGAGGTAGCTCACACCTGTAATCCCAGCACTTTGGGAGGCCGAGGCAGGTGGATCACAAGGTCAGGAGATCGAGACCATCCTGGCTAACATGGTGAAACCCTGTCTCTACTAAAAATACAAAAAATTAGGCGTAGTGGCACGCGCCTGTAGTCCCAGCTACTCAGGAGGCTGAGGCAGGAGAATGGCGAGAACCCAGGAGGCGGAGCTTGCAGTGAGCTGAGATTGCCCCACTGCACTCCAGCCTGGGCCACAGTGTGAGACTCCGTCTCAAAAAAAAAAAAATTATTGCTGTCTATAGTCACCCTGTTGTGCTATCAAATACTAGATCTTATTCATTGTTTCTAACTATATTTTTGTGCCCATTAACCATCCCCCCTTTCCCCCACCGCTGCCCTTTCTAGCCTCAGGTAACCATTGTTGTTCTACTCTCTACTCCATGAATTCAGTTGTTTTAATTCTTAGCTCCCACAAATACGTGAGACCGTGAAGTTTGTCTTTTTGTGCCTGGCTAATTTCATTTAACATAATCACCTCTGTTTCTATCCATGTTGCTGCAGGTGACAGGGTCTCATTTTTATATGGTGGAATAGTCCTCCCTTGTGTATATGCACCACATTTTCCTTATCTGTTTGTCTACTGGTGAACACTTAGGTTGCTTCCAAATCTTGGCTATTGTGAATAGTGCCTCAGTTAAACATGGGAGTGCAGCTACCTTTTTGATATACTGATTTTCTTTCTTTTGAGTATATACCCAGCAGTGGGATTGGTGGATCATATGGTAGTTCTATTTTTAGTTTTTTGAGGAACCTCAAAACTCTTCACAGTGGTTGTACTATCTATCATCAGTGCTTTTTGGTTTTCAGAAGGCATTATTTCTATCTGAGGTGGTTCTGTAAAAATATTTTTTTATTTTCAGTGGGCACGATGCATGATGGCTCACCCTTGTAATCCCAGTACTTTGGGAGGCTGAGGTGGGAGGATTGCTTGAGGATAGGAGTTGGAGACCAGCTTGGGCAACACAGCAAGACCTGTTTCTATAGAAAATAAAAAATGTTGCTGGGTATGGTGGTACATGGCTGTAGTCCCAGCTACTCGGGAGGCTGGGGTAAGAGGGTCACTTGAACCGAGGAATTTGAGGCTGCAGTGAGCTGTGATTTTGGCACTGCACTGCAGCCTGGGCAACAGAGTGAGACCCTGCCTCAGAAAAAATATTTTTTAAAAAAGTTAATTTTGAAAACATTTCAAACGTGCAGAAAAGTTGTAAAAGTGGTAAATCTTAATACAGATTTATCAATTGTTAAAATTTTGCTATATTTTTTCTCTCTCTAGACACACATACGAACACAGACTATTTATCTGAAACATTTTAAAGTTGCACATATCATGATCCTTTGCCCTTAAATAACAATAATGTTGTGTTTTTTTTTCTGAGATGGAGTCTTGCTCTGTCCCCCAGGCTGGAGTGCAGTGCCACAGTCACAGCTCACTGCAACTTCTGTCTCCTGGGTTCAAGCGATTCTCCTGCCTCAGCCTCCTGAGTAGCTGGGATTACAGGCACGTGCCACCACGCCTAGCTAATTTTTATATTTTAAGTAGAGGTGGAGTTTCACCATGTTGGCCAGGCTGGTCTTGAACTCCTGACATCGTGATCCACCCACCTCGGCCTCCCAAAGTGCTGGGATTACAGGCGTGAGCCACCATGCCCAGCCAAGTAATGTATTTTATAGCAGTTTTTTTTAATGCCAATTTAACATCCAATCCAGGATCACACATCGCATTTAGCTCTCATGTTTGTCTTCTCTAATCTTGAACGTTTCTTCAGCTTCCCCTTCTTTCTTCCTGTCTCCCTTTTCCTTCCTCCCCCCTCCCCTTCTCCCTCTTCCTCCTTTCCTTCCTTCTGCCCTTGCTTTTTTTGACGACATTGACATTTTTAAAACATAGGCTAGTTGTTTGGCCCTGTTGTACAGGCTGGAGTGAAGTGGCAGGATCATAACTCACTGTAATCTTGAGCTCCTGGGCTCAAGTGATCCTCCTGCCTCCGCTTCCTAAAGGGCTGGGATTACAGGCACAAACCACCCTGCCCGTCCTTTCTTTTTTCTTTTGAAATATTTTCAAATTTACAGAAATGTTGCCAGAATTATATGGCATTTTGCAAGTTTTTTGTACATTTGAAATTTTTACCCAGATTCACCAGTTTTTGATGTTTTGCCACATCCACATTTTAGCACTTTTTCTCTCTCTCTTCCTTTGTGTGTGTGTATATATGTATATTATGTATGTGTGTGTGTATATATATACATATTTTATATTTTTATTTATTTTTTATTTTTATTTTTTTTCTTGAGACAGAGTCTTGTCTTGTCACTCAAGCTGGAGTGCAGTGGCACCATCTCGCCTCACCTACAACCTCCGCCTCCCGGGTTCAAGCAATTCTCCTGCCTCAGCCTCCTGAGTAGCTGGGATTACAGGTGACTGCCACCATGCCCAGTTAATGTTTGTATTTCTAGTAGAGATGGGGTTTCACCATGTTTTTCAGGTTGGTCTCTAACTCCTGACCTCAAGTGATTTGCTTGCCTTGGCCTTCCAAAGTGCTGGGATTACAGGCGTGAGCCACGGTGCCTGGCCTATGTTTGCGTATATGTAAAAAATAGTTTTAAAAAATTGAACCAGGCCAGGTGCAGAGGCTCACACTTGTAATCCCAGCATTTTGGGAGGCTGACATGGGGGTGGATCACTTGAGCCCAGGAGTTCAAGACCAGCCTGAGCAACATAACAGTATCCTCTCTCTCTCTCAAAAAAAAAAAAAAGAAAAGAAAAAAATTGAACCACTTAAGAATAGGTATCACCCTTTATATGATAGTTTTTGAAGTGGGCCTTGAGGTTCTTGCCAATTGGACAGAACTTGGTGTGGGGAAGGGAATTAGTCAAAGGGCTCTTCATGTGTGGAGATTAAGCCCGTATGTACATGAAGTGGCTGGCAAAAAGCCAATGTTTTGGAGTAAATGGGCTTGGGGAGCAGGGACCAGAAAGGCAGCTGGAACTTACCACTTATGTTAAGGAATTGAGACTTCATTCCACAGGAAAAAAGAAAACGTTGAAGGTTTTAAAGCCAGCGATGATAGTACCAGATTTATTTATTTATTTATTTTAGAAAAATTAACTCTAGGGCAATTAGGAGGAGAAAGGACAAGATAGACCAAGTAGGTAGATATTGCATTCCACCCGGTAGCAATGGAGACCCAAAGGAAGGGGATGCAGCGGAATGTTTGTTGAGTGCTTACTGTGTGCCAGCTATTTTACATATGATATCTCATTTAATTATCACAAAAAGCTGAGGTCAGAGAGGTTAAGTCACTTGACCAAAAACAGTCATTAGTAGGTTTATGGCATAGTTAATATTTGAACCCAGGCCCATGTGACTCTAAAGCCCACTCTGAAATACAGTGGGGTCATGTAGGATGGAGCAGGACTCGGGGAAGCCATGAGACTTTGAGGTGGGACTGTCAGGCCCTGATAGCCAGTTGGACATGCTGGGTGAGGGAGATATAAGGATAACAACTGATGTTTCCAGCTTGGACTCCTGGCTAGACTATAACAATGACATTCCAGTCCAAGCTGGAAACTTGAGAAAATGATTAGTAGGGGCTGGTTGCGGTGGCTCACGCCTGTAATCCCAGCACTTTGGGAGGCCAAGGTGGATGGATCACTTGAGGTCAGGAGTTCGTAACCAGCCTGGCCAAGACAGTGAAACCTCGCCTCTACTTAAAATACAAAAATTAGCCAGGTGCAGCGGCATGCGCCTGTAATCCCAGCTACTTGGGAGGCTGAGGCAGGAGAATCGCTTGAACCCAGGAGGTGGAGGTTGCAGTGAGCCGAGATCACACCACTGCACTCCAGCCTGGGCAACAGAGCGAGACTCCATCTCAAAAAGGAAAAAAAGAAAATGATTACTAGGGAAGGGAAAGAATTGGGGAAGGGAGAGAAAATAATGATTTAGTTAATAGTCTCTATAAATTTGGTTTGGATGACTGTGAAAACCTTAGACAATAAATTTAGTGGACAGTTTGGCTCAAGAGCTCAGAAGGAAGGTCTGGGCTAAAGATAGAGATTTGGCTGCTGAAGTCTTAGAAGTGTTCACCTAGTGATAAAAAGATGGCTAAGGGTGGAGACCCAGACACACAAGCATTTAAGGGATGGTGGAGAATTAAGACTTAATGAAAGAAAAGAGAAAGGATGGGGAGAGGCAATGCCATGCAAAGCAAAGACTGGACCATTTCAAGAAGGTGAGTGACTAGGTCTGTTAAATTCTAAAGAAGAGTTCCAAAGGCCTGAAAGATTAAGTGGGATAACGAATTTAGGAAGTTGCTGGTTCTTTTTTTCATTTTGTGTTTTCATTTGTTTTTTCTATAACCTCATATTAGAAGTGATCACTGGTTATCTTAATGAGAGCAGTTTCAGTAAATTGACAGCAGCCAGCCCCCCAGGGATTAAAGAGTGAATGACAGTAGAGAAGAGATGACTTTTTTTTTTTTTTTTTTGAGACGGAGTTTCGCTTTTGTCACCCAGGCTGGAGTGCAGTGGCACGATCTTGGCTCACTGCAACCTCTGCCTCCCAGGTTCAAGCAATTCTCCTGTCTCAGCCTCCCAAGTAGCTGGGATTACAGGTGCCTGCCACCACACCTGGCTAATTTTTTTTGTATTTTTAGTAGAGACGGGGTTTCACCATGTTGGCCAGGCTGGTCTCGAACTCCTGACCTCAGGTGATCCGTCCACCTTGGCCTCCTAAAGTCCTGGGATTACAGGCATGAGCCACTGTGCCCAGCCTGAGATGACTCAAGAATTTGGGCAAATGATGATGATGACAGCAGTTGATGTTAGTGAAGGCTTACTGTATACCAGGCCCTGGACTAACAATTTACATGCATTATCTGGGATAATCCTTACACTACTCCTATGGGTAGGTACCATTATTATCCCCATGTTCTGATGAGGAAATTGTAGTGGAGAGAGTATAGAGAGGTTATGTAATATGCCCAGGGTGTTCCACCATGAATACATAGTGGAACAAGGATTCAAATCTAAATCTTTCTGGGTTCAGAGCCCGTGTTGTAAGATGATGGTAGCTTGAGCTGAGTTATTCTCTTATTTTCCCCAGGCCTGAGACTGAACCTGTTTATAAGCAGAATGGGGGTAAAACGCTATAGTAAGGAGGTTATTGACCATGTATGTAGCAAAGAGAATAACTGATCAAGCAAGAGTTAAAGGAAGGATATTAGATCACATTCAAAAATGGAGCACCTAGTTTCAGAAAGGAGTTAAGGACATCTCTTTGTCAAGGGCCGGAAGAGATGAAAGAAGAATCAGTGAATATGTACTCAGCTGTCAGCTTAAGGCAACATTCTTTTCTGAGATTTAAGTAACATTGGCTTAAGTCCCCATTCTGCATCCATTGGGAAACTCAATCCAAGATTTCTGTGAATTCCTGGAAGCTCTCCTTCTTATGGTTTCTTTGGCTTTGAGTTTCTGCTTCCATTAAATTCTTTATCTTACTTGTATCTGAACTTCTGTGGCTGTTCTCATTTCTTGGTTCTTTGCTGACCCAGTTGTGGAGCTCAGCCCCTTGCAGTCTTTTTTCGTAATTCTCCCCCAAATCACTCACATAAGGCATTTGTGCATGTGACAGATATTACTGAAGGCTTAGGGGATTTTATATCCTTAGCAACACAAATAACTTAAAATTCCGACAATAGATATCTCTATTTTAAACATTCTCCGGCTCCCCTATCACTGGGAACTCTCTCCCACAGCTCCAGCCTCCCACACTGTTATTTGAGCCCCATCTCTTCTTATCCACCTCCATTTCCTCTCCTCCAGTCCCCATGTTTTTGGATTTTAAAAAATATAGATCTGACTAGCTGTCTCTTTGCTTCAGAGTTTTATTCTAAGTCATTCTCTCTTTTTCCATACTTCAAATGTCATTTCAAAGTAGTTTCCTAAATAAGGCATTTTCCATCCCTAAGAACTCTAGCATCTACTAAAATAATAGTTTTCACCTCAATACTTATAGTTTTAAAGGTGGAAGGAAGGCATTTCAAAGAGTTCATATCTGTTGTCTTCTATTTTCTTAGTGAAATATAAGACATGCTCCTCTTTTAAGGTATGGATGAGTCTAGCAAAGATTTGGACAGCTGGGGTTAGGGATTCTGTCAATAGACATTTACCAGTTTTCTAAAATTTCATAAAATACCATATTTACATAAAGTAATTCCTTTAAGCATATAAACTTGCAGGATTGAGTCCCTTGCTAGAGATGGATTATTCAGTTTACTGAGTACCCTGGTCAATACAAGAAAAGTAGAAAAAGCAACAGAGAAGAAAAAAGTCAGAGTATGTAAACTAAAGCCAGGGTAAAGGAGATCACAGTCTTTGCTGATCCGATCTCTCTTCCAACTCAGCCATAAATACAGTTTCTGCATTGCACCACATTGCATCCCTGGGGGGCTACAGGGATGTTCATTTTGTGGCTGAAATAGGATAAAAGGGTTGTATTTATTATCTATTGGTCAATAACAAATTACCTCAAACTTGATGGTTGAAAGTACAAATATTTATTTATTTAACTTTAATTTAAAAAATATTCTACACATTAATTTTAATTTTTCTTCTCTCTTTCTTTCTTTTTTCTTTTTTTTGAGAGAGTCTCGCTCTGCTGCCCAGGCTGGATTGCAGTGGCACAATCTTGGCTCACTGCAACCTCTGCCTCTCAGGTTCAAGTGATTCTCATGCCTCAGCCTCTCAAGTAGCTGGGATTATAAGCACATGGCACCACACCCAGCTAATTTTGAAAATACAAATATTTATTATTTCATAGTTTCTGTAGGTTAGGAATTCAGAAGTGGCTTAGCTGGGTGTTTTTTCTGGGTGGTGGTGGTGGTGGTGGTGGTTTTGTTTTAACTTTTAAGTTCAGGGGTACATGTGCAGGTTTGTTGTAGTAAACTTGTGTCATGGGGGTTTGTTGTACAGATTATTTCATCAAGCTGGGTGGTTTTGGCACAGGGTCTTTCATGAGACTGCAGTCATCTGAAGGCTTGACTGGGGCTGGAGGATCTGTTCCCAATCTTATTCATGTGGCTGTTGGCAGGAAGCCTCAGTCCCTCACCTGGGCGTCTCCATAGTGTTGTCACAACATGGCAGTGAGTTTCTCCCAGAGTGATCTAAGAAGGAGAAAGCAACCAAGATGGAAGCTGAAATGCCTTGTGTCGTTTAATCCTGGGAGTGACATACCTTCACTTTTGCTGTGTTCCATTGGCCACACAGATGGATCCTAGTTAGGGTGTGGGTGGAGACTTCACAACTGTGTGAATACCAGGGGGCAGGGATCATTGGGGGCCCTTTCAGAGGCTGGCTGCCATGGGAGTCTCCAAAAACATTCTGTATTGCAGGGGTGAAGTTGGGGGGAAGTGTATGCCTTAATATATATGTGTGTTGTTAGACAGGCTAGACTGGTATTATAGTTACCAGACTTTTAGGTTTAATAGACCAGTAAAATAAAAAATAACTGGGTAGGGGATACCAAAATTAGTATATTTCAGTGTTTTGTTGAGTGAGAAAGATACAGAAAAAGCTGCCGTTGACCACCACCATGGTCATTTCATAAAAACACATTTTAACATAAAAAAGGGAGAATAACATAATCTCAGAATAAAGTCTAATCCTTTCAATTGAATCATTCAGCTTTGTTAAAAACTCACAAACTTGTCTGTGCTTTTCGCATTTAACTGTGGACTGATGAAAACTTCATCCTAGCTTGGTCAATAAACTGTTATTCAGGAATCACTGAGCTAGACCATAGGATGCTCCAGTAACTTTCAAGATGACTGTGAAGATCATGTAGAAACATAATACTTCATTCAAAGTAAGTGAAAAAGAAGGACTTGAAATGGTTGACACATAGAGATAGCAATTTTATAAAATTATGCTCATGAGCTGGAAGGAAGCCACAGAGTTGGTAAATATTTATCAGTTTTTGTGATTTTTTTTTTTTGCTATTGTGTTCCTACTAATATGTAGATGTTGGCCGGGCACGGTGGCTCACGCCTGTAATCCCAGCACTTTGGGAGGCTGAGGTGGGTGGATCACCTGAGGTCGGGAGTTCGAGACCAGCCTGACCAACATGGAGAAGCCCCATCTCTACTAAAAATACAAAATTAGCCAGGCGTGGTGGCGCGAGCCTGTAATCCCAGCTACTCGGGAGGCTGAGGCAGGAGAATCACTTGAACCCGGGAGGCAGAAGTTGTGGTGTGCCGAGATCACACTGTTGCACTCCAGCCTGGGGGGCAACAGCGAAACTCCGTCTCAAAAAATAAAAAAATTTAGATATTTATTATTTAATTAATGAAATAAAGATAAATAGAGCATTATTGAAGCCTGGTTAAATGTACACGAAAGTAAGACAAGGCTCAGCATGTGCTTTTAAAAAGCTTTCATAGTTAACACATTTCACAGATATTTAATATATTTTTTGAGTATTTGCATCATTTATGTCAAGTATCCTTTTTCTAAATACCTCTTCACTTTAAAGATATGCTTTTCTTAGTAACCTAGATGATGTAATTATACATGTTTCTTTTGACATGAGGGTGAAATATCTAACACTGTCCATTAGAGATGGGCTTTGGATTGTTGGTTTTTTGCCCTCCAAATTGATGGATTTGTAGAAATATGGTCACATTTTCATTTGGTTCCACTTTTGATCTATGGCATAGTGTTTGCAAGGCTGAAGGCTTGGGTTGGGGAAGGGATCAATTATTATTGTGTTCTGGGATTGACTTGGACCCTACTAGAATCATGCTGTCACCTTTTGGGTTGAGAATTAATTTTGAGTAATATTTAGGAAAATAGGGGAAAACTTTCTCTTCAATAAAATCTTATTGCAGATCTTCATAAATTGGTTTAAAACCTATATATTTTTCTTTTGAAAATTCCTGTGGTGGAAACTACTGTTTCTTTCCATACATAAAGTCCAAATGTTATTATCAAGTTATATATATTTAAAAGTATTTAGCATAATTAGTTTTGGAAATTGCACTTTCAGTTTTGATTTTACAGCCAAATTGGTTGACTAAGAATCTAATTGATGTTCTTTAAGAACCTCTATGAATTCTGCCAGTTTTCAGTTGGAACGCCTTGTTCACACAAGGCATTTTTAAATGAAAGTAGTGAGCAGTTGATTTTTTGAATCTATGAATAACTTTTTTTTGGTGTAAGGACAATTCTAGAGTCATTGAGCTGTATATAAATGTGACACTGGAACTCAGCCATCAACACTCTGCCTAATTTTACTTCTTTCCTCTGGGTATAGCTCTCCCTGCACTAAGTTCTTCCAACAGTCAGACCATGTTGTGACATGTTGCGTCTAACTGAGCACATTTTTGCTACTCACTGGCATAATTTAGGGTAAATGTTAGATGCCTTTATGCTTGCCTTAGGGAACATTTGTAGGTGCAAGCTTAGAAAATTTTGATGGCATTTTGATACCCGCTGTTGGCGCTAGCTAATTTGAGTCTTAATTGGTCATTACAGGTTAGGTGTCTTATGCAGATAACAGATTTTTTTTTTTTTTTTTTTGAGATGGAGTCTTGCTCTGTCACCCAGGCTGGAGTGCAATGGCATAATCTCGGCTCACAGCACCCTCCGCCTCCCAGGTTCAAGCAATTCTCCTGCCTCAGGCTCCTAAGTAGCTGGGATTACAGGCGCCCGCCACCACACCAGGATAATTTTTGTATTTTCAGTAGAGGTGGGTTTTTGCCATGTTGGCCAGTGTGGTCTCAAACTCCTGACTTCAGGTGATCCCCCCACCTCTGCCTCCCAAAAGTGCTGGGATTATAGGCATGAGCCACAGTGCCCAGCCACAGAAAACAGATTTGAATCAGGCTAAGCTTTCTAATGTGAAACTTGAATGTTTATTTTTTTTTTTATAGCCACATGGCAAGGCAGAGAATACTATGACATGAGGTAATGAGTTAACAAATAGTTTCTTAACAATAAAATGTGTTTTGTCTTGAAACTGATATTAACTCAGTGTTGCCACAAATTATCTGTGAGCCACCCAAATGGCCCCACCTTTGGCCAGACAAAAACCAGCCACTTTTAAAAGGTAACATCAAAGCCAGGACTTCTAGAGTGAGCCATTTATCAGGGTAATGAGTGCTATCCCTGGAGCCTTAGAAGATGACCTTTTGGCTTTTTGGCACTGATAGACCAAAGAGAAGAGTAACCTTGGAACCTCAATCTAGAAATTGTCATGCATTGTTCTAATTATAAGCCACAAAATTGCTCAGTCATTTATATATAGAAAAGATCTTGAATAGTGGCTGTCAGCACTTTCTTTTAAAATCAAAGCCTTACAAATAGACTAAGTTCTTATCTGACTTAACCTCACTGATAATTCCCTTTGAAGATTGCTGGGGGTCACCAATGGCTTGTTTGGGATTGATCTAGAAGGCTTGCTGAGTGGATTGTGGGGCTGGCAGCCATTAACATGGAAAATGAGGCACCTCCCTCTCTGAGACTTGAAGTAACTGTTATCACCAGTTTCTCCTTCTGTGGGACTCAAATCCCCTTCTCCTGGATATTAAACACGTGGGGAAAAATAAGCAATCAGTGGGGGCCCCCAAGAGAGCATTTGCTGAAATCTGTAAACTAATTTATTGGTAAGAGAACACAGACTTGTTTGGCATATCTGTCACACTCTATGCAGTTTACATTTCTCTGGCTTGTATACCTCAAACGATAATTCCCTTGTGAAAGAAATGTGTGCACCAGCTTCTCTAGACAGCCGATCTTTTGTATCATTTCTACATTTGAACTCATTTAACAAATCAAATGCCTTTGTTAAATCTACTAATGCAGCAGACAATTCACATCGCCATGGTCAGCATTTCTCTTGCACCACAGCGGAGCACAGCTGGTAAAGTTTCAGGCTCTGGAGTTAGACTGTCAGGGTCCAAAACCTGGCACCACCACTTACTAGGCTGGTGATTTAGGCAAATTAGTTAACCTCCCTGGGCTTCATTTTTCTCATTTGTGACAAAGGACTAATAATGGTCCTTATTGTTTAGGGTCGTTAAAGGAGCACATGGGATGACACATGCAAAGTGCTTAAGAGTCTGGCTCTGAAATAACTAAGGGGCTGGGCACAGTGGCTCACACCTGTAATCCCAGCACTTTGGGAGGCCAAAGCAGGCAGGTTGCCTGAGCTCAGGAGTTCGAGACCAGACTGGGCAACCTGGCGAAACCCCATTTCTACTAAAAATACAAAAAACTAGCTGGGCGTGGTGGCACATGCCTGTAATCCAGCTACTCGGGAGGCTGAAGCAGGAGAATTTCTTGAACCCAGGAGGCAGAGGTTGCCAAAACTGAGCTGAGATCACGCCACTGCACTTCAGCCTGGGTGGCAGAGTAAGACTCTGTCTCCAAATAAACAAACAAACAAAATAACTACTTAGTTTCTTCCAGGGAAGAACATGCAGGGTCATGTTTGGTGGCCGGAGACAGAAACGTATTCATGTTAGTTTAAGTAAATGAGGATTTTTTTTTTTTTTTTTGAGGCGGAGTTTTGCTCTTGTCACTCAGGCTACAGTGCAGTGGCGGCATCTTGGCTCACTGCAACCTCTGCCTCCTGGGTTCAAGTGATTCTCTGCCTCAGCCTCCCGAGTAGCTGGGATTACAGGCACCCACCACCATGCCCGGCTAATTTTTGTATTTTTAGTAGAGATGGGGTTTCACCATGTTGGTCAGGCTGGTCTTGAACTCCTGACCTTGTGATACACCCGCCTCGGCCTCCTAAAGTGCTGGGATTATGAGGATTTTTTAAATAGTAAGGCTACATAAGCAATCACGTGGACACCCAGTGTCACCTGGGACATGTGGGTACCACAGGTCAATGTCAACAGCCTCTGAGGCTTCTCCATCTCTGGTGGGTTTGTTTGTTTCCCTCTCTATGCTGACTCTATTTGCTTCTGTTTTCTGCAGACCAGCTTTCTGAGCTTATCACTGTGCACATGCCCAGAAATTCTTTCTTGCAAATATGTGTAAATTAATAGATCAAGCACTCTGTCACGTGACTTAGTTACAGTGACCTGTTCCCACAATTCCAGGTAAGAAGTCCAGTAGGCTGGGACCAGAGGGAAGGAGGTCATGCGGTAAATATAGTGGCTCCTTCCAAAGGCTCCAGTGTCTTATGTGTCTAAGAAGGGGGCATAATGGTGGTGGTGATGGGGAGGAGGTGGGGAGTGTGGGAATAATTGGCAACTCCAGGATAATCATGGTGCTGATGTTCAAGGGAGATTAAAGGTGTCTTACTTTGAGTGCCAATTATTTATTTTTATTTTTTTAAGACATGGTCTCGCTTTGTCACTCAGGCTGGAGTGCAGTGGTGCGATCACGGCTCACTGCAGCCTCAACCTCCTGGCTCAAGCGATCCTCCCACCTTACCCACCTAAGTGTGCCACCATGCCAGGCTTTTAAAAATTTTTTGTGGAGACAGGGTCTTCCTGTGTTGCCCAGGCTGGTCAAACTCCTGGACTCAAGTGCTTCTCCCACATCAGCCTCCCAAAGTGCTAGGATTACAGGTGTGAGCCCACCACACAAGCCCAATTATTTATTTTTTAAAAACTTTTTATTGAAGGATGACATACATATAGAAAAGAAGATGTATGAGAAGTGTAAGCTTGATGAATGTGACAAACTGAACACACCTGTGAACCCAGCACCCAGCTCAAGAAACAGCATTATCACTGCCCAGATGGCCCCTTTTGTTCCCCTTACTTAAGACTCCATAAGGGTGAATTAATTTTGCCTGTTTTTAAGCTTTCTATCAATGGAATCATATACTGTACACATTGTTGTGTGTCTGGATGCTTTTGTTTAACATTGGGAGAGTCAGCAATATTGTGTATATTTGCAGAACACTCATTCTTATTGCTGTAAAGTATTCTGTGCATGCATACACTATACATATACACTTTTTTTTTTTCGAGATGGAATCTCGCTTTTTTACCCAGGCTGGAGTGCAGTGGTGTGATCTCGGCTCACTGCAACCTTGGCCTCCCAGGTTCAAGCGATTCTCTTGCCTCGGCCTCCTGAGTAGCTGGGATTACAGGCACATGCCATGACAACTGGTTAATTTTTGTATTTTTAGTAGAGACGGGGTTTCACCATGTTGATCAGGCTGGTCTCAAACTCCTGACCTCAAGTGATCTGCCGGCCTCAGCCTCCCAAAGTGCTGGGATTACAGGTGTTAGCCATTGTGTGGTGGTATATTTTATATTTTATCTGGTCTACCTCTGATGGACATCTGGGTACTTTTCTGTTTTTGTGTAAATGGTGCTGCTGTGAGCTTTTGTTGATCATGTACACATTGCTGCTAACTATTTTTACCGTCACTGGCTTATACTAGGTATAATGAATTATCTTCCATCATGTGTAACTGAATTGATGGTCACTCATGAGTACTTATGAATACTGTTATGCTTTTTTTATCTGGTGACTTCTTTTTATGTGGTAACTTTCATGGTGTGAGGGCAGGGCCATGTTTTATACATTTTGTGTACATAATAGAACCTTAAATATATTTCTATAGATGCTCAACTATTTGCTGATTGAATGAATGAATAAACAAATGAATGGTGTGTGCCTCCCTCTTTTTTGGGAACAAGCTCTATTTACAAGTGAGGCCCCCAACTGTGATGTTTGGACCAGGATGACCTGCTGCTTGGCCAAAGCTGATTGATTAAAGGGGTGGACACACGACCCAAGCTGGGCCAATAATGTCTCTCTTACGGGAGTTTAAAATTTGGAGCTGAAAGGACAGTGGATGCTGCTGATGCTCGGTCCTTGTGATTGTGCTCCAGACAGAAGACCCACAGGCTCCTGCTGCTGGGTACCAAAGGTTCAATGCGTCCTGCTTTTCCTAATTTTTGGATGTGGATAAATATCTACACACATGGAGGGGCTGGGTGTGGTGGCTGATGCCTGTAATCCCAGCACTTTGGGAGGCTGAGGTGGGCAGATTGCCTGACCTCAGGAGTTCAAGATCAGCCTGGGCAACATGGTGAAATCCCATCTCTACTAAAAATAAATTAGCTGGGCATGGTGGTGTATGCTTGTATTCCCAGCTGCTCAGGGAGGCACGAGAACTGCTTGAACCCAGAAGGCGGAGGTTGCAGTGAGCCAAAATCACGCCACTGCACTCCAGCCTGGGTGACAGAGCCAGACTCTGTCTCCAAAAAAAAAGAAAAAAAAAAAAAAACTACATACATGACTGTTAAACAACAAATGCAAAACTATTTTGGATTCAGTTTCAAAATACAAAGTAGAGATAATAAGTGCTGTAAAATGTCAAAATATGGAGAGATCAGTGAAGACTCACTTCATTGTGCATACTGTTGCCTTGGCTTCCTTCTTGGGGACAGCTGCTGTGAATGTGACCATATTTTCCAAGCCAGGATTTCAGTGTTAAGGGATGGGCCAGGAGAGGAGTTATGGGGATTTGGGAACGAGAATGGGATGTAGGTGTGAAACTGTAGAGGATCAGTGGTAGAGATCCTACAAATAAAGCCTTTAAGTCTTGGAAACTGTTGAATGTGAAGGTAAAGAGAGAAGTCAAAGATGATGCCAGGTTTTGAGTTTCTGGGTTAGGAAAGATAAAGGTAACTATTTTAAACAAGGACATTTGAGGAGTGCAAAGTGGGAAGGGGTAAAGATGAGTTCAGTTTGGGATATATTAAATTTAAGGCCCTGGTGAGATAGCCAGATGAGCACACGAGTTAGGAAGATTTGCAGTCCCGTGTCCTTTGCTCCATGCTCTGTGGTGTTGGACACCTTATTTAGCTTCTTGAAGTCTCAGCTCCCTATCTGGCAGCCGATACTTCCCTGTAAGGATTAAAGTGAGACAGTGAATAAAAGGGTTTAGCTTATTGCCTGGCAATTAAGTATCAGAAAGTATATATTAATAGGGTGATGAAGGCCCCGCGTGGTGGCTCACGCCTGTATCCTAGCACTTTGGGAGGCCAAGACAGGCTGATTGCTTAAGCTCAGGAATTTGAGACCAGCCTGGTCAACATGGTTGAAACCCCGTCTCTACAAAAAAACAAAACAAAACAAAAATTAGGCCGGGCGTGGTGGCTCATGCCTGTAATCCCAGCACTTTGGGAGGCCGAGGTGGGCGGATCACTTGAGGTCAGGAGTTTGAGACCAGCCTGGCCAACATGGTGAAACCCTGTCTCTACTAAAAATACAAAAATTAGCTGGGCACAGTAGTGCGTGCCTGTAATCCCAGTTACTCGGGAGGGTGGGGCAGGAGATCACTTGAACCCGGGAGGCAGAGTTTGCAGAGAGTCGAGATCATGCCACTGCACTCCAGCCTGGGCAAGAAGAGTGAGACTCCGTCTCAAAACAAAAACAAAAACAAAAAACAAAAATTAGGCACAGTGGAAGGGATCTATGGTCCCAGTTATTCCAGAGGCTGAGGCGGGAGGAACATCTGAGCCCAGGGACATCGGGGCTGCAGTGAGCCGTGATCGCACTACTGCACTACTACACTCCAGTGTGGGCGACAGAGCAAGACCCTGTTTCCAAAAAATAAATAAAAATAGGATGATGATGATGATGTGAGGGTGTCCAGAGTGCTACTGGGCAGCAGGGCCCCAAGCTCTGCTGTAAAGGACCAGCTTGCAGGTGGAGATGATGCAGGGAAATTGGTTGAAATTAGCAAGAAGAGAGTGTGAGAAGGAAAAAAGAAAGTAGCCCCAGTCATATCATTGGCAGAGAACACAAGGTAGGAGAAGGAACAGGAGCTAGAGGAGACTGAGACAGGGGAGCAGGAGAGTGCAGACTCACAAGATCAAAGCGGAGGGGGGCTCAGCAGCAGGTGAATATCCCTGTTCTTCCTAAGGCTTCATAATCTTTTTGTTGTTGTTGTTCCCTAGATGGAGACTTGCTCTATTGCCCAGGCTGGAGTGCAGTGGTGCGATCTCGGCTCCCTGCAACCTCTGCCTCCCGGGTTCAAGTGATTCTCCTGCCTCAGCCTCCTGAGTAGCTGGGATTATAGGCACGCGCCACCACGCCCAGCTAATTTTTGTATTTTTGGTAGAGACAGGGTTTCACCATGTTGGCCAGGCTGGTCTTGAACTGCTGACCTCGTGATCCACCTGCCTGGGCCTCCCAAAATGCTGGGATTATAGGTATGAGTCACGGCGCCTGGCCAGCTTCATCATCTTTAAAAGCAAGTAAGTCAAAGTTAAGGGCAGCAATGTGTTAAGTTACTCCAACGTAAAAGACTGAGTCGAACAGGTAGCAGGTAACTGCACGTCCTCTCTCGCCAGTGTGGAGATGAACCAAGGCCTGGTAGTTCTTCCCTGTCTTCTGTGGTGTCTCCTCCCACACTGCCAAGCCCCTGCCTGCTGTGGCCGCGTACCTTTGGAGGAGAGCCAAGTAGAGGAACTGTTAAAAAAAAAAAAAAAATTATGATACCCAGGCAACACTCACTCCATTTTCATTTCCTGCAATACTTCTGATTTTTAAACTTTGCCTCCTCCTGTCTTGACTTCAACAAATTGGTAACAGTAAGGGTTGCATATGTACACATATGATGGCGGTAAGACTTGGAAAGCATTTGTTTATAATAATCAAGAGGAAAGGAGAAGAAAAGTGAATAGGAGACGGGAGAGCAAGAGAAAGAGGATAGGAAAAGGAGGATCCGAGTCGGGACTAGTTTGGGGGTGGAGAGATGAAGAGTGTGCTCTAGGAAACAGGTTGCTATGGGTTTTTAAAGGTTTGTTTTGCAAACGTTATCCTTAGCCCAAGCTGTCCCCCGTGGGCATCAGTCTTCAGCATTTTCTCAGCCTCCTTGCTGGAGCACTGGGCCTGGGCTCCAGCAGAAAGGGCGAGTGGATAAGGTCGGCAGCTGCGAGCCTGTCTCTGGGGTGCAGTTCTTCTTAAGGCAGCCGACCACCCAAGCGCAGGGCCAGGAGCCAGCTCTACCCGGCTTCTCCAGGTCCTGTGTGTTTGGGGTTCCCTGGCGAGGAAACCCTGGAGTAGAAGCCCTGTGTTCTGGGTATTAAAAACATTAAAAAAAATACGTTAAGACAAATTTGATCGTAGCTCATACTGCAGTTACAGGTTTTAAAAGCTGGTTTCTAAGTTAAGCAGGTGACCAGGTAGGGTGCTTGCTCCCACCCCCATCCCCTGTTCCATTATCCAAGGGGTCTTATCCTGACTTCTCAAGTGTGGAAACACACAGTCACGTGTTCCTTGGGACTGTGGAAAACGTGCACTTTGGGGCTCACAGGGGCTGGCTTTTCAGCATTGACACGGTGTTCTTCTTTCCTGTCTTGTTTTGGTGATCATCCCACACGACTAGATTAACCTGTTGTTTTTGCAAAGCCCCAGGATTTTCCTAAGCGTCCAAGCCGCCCGGCCTTGTCTTTGTTATGAAATAGTCAAAGGGCTTCAAAACTGCAGGCAGTTGCCGCGCACGGCGCCCGTCCTTGGAGGCCTTTTCTCTGAGAATGGAGTTTTAGATTCAGGGATTTATGACTTGACTTTCCCGGGGCCGGCGCCCCTGCGGAAGCGGCGGTGGCTCGGGAGTCAGACCCGGTTCCCACGCCGCCGGGAGCATCCTCCCCGCCATCTGCGGTCGGGTCTTCTCGACAGGGCCCGGCGGCCTTTGCAGGACGCGAGTTGGGGGGCTCCGAAGGCGGCCGGCGCGCCCCCCCGCGCCTCCCACAATCCCCGGCGCCCGGCCCCGCGCCCCTGACCCGGGTGTCACCGCGGAGCTGCGGGAGGCCTCGGCGGTCTTCGGACGCGGTCGGGAAAGTGGCGAGCGCGCGCCCGCGTCCGCGCCCCCGCTCGCGAACGCCGGCTTCGGCCATTTCCGGCGCGGCGCCCTTCGGCAAGTTCCGCAGTCGCCTGTCGGAAATGGCTGCCGGCCGGCAGGGGGAGCGGCGGATCAGGCGCGGCCTGGAAGGCGGGCGGCCGGCAGCCAGAACGGCTTCTGGGACGCCGACTTTCGCGCAGGCGGCGGCGGCGGCGGCGGCGGGTCCCTGAGCTGGAAGCCGGTAGGACTGCTGGCCGCGCGTGAGCCCGAGGAGCGGGGGCCGCGCCCGGAAGGGCTCATGGGAGGGTGCCGGGGCTGGCCCCGAGCGCTGGGGACGCGGCGGGAGGGACCGGGTCCGCCGTGCCCCGGGGAGGCTGCTGCTGCCCGGCGGCGGGAGGCATGCAGCCTCCGAGCGGAGTAGGCCTGCCCGGTGGCTCGGGGGCCCGGGGAGAGGCCGCCAGGCCCTCGGCCGGCAGCCGGGAGGGCTAACGGGTCCCTGGGCTGGGGCACCCCCTCCCCGCCCCCACACGCCCTCTCTCGTCCCAGTTTGGGCTGCTCGGGACCCGCCTCCACCTTTTTTTGGACGCTCGGCTGCAGCTGTTGGGCTTCCTCTGCTCCCTGAAGCCCTCCACCCTCTGTGACCCGCGGCGTTTCTCTGGCTGCTGGCCCGGAGCATCTTCTGTCGGCGGAGGCGCAGCTCCGGACTACCCCCACCCCTTCCCGAGCACACCTTCCCACATCTGCCCCCCGCTTCTACACGCAGTCGCCTGCTGCCCTCCCCGCTGGCTCTTTTTGCCGGGCTCGCCTCCTTTCAGGAGCCACAGTCAGAGGAGCCGCTTCCTGTCCGAGGGTCCAGGTGCTGCAGGACCCTGGCTCCCAGGCCCAGCTCCCCTAGAGCCGGCCTCGCGCTGCACGGGCTGGACCGGACAGGGGTGCGCGGGGCGTGTGTGCGCGGCGGAGCTCCGAGCCCAGCGACGGGGACAGCACCTATTCCGAGCCCCTCGGAGGCGAGCCAGGGCTGCCCGGCTGCTGATGGGTGCTGCTTTCTCTTCCCCACATTGAGCGAGAGCTTCGGCTCCTTTTATTAATAAAATCTGTTTGGCTCTCAGAAGACTTAAATTTTGTGGATTTTGCCCCTCCCCCGCCACCCGCACCACCCCACCCCCGCCCTTCCCCGCAACCTGGATTTTTCTTCCCTTTTTAAAAACTCTAAAAGCTTCATCAAGTCCTCTTGGTTCGACTCCTTTGGTGGAGGAGGAAGCGCAGAACACCACAACATGTCCATTATTTCCCCCATATGTGATTTACTTAAGAGTCGTCTTTAGCATTTCTTGTCACTTTGTCCTATTCTTTGTCCAATTTAGGTAGCTTCATTTTTACTGGCAGAGCTCCCCGTGCTTTCTTTTGTTTTTAAAGGCTTTGTGTGTTGCAGCCATGCAGACTCTGCAGTTTTCTGTATTTTGTTCGGCAGTGAGTCCTGCATTCTGATACAGTGACTATCGCTGTGACCTGTGTGCTGGGATAGTAACTGCGGGGCACAGAGTCTGGAGCGAAGCGAAGCCTTCTCAGCGACTTGCTATTTAGCAGAGGGACTTTGAAATATTTTGTGATGAAAGAAAAACCGTTTTCTTAAACTGTTATTTGATGTGTTAAAAATACCTTATCCTGTGGGAATTTCCCATTCGTTTGCTTGTGGGGAGCCGGAGGAATCATAAGAACTCACGAGCAAGAGAGAATCGAGCCTAAGTGCTTTCTGGAAGAGTCAGAATTGTGGCTCTTCAGACTTCCGGAAACGTGCTTAATGTCCAGAGATGTGAGGGGCATACCTACCTAAAAAATGATTGACAGGCGTATGTCTGTATCCCTCCACTTCTCGCTTTTCTAGTGGGGGAAAACCCTGTTAATACTTGGTGTGTAGTTGGGATCTTTCAGTGATTAGGCCTCAAGAGTTTTGACCTCGGAGTAAAAAGATTTTAAGGGAACAGTTTGGAGAGAAGTAAGTCGGGCCAGGCCGAGCATGGGAAATGTATTTCTAGGAGAGAGGGCAAGTCCAGAGGGTGGTTTGAAGCCAGCAGAAGACTAGAGAGAGACCTGTTCTTTTCCGCAGGGCCCTAGGCCAGCTGTGGATTGGAGGGTTATGGGTGATGAGGGGCTGCAGGAGTGATGCGGAGTCCTTGTCTCAGTTGAGACTGGTGGTCTTCTGGAGGAGGGTGGGAGGGATTCCCTGATGTAGACTCAGGTGTTAGGAGAAAAATGAAGTCCCATCAGACCTACTCTTGGTAAAGGTTCGAGCGCCTTTGTATGTTACTCTAGAGTGAGGCGAGGAATATGAAACCAGGACGTTTCATAACGTCCTAAAACTGCCTACTCCATTCGCTGGTTATTAAGTTTAGCTCAGAAAACTTCTATTAACATATTTCTATTTTATTTTTGTTACCCCTTCATTTCGGCAACTATCATTTCGAAGACTTTCAATGATAGGGCAGCTGACTGAGAGGGAAGAAAGGATTTTTCACGTTTGGAGGTTTCATGGAAATAGCATAGCCCAGGCAGAGAGAGTTTGTGAGCTCAAGAGGGACAGAGGTGGGCTCACCTGTAAGCTTCATCTTTTCTTTTCTTGCCTGAACCAGTTGCACAGTCCTTTTAAATTTTCAGTCATTCAGACCTCTTGGGTGATGTTACTAGGGAGAAGAGAAGCAGGATTTAAAAAACCTGTGATCTTGAAAATAGAAGAGGATTGGGGAGACTCATTACTAACATACTTCCCTCTCCCACAGTTAGGCCATAAAGTGCAGTGTAGGATACTACTCACATGCACCCAAATGACCCATCAAAAGTCTAGAAGTGGAGCCATAGGAAGATGAACTGTAGAATCTGTTGGAGAGTGAAAGCATCATATACATAATATATAAGAATGCCTACTATACGCAGCCATACAAACGGAATCCATAACTGAATGAGCAAAGCTGTATTCCAGTGAAACTTTATCTACAAAAGCAGGCAGCTGCCGCTTGCGGGTGCCTGCCTTAGAGTGCCACCCCTCACACACATGCCTTTCCTTTGGTATATTCCTTCATTTGGCT
Organism: Homo sapiens; assembly: GCF_000001405.40. NCBI lineage: Eukaryota > Metazoa > Chordata > Mammalia > Primates > Hominidae > Homo > Homo sapiens. Next base: position 28,704,502 of record NC_000008.11, read on the forward strand.
GTGTCCAATACCTTTTGGACTGGTCAATAATATTAATGGTTAACGTCCTGGATGTTTGCTTTTTTGACCATTTTCCCTTTAAAGTCTCTTTTCCAACTTGCTTTTAAATGTTTTTTCAGCAATTTTGACCTACTCTTTCCAGCATGGCTTCTTTTCTTTTTCTTTTTTTTTTCAATTTTTCTATTGAGACGGCGTCTCGCTCTTTTCGCCCAGGCTAGAGTGCAATGGCATGATCTCAGGTGACTGCAAACTTCCGCCTCCCAGGTTCAAGTAATTCTCCTGCCTCAACCTCCCAAGTAGCTGGCATTACAGGTGTGTGCCACCACACCCGGCTAATTTTGTATTTTCAGTAGAGACTGGGTTTCACCAAGTTGGCCAGGCTGGTCTTGAACTTCCACCCACCTCAGCCTCCCAAAGTGCTGGGATATAGGCTTGAGCCGCCGCATCCGGCTTCCTTTGTTTCTGAAGTAGAGCTGTAAAATATAAAAGCACAGTGGCTTCGAATGGAGAAAATAGTTGATGGGATCCCAAATTATTAATGGAGTCTGTGGAAAATTAAGGGGGGCCTTAAAGCCTTATGCCTGAAATCTTGGAGGTGAAACGAGAAGGAGGTCTTGGGAATGGCCTTGCTGCCTTGAGTAGGTAGGGTGGTGAAATTTTCCCCACAGCAAAACATGTTTTTGTGCTTCCTGGGAGCAAGGCAATTGTCAGTGAGGGCCTAGAGTCTAAAAGGATCTTTGAGGTCATCCGGTCTAACCCCTTAATTTACGAGTTAACAAAGGACAAGGAGCTTATGAGTCAAGAACGAGGAATTGGGAAGTTAGGGGACCTGATGAATCAGAAATATGGTAATGATGATGGGATGGTAAAGCGTCTCAAGCTGAATTCACCCACAAAGGGTGAAGGAGAATGCCCGAGTCATAAGCTGATTTAAGGCTGGGCACGGTGGCTCACACCTGTAATCCCAGCACTTTGGGAGGCGGAGGTGAGAGGATCACCTTGAGTCCAGGAGTTCAAGACCAGCTTGAGCAACATTATAGTAAGACCCTGTCTCTTAAAAAAAAAAAAAAAGGAAAAACCTGATTTATGTATGGCTTAGCAAACTTGCTTCACTTTCTCTATCTCATTCAGGGAGGCCCAGGGCACTAACGATATCAATTGTATGCCTCCACAGCATAAAATAAAAATCATGTATGTTTGAGAAGCGAAAACCGTTAGATTAGTTTATATTCTAGGCACTTGCATACTAAGTTGACTGTTCTGAGAATAAGTTAGCAAAATCCATCTGAAGACCTTATTTGAAAACCTTGTTTCTACATCGCTACCCAGCCCTTATGAAAATGACGCATCTCATTTTAGGAGGGAGAGTGAGAAAGATAGGAAGAATGCAGAAATCACCTATAATTTCACAATCTAGAAGTGCCTCTGTTGGTGTTTTTGCTTCTGTTTGTTTTTCTATTCAGAAATATATACATATGCATTTTAAACATGTTATACTGCATATATGGCTTTGAATCTGTATTTTTCCAGCTAACATTGTGAACATGTTTTCATTTTATTTAAAACCATTGAAAAGCTTCCTAATGGTATCATAGTCATATCAGTGACAGTCACACTTTGTTTAACCTTGCTCCTAGTCTTGGACATTTAATTTATATATTTTATACAGATGATAAAGAATAATGAGGTGATTGCATCTTTACATACAAATCTTGCTCACCTAAAATATATTCCTAGAAAGTGAAATTGCTGAATCAGAGATAAGAAAATTTTGAAGGTTTTTTTCTTACAAATGGCAAATTACTTTTCAGTTTACCTTTCTACTAACACAAGAGTACCTGCCACATTGTAGCAGCCAGCATAGTTCAGAGTTGTACTGTACTTTAATCACTATTTTAATGTTTTAGTATGAGCATTTTGGAAGTTAAATCTTTTTTCTCACTCATGATTCTTTAAGAATAATTTCTCGGATAGAATTACAGGGAAAGAGGATAGACACAGTTTCAGTGTTTTTATTACTGCCAAATTGTGCTCCAGAAAGGTGTGCCAATTTGCAATCCCAGCAGCCAAGTGTGGGAATGTTTACCCTGGATCCTGCTTAGCACCAGATATTATAATTTTACAATACTTTGATGATTTATTAGTGGAAAATATCACAGTATCTTGTTTGAAATGTGTATTTCTTTGATCGCTAGGAAGGTTAAACATATAAACATGTTTATCACTTGAACCCTTTTTTTGTGTAACTTCTTATTTATGTCCGTTGACCACTGTTGATTGCTTTCTTTTAATTCTGTCATATTGAGCAGGCTTCCCCATTTTTAATCAAATTTAAGCTTTTTTTTTTTCCTTCTGAATACATAGAATCATTTGATTCTTATATAGTCAAACCTGTTGAACATTTCTGGATTTTACTTTTGCTTGGATTCCTGGAAAAGTGGCTGTACTTGAGATGAGATTACATGTATATTTTCCTTTTCTTGTTACGGTTCATTTATTATAATTAACTCTTGAATCCACCTGGAACTTATTTTTGGATTTGGTTTGTCATGCAGTAATCTGACTTTATTTTTTTTCCCAAATAGATGTGTCACATTATTTATTGAAAAATGTAATGAGGTGTTCTTTAAAAAGATTGCAACAAGGTAATATTTTTAATTACAAAAGTAATACATAATGATTGTAAAATGAATTAAGACAAAATGAATCCTCTAAGTAAACAAATGGTAGATAAGCAAGAAGCAGTATACAGGGCTGTAGGTCATACGGACCTGGATTTGTAACTTGGTTGCTGTATTGCCTTGAACAAGTTTCCTATCCTTGGTGATACACCACTGCTTCATCGGTGAAGTGGAAATGACAGTACTCCCATGTGGCTGATGAAATGTATGTGTGAAGTGTGTTATCTAGAGTACTGTGCCTAGCACACTGTAAATATAAATCAGTAGCAATTATGAAAAAGCCCTCTCCTCCCCATCTTCCAAGGGTATGTGGTGCATTGAAGTGCGGACTTTCTGCGTTAGCTAAGGGATAGTGCTGTTTGTCTTCCTTAGCTGTCTATGTTGATTGAGCTGCCATCAATCTGAATCTCCATTACTATCAATTCTTCATTAGACCAATAGTTTTGGAGTTAGGGTTGTGTGCTCTGCATTAAAATCACCTGGGAACTTTGTCAAACTGCAGGAGTTTTCCCCCACACCTAGGAATTCTGATTTAGTTAATGTAGCACGGTCCCGGTTTGTTATTTGAAAAAATTCTTAAGTGGTGAATCTGATTTTTACACATAATTAAACTGACTGGTAAAACAATACGATTTGGATTTGTGGGACATTAGCGAACTGGTGGGAAGGGAAGCAGATAAGGCAATGGCATAATTTTCAAATTGAGGACTTATCCTGGGAGTTGAGACTTCTGGGCCCAGGTTTGTTGCCAAGTAAACAGATAACTTGGAGTAATCAATAGCCTCATTTTCCTTGTTAATATCTATATATTCAGCAGCGGAAGGAATGCTCACCACTTATTGATGAGTTCCTTTTGTATTTTGTGATTTGTCTGCTAGTGGCATTTGTGGAACACCTTGGGATTTAGAAACCTACTCTTAAGCCCAAAGAATAAATTGTTTTCCCTTTCAAACAGCCCTGTAATAAGGGCGGCTCAAACTCTGGTTCTCTGGTTGCATCATAATCTTCACTCTTCAGTCAGTAGGTCAAGGCACAACCAGTTTTTCACACTTCGTTTTGCTTTTTAATTGCTGAGGATGTTCTGTTTCCCTTTTTTCATCCAGGCTAGGTTACACAGTAAGAAACCACTGTGGTCGTTGGATTGTGAAAAACATAGGGCCTTGGTCTCCTGTAACTTGGGAAGTGTCTACATGTAGTTCTTAGAGCTTACTCTTTATCTACAATTAGTTTCCCTGGGAAGTGCCTTTTTTTTTTTTTTTTTTTTAAACAGAAGACAAATCAGTGATAGTGTTGGGAAATGTGTTTTAGTGCTTATTAACATACTTCCTGACTTCACGAACTAGGTACTGTCTTGCCTTGACAGGCTGTTTGTCATGCCTGTAGTTAGGAAATCAGGAAATGATGTTTTTTTGGGTTGTTAGTACTTAAAAACAAAACAATCCTCTGAAATACTGCTTTCAGTGACCTCACTGAAATGGTTTCCTGTGGAGAACTCTCTTTACCTAATTGGAAGGGCTCCTGGTGATGGCAGCAATGACAGCAGCATGCAGACAGCTCTGTAGAACCCGCACCTGGGTTGTCATGGAGTTCTGCCACTTGATGGGCCTATTTTGACCTAAATGAAAAAGAGAAAATAGTACTACAAGCACAGATATACAGGTGGGCCATAGGCACAGTGGCAAACATCTTTTGTTCTGAGTCTGCTATTCTCTTTAGCAGGTAAATACTTTGAATATAGTGTTGGTTTTGGGTTTTAGAGGAATATTATGTGTGTCAATTGTAATTATTATTCATGGTTACAGCGGAGTAGCAGTGATATGGAGAATGTAAAAATGATACACATGATAGGCATGTGTGTGTGTGCCTGCTCGCACTCTTACTTGAATTAATATAGACAGTGTAACATAATAAAGGCATTAAAGGTATGAGCTTTACAGCCAGCTTGCTTTGGTTTGAATTCAAGTTTTACCACATAACATGGGTGACCCATGGCTCATTAGCCTCTGTGCTTTGGTTTCCTCGTGTACAGAACAGGAATAACAGTAAACCCACTTCACGGGATTGCTGTGAGGATTAAGTGAGTGTGTTGAGGAATATATGGTAATAGGTTTAACCCGGCATACAGTAAGCATTCAATACCTGTTAGCTATTATCATAATTATTTAAGATATTAGAGGCCGTTGAAGGTTTCATTGGGAACATCTGGAAAGCGTCTAGCCTCTCTCTCTGTTTCTCACTCTGTTCTCCCTTCATACCTTCCACGTGGAAGGCATAACAGCCAGATGGAGCAGTGACTCCCTTCTTCCCTGTCGCGCCTCCTGTCTCTCCTGTCTCTCCGGGTGAGTGTTTTAGTGTAGTTTAACTTTTTTTCTTTCTTTTGGAGTAGTCTGATAATTTTCTGCATATAAAAAAATTTACAGTTTTATTAAAAGATGCAAAAGAAGACCTAAATAGAGACATATCCCAGATCCGCAATGGGAAGTTTCAATATCAGTGTTTTAGTTTTACAAGGAGAAAAGTCGAGTCTGTAGGATGGTTGTTATATCAACAAACTCTTGAAAGCAAGGCCGTGAGTAATGTTCCTGCAGATAATCGCAGTTTGCTATTGTGATAAGGGATGTGAGAGGAGGAGGGCCCTGGTACGTGGAGGTGGAGGGGCGAGAAGGTGAAGGGGAACACCAGCACGTGCACAGTTCTGGATTGGAACTCTGAGCCCCGACTTCTCAGCCCACCGCTCAGACTCTCGAATGGAGTGATTACATTACAGCTTTCCAGGGCTACTGCTTGGTTCAGCCCTCCAATGAGGAGCTAGCAGATGGCGACTTCTGCTTTGCATTTGTCAGCAAAAATGTCTGATTAGGGAAAAGAGTAAAAGGTAGAATGCTGGCCACAATCTGAATGATAAATCTCTGTATACAACTATTTTAATTTTTTTTCCCCTGGGAGAAGACACTGTCATGATCCTGTTCTAGTCATAGAAGATGTGCTTGCTGCCATTGAACGTCTGAGGTGTAGATGTCTGTGTTGCTGACCACTGGAAAAAGGATTATCAGGAGGGAGGTGAAGATGGGAAAAGTAAATTTGAGAGTCAGCCAATCAGGGGGCTAAGCGAAGCTCATTGGCAAGCTCTGGGAGGTGAAGGCAGAAAAGAGGTTGAGGACAAGCCTGCAGGAACAGCTACATTTGGGGAGTGGTGAAAAGGGGTCAGAGAAAGAGAAGCAGGAGAGGACATGGGCAGGAAGTGTAAAATGCAGACTGACTTAATATGAGGTGCACAGCATGGGTGAGAACGCAAGACACTTTGATAGGAGAAATGAAGGTGTAAGTGGGGAGAATTTTTATGCTTCTGGATAGGATTACCCTAATATTGTGTTAAGTATTTTTATGTCTATATTCATGAGAGATTTTTTTTTTGTAGTTTTCTTTCTTTCTTTTTTTTTTTTTTTTTGAGGCAAGGTCTTGCTCTGTCACCCAGGTGTGATCTCACCTCCCACCTCAGCCTCTAGTAGCTGGGACCATGCCTGGCTAATTTAAATTTTTTTTTTTTTGGTAGAGATGGGGTCTCACTGTGTTGCCAGGGCTGGTCTCAAGTCATCCTCTCCCCTCAGCCTTCTGGAGTGGTGTGATTACAGGCATGAGCCGCAGCGCCTGGCTTGTGGTATTCTTTATTTTGGTACTGTCTTTGTCTGGCTTTAGTCAGGGCAATGCTAGGTTTATAAAATGAACTGGGAAGTGTTCCTTCCTCTGGAAGAGACAGTGTAGAGTAGGTGTTTATTTTTCTTTAAATGTTCAGTAGAATTCTTCAGTGAACCATCTGGGGCTGGAGATTTCTTTTTTGGGATTTTCAAAAGTATGAAGTCAGTTTACTTAATAGTTATAAAACTAATTCAGATTATTCCCTATTGGATGAGTTGTGGTACTTTGTGTTTTCCAAGGAGTTGGTCTATTTCACTGAAGTGTATAGAGTTGTTTGTAGCCTGCAGGGACTGTGGTGATAGCCCCTGTTTCATTCCTGCTATTGGAAATTTGTGTCTTTTCCCTTTTTTCTTTGTCATTCTTGTAGGTTTTTCAAACCAGTGACAAACCTCTTTGTTTTCTTGATTTTTCTCTTCTGCTTTTCTGTTTTCGATTTCGTTGATTTCTGCTCTTTAGGTTTGTTTTGTTTTTTTTCTGGGTTCTTGAAGGAGGAGCATAGGTTATTGATTCGAGACTTTTCTTCAATGCAAGAATTTATGCATAAATTTTCCTCTTAGCACTGTTTTAGCCATGTTCCCATTTTTTTTTCTTCCATCTATAATATCTTACTTAATTTGTGCAATAACCCTGGCGGTAGGTAGAGATTTTCAGACTCACTTTACAAAGGAGGAAATGAGCTCAGGGAGATTATGTAACATTCCCAAATTCTCAAGGCTGAGCTGCATCCTGAGCCGGGTAGTCTAGCTGCAGGTCCATATGGCCATCCAGCTGCCTCCTGGCTCTGAAGTTCTCTCTCTGTAGTTTATAATGTATTCAATACAATATATTATTTGTTAATGGATTCATTAACATTATGTTGAGAGCCATGGGGAACACTTTCAGTATGAGGTAGGAGGACTGGGTCCCAGCAAAGCAGAAAGGGAGGATGAGTCAGGGAAGTAGATGGAACACTAAAAAAGCACAGCTTCATGGAAGTCCAGGGGAGAATTGAGAGTTTGTAGGATGAGGAAGTGATCAGTGATAGGATTCATTTATTTAACAAATATTTATAGAGTGTTTACAGTGTGCTGGACACTGGGCTGGGTGCTGGCCACGCAGCAGTGATCCAAACACAAAGGGTTCCTCCCCTCGAGGATTAGGCTTTGGTGGGGAAGGGAGGGAATTAATAAATTACAAGATATTAGGAAGTAAATCAGTGGGTCGGTGCCAGAGAGCATCGGGGGGTAAGAAAGGCAACTTTAAATGGTAATGCCAGGAAAGTTGAGGCCTGAAGGATGAGAAAGAGTCTGCCAGGCAGAAGCCTGGGGAAGAACATTTCAGACAAAACAGGCATAAAGTTTTGAGAGCGAGAAGCTTGGCACAGTCGAGGAGGTAAGAGGAGGCCAGTGTGGCTGAAGCTGAGAGAGCAAGGGGAAGAGCGATGGTAACTGAGATGGGTCTGGGGAGCCCGGCAGTACAGTGGGCAGCCTTGAAAATATTGAGAGGGGAGGCGTGGCCTGACTCATGTTTCACGATGGTCCTGGTTGCTGTGTATGGAGTGCATTGTAGGGGCAGGAATGGAGGCCAGCTGGCAAGTTAAGCATGAAATGCTGTGGCAGGTGACTGAGAATGAATTAGACATGTACATTGTATATGGAATAAAAAAAATCTGAAGGGCTCCTTATCATTGTTTCAGTGACATTTATTTCTAGAGGCTGATATGTTTATTGTCATTTTCCAGAGAATGACAGAAGAGATTCTGAGGGTATCCTTTTTCTTTTGTGCTTGAAATAATTTAATTAGCTGTTTAGGAAGGAATGCTCATGCTATTGGACATGGATGATGCTTTTGCCTGGCTCCAGTAAAAGAGATGGGAATTTAGTGGGGATGCATTCTTTTGAATCATTGTTGAATTATTGGTTTCTGTGAGAACATTTGTTTCTGCCCTCAGCTCTGCTTATATGTAAGTTGGTAGCACTAGAAATATTAGACTAACTATAGTCAGTCTCCAAATGACTTTTTAATAACCTCTGTTTAGACTCTGTATGTAGTATCTTTTAGAATTTTTGGTATGAAAAATTTCAAACTTAGACAAAAGAGAGCCTGATATAATAAGCCCCCATGGGTACCCATCATTCAGTGTCAACAGCAGTCAGCTCACGGCCGATCTTGGGTTCATTTCTACCCGCAAACATTCCCCGCCACCCTCATCCTGTTTATTTTGAAGCAAATTCCAGGTATATCATTTCATCTGTAAATATCTCAGTATATACTTTCAACAAGTAAGGACTTTTCCATATTTTAGTGTTTGGTTTTATTCCCCCTTAGAGCACATAAATAGGTAACGTCTGTCTGGACGGTTTGCCTGCCAGAGTCCCCGTGTATACCTCTTGTCCCAGTGTATTTATTAATAGTCTCCCTTTCCACTTCAAAGAGTCTCTGTTTGGACAGTAAATTATTTGGTGACCTCATGTACATAAGAGAAATCTTTTCATAGGGGACAGTAAATAGGTTCTTTAATAGCACTTTCAGTATTGAGTATTTTTCTAATAGTATGTCACTGTTCTATTTTTGTTTTTTGTTTTTTTTTTTAAATCAGGAGAGCAAGCCCTGGAGGTTCACTCTTTCAAGAAGTCGTGTGCTGAGGTGTAATGCTACACAAGTCAGAGGAAGGAAGGGTCCTGAAACACATGGTGAGGAAGGAATGAGTCAGCTGGATTGCTGTGATTACGCCTTCTTTTCTTTTTCTTCCATTCTGTTGTTTCTTTGTTACAATTTGGTCATAAGTGCAAAGAAGATTCTTTTGAAAGCAAGAGATTTAAACATTTGAATCACAAGGATAATGTAAATTTGAGTATTTGGTCAGCTGCTAATTATCCAAGTTTAGATTATCCAAATACTTAAACCTTTTAGTAATATTATCATCAACTTTAGGTCTGATGTCTTGTCAGGTGTTCTTTGTAATGGACAAAGTGACTCACACCATCATTTCCCTCCTCTCATTCTTTGCTGTTAGCTGATTCTAATATCCTCTTTTCTTTCTTTCTTTTTTTTTTTTTTTTTTTTGAGATGGTATTTCACTCTTGTTGCCTGGGCTGGAGTGCAATGGTGCGATCTCGGCTCACTGCAACCTCCACCTCCCGGGTTCAGGCGATTCTCCTGCCTCAGCCTCCTGAGTAGCTGGGATTACAGTTGCGTGCCACCACACCCAGCTAATTTTGTATTTTTAGTAGAGATGGGGTTTTGCCATGTTGGCCAGGCTGGTCTCAAACTCCTGACCTCAGGAGATCCGCTCGCCTCGGCCTCTCAAAGTGCTGGGATTACAGGTGTGAGCCACCATGCCCAGCCTAATATCCCCTTGTCTTTAGAAATTGTTATTATAATTTATTGACAGATTAAAATTTAATGTCCAATGTTACGATGAAATAAAATGTTACTTGAAAAAATGTTAGAATGTTTAAAGGAATCTTTATTCTGAAACATAATTAAAATTATGTTTATAAAAATGGTAAAAAGGAGAGAAGACTATTACACCTTTAATAGTTAAACATCTTTGACAGAGGTAGAAGCTAGAGAAAGTGGTTGTGCCTCTGTGAAGTCCTACTCATTTTATGCTACGTGTACCCTTGTTTGTTTATATCTTATCTCTTAGGGTAAGGGAAGTTCCATGAGGTCAAGGATTATACACCCTAGATTCTCCCACAGTTATACTTAGCATGTCTTAGCCCTGTTAAGAGTATGGTGAATATTTTTTGGAAGAATTAAAAAAAGAAACCGGGAATATTCCCTGGCATAGAATATTATGATTTGTTTCTAGCTGTGTTGAATTTGAGGGAAAGCAAGTGGCAAGCCTCTGCAGCCAGTGGCAGTGAAGCTTGGTGAGAGAGCAGGGCTGGGAGTGTTGCTGAGGGACTGAGTCGCTACAAGCGTCCTCCCATCCACTGCACTTTGTATCACAGCAACGTGGTGCATTGCCGTCTCCGTGCACCTATCTCCATTTTAGAAGATTAGGAAACCAAGGTCTGATAGCAAATCTGTCAGCAAAGAAGGAGAACGAATGCCTCTCATTTCTAAGTATAGTGTTCTTTCTAAAAGAGCAAGTTACTATTTATATTTTAAGAAAGAGCACATGATGTCTGCTAATGGAAGATAAATGAGAAGCAAACTGGGAAATACATTTTGTCTCAGGATTACTGCATCTACTACTGGATAAAGATCAAAAGAGTTCTCTTCAACCCTTTCAACTCTACATTTAACAAATTGAGCTTTTCAGAGTCTTTTTTTGTAAAGTATTTCCAAAGAAGACTTATAGGTTAGGAATAAACATAAACTACCCAGGTTGGCTAGGAAGGTATTTCTGTTCATCTAAAGATGATGCCCAGGTGTGGAACAGGATAAGAAAAGACCATGGACATCTTTGTCCCATGAATTTAGTTGGTCATCGTGTTACAGGGCTATAATGCCGCTCTAGATCCAGTTAAATAAGAAGTGGGGAGGGGTTGTAAACTGCAGCTTTTTGGGGCACTTATCCATTTATTACCCCAAGTAAAAGACCTATACCAAACAGCAAACAACATCTCTGCATTGTCATTATAATGTTCTTTGAGACACAGCCAGTGTTCCAGCCATTGTTCCATCTAAGATTTAAGCATTTTCTAGAAATGTATGGTGGCAGGGGTGTTGAACATAACTTCTTCAAGACTGACATGGTTCTCTTTCTTTTGCAGGCCTGATTGTTGGCAAAGGCATCATAAGAAGCTGGCATTTATTTCTGTTCTAACCTATTACTGTATAACTGTGAATAGACACTATGCATATTTGTTGGTCAGCAAAACCAAGAAACAAGAGCTATGGCATTTGAAAAAGTCTGTCTGATTCCAGGGTGTTTTTCCTGGGTTTCATCATCAGGTACCTCCTCCCTTTCATCTCAGCAAGAATGTGGCACCTTTTATCGTTTGATAAAGATTAAGGACATGTTCTTTGGTCAACAGCCAGAACTTAAAATCTGCTGGAATAGGGTCAGAGACCATTTCAGCTGCAGCTGAGGAAAATGAAATGTTCATTTTATTTGGTGCCTTGTCTGGGGAGCACACTAACTCTTCTGGAAACGTGTCAGTGAAACAGAGATCGTTTTGTGGAATAGCAACCCATGGTTATGGCGAGTGACCCGACGTGATCTGGGGGGCAGGCTGCAGAGGACTCATGACAGGCTATACCATGCTGCGGAATGGGGGCGCGGGGAACGGAGGTCAGACCTGCATGCTGCGCTGGTCCAACCGCATCCGCCTCACGTGGCTCAGCTTCACGCTCTTTGTCATCCTGGTCTTCTTCCCGCTCATCGCCCACTATTACCTCACCACTCTGGATGAGGCTGATGAGGCAGGCAAGCGGATTTTTGGTCCCCGGGTGGGGAACGAGCTGTGCGAGGTGAAGCACGTGCTGGATCTGTGCCGCATCCGGGAGTCGGTGAGTGAAGAGCTCCTGCAGCTGGAGGCCAAGCGCCAAGAGCTGAACAGCGAGATCGCCAAGCTGAATCTGAAGATCGAAGCCTGTAAGAAGAGCATTGAGAACGCCAAGCAGGACCTGCTCCAGCTCAAGAATGTCATCAGCCAGACCGAGCATTCCTACAAGGAGCTCATGGCCCAGAACCAGCCCAAGCTGTCCCTGCCCATCCGACTGCTCCCAGAGAAGGACGATGCCGGCCTCCCTCCCCCGAAGGCCACTCGGGGCTGCCGGCTACACAACTGCTTTGATTATTCTCGTTGCCCTCTCACCTCTGGCTTCCCGGTCTACGTCTATGACAGTGACCAGTTTGTCTTTGGCAGCTACCTGGATCCCTTGGTCAAGCAGGCTTTTCAGGCGACAGCACGAGCTAACGTTTATGTTACAGAAAATGCAGACATCGCCTGCCTTTACGTGATACTAGTGGGAGAGATGCAGGAGCCGGTGGTGCTGCGGCCTGCTGAGCTGGAGAAGCAGTTGTATTCCCTGCCACACTGGCGGACGGATGGACACAACCATGTCATCATCAATCTGTCACGTAAGTCAGATACACAGAACCTTCTCTATAACGTCAGTACTGGCCGTGCCATGGTGGCCCAGTCCACCTTCTACACTGTCCAGTACAGACCTGGCTTTGACTTGGTCGTATCACCGCTGGTCCATGCCATGTCTGAGCCCAACTTCATGGAAATCCCACCACAGGTGCCGGTGAAGCGGAAATATCTCTTCACCTTCCAGGGCGAGAAGATTGAGTCTCTGAGGTCTAGCCTTCAGGAGGCCCGCTCCTTCGAAGAGGAAATGGAGGGCGACCCTCCCGCCGACTACGATGACCGGATCATTGCCACCCTGAAGGCGGTGCAGGACAGCAAGCTGGATCAGGTCCTGGTGGAATTCACCTGCAAAAACCAGCCCAAACCCAGCCTGCCGACTGAGTGGGCACTGTGTGGAGAGCGGGAGGACCGCTTGGAATTGCTGAAGCTCTCCACCTTCGCCCTCATCATTACCCCCGGGGACCCTCGCTTGGTTATTTCCTCTGGGTGTGCAACACGGCTCTTCGAAGCCCTGGAAGTCGGTGCCGTCCCGGTGGTGCTGGGGGAGCAGGTCCAGCTTCCCTACCAGGACATGCTGCAGTGGAACGAGGCGGCCCTGGTGGTGCCAAAGCCTCGTGTTACCGAGGTTCATTTCCTGCTCAGAAGCCTCTCCGATAGTGACCTCCTGGCTATGAGGCGGCAAGGCCGCTTTCTCTGGGAGACTTACTTCTCCACTGCTGACAGTATTTTTAATACCGTGCTGGCTATGATTAGGACTCGCATCCAGATCCCAGCCGCTCCCATCCGGGAAGAGGCGGCAGCTGAGATCCCCCACCGTTCAGGCAAGGCGGCTGGAACTGACCCCAACATGGCTGACAACGGGGACCTGGACCTGGGGCCAGTGGAGACGGAGCCGCCCTACGCCTCACCCAGATACCTCCGCAATTTCACTCTGACTGTCACTGACTTTTACCGCAGCTGGAACTGTGCTCCAGGGCCTTTCCATCTTTTCCCCCACACTCCCTTTGACCCTGTGTTGCCCTCAGAGGCCAAATTCTTGGGCTCAGGGACTGGCTTTCGGCCTATTGGTGGTGGAGCTGGGGGTTCTGGCAAGGAATTTCAGGCAGCGCTTGGAGGCAATGTTCCCCGAGAGCAGTTCACGGTGGTGATGTTGACTTATGAGCGGGAGGAAGTGCTTATGAACTCTTTAGAGAGGCTGAATGGCCTCCCTTACCTGAACAAGGTCGTGGTGGTGTGGAATTCTCCCAAGCTGCCATCAGAGGACCTTCTGTGGCCTGACATTGGCGTCCCCATCATGGTAATAGAGAAACGAACAGTTCGTTTTGGTGCATGAAATAGTATTTCACTCTTAATCCCTTTTCCAACTTCCTTCACTTTAGCAATCGTAACTTCTAGCAGAGGAGAATACATGCATACTCATGAAAAACCTGTATAGATTCCTTTCTTCCTGAAGGGTTTGCTTGCTGCTTTTTCAAGCCTTGGCAGTTCTGTGGCTGTTACTCACTTCCTAAATCGAGGATCCCCAAAACTGAAACTGATTTTATATTCAATATACAAAACCTTGTCGGTTATCCCGTAGACTTCCATGTCATAACAAGATGATGATGATAATGATAAGCTACCATTTAGGAAGCACTTAGCCTCTAGGCACTATAATAAGCATTTTGTGACATATTATCGCTGTTTCTTCAGCTTATTCGTATGGGAGCTGAAGCTTAGGTTAATGAATTTGCCCAAGATCATGGTGAGTAATGGAGAAGCTGAGCTTTAGTATGTCTGATTCCAGAAGCGGCAGCTTTAGTCACCTCCCAAAGGGTTTAGGAAGGCCTGTGTCATTTTCCAGGTATTCATAGAAGTCTTTTGGAAGACTGGAGTTGGGGTTTGATATTTTGGAGTTGGAGAACCAACTCCAATTGAACCTTCCAGGGTGTCTTGTAGGTTCTTTCTCATTCTTTACTCCATCTCATGGTTAAGTGCTGTATTTTACAGGAAAAATAATAGCTAAATATGCAGGACAGGGCTTTAGTTCTGAGGAGTTTACCATCTTCAGAATTAAACTTGGCATTCTAGGAGAGAGATGGCGACCATCTCTCTTAAATGTGCAGCCTTAGAGCAGGTCTTAAGCAGACTGCCACCTATTTAACCTGCTGCATATGTAGTTACTTCCTGGCAGAAGGTAGCAAAAAGTCTGATGGGCCACACGTTGCTAGAAGTCTCGGTTTTTAAAAAATGTACTTCACTGGGAGGCCAATTCATTTGAATTATTTTTCTAAGCAGCAGCATGGTGTAATAAGTATGAGATTTGGAGTGATACAGACCTGGGATTAAGTAGTCATTTCGTGATCTTTGATAATTAGCTTTTTTGATCTCAGCATTAAAGAGGAAACTACGATAAGACAACTAAGGATTCTAGAAAGGTGCTCACTTATTTGATTCCTTCTTATCCCTTAATGTTAAAGGAGATGGAAGCCAGTATGTTTGTCTTGCCTATGCTCTGGGCAGCTTTAACTGACTTCACTCATAAAGGCTTCTTGTATCCTCTCTACATCATTTCTGTTTGTGTCATAGTTGTTACTGCCTACTTCCTTCTGTGCAAAGTGCCTCTTTGCTTTAAATTTTTTCTTACTGCTGCTAATCTTTTTTTAAATTTAATTGAATTTATAATTAGAAGCTATTCAAAGACTGTAGGGTTATAAATCCTTTTTATCCCAGTGTATTTTGTATATTAAGTTTTGTAAATAGGGAATTTTTTTAATAGACTTCTCAAAGTTCACTTTTTTTCTTTCTGTTACAACTTTATGTCATTGAAATTAAGAAAGCATTTGCTCTGTGAAAGATAGATGCTCCTCAAATAGTAGAATAATAGAGCAGCCATTGTTTTCCATTTTTCCTGAGTTTTCTTTGATTTTGATAGGGATGTAGAGAAGCTGGTGCCATACCAGTTAAGTTGACTGAAATTCATCAAGAACTTACCAGAATGAATCTTTTTTTAAAAACTCTGATGGGAAATAAGTAGTCCTGACTATTGGGCAGCCCATCGCAATAATACCTAATTGGAAAATGCCAGAAACTTTACAGATAGGCTATTCTAAACAGCTTTCTCATATTAGCAATACAAGTTTTTTTTCTGGTCCTTTTAAAAAAGAGGAAATAGCTTCAGATGGAGAATTTCACTCCATCCTGTAAATATTGTGGTTGTGCTTTCTATCTAGGAGAGGCGGGTGTTCTGGGGAACAGTTGAAGTTGCTGACATCTCGGATGTACCCAGCTATCAGAGCTAGAAAGAGACTGGTAGCTCTCTCTGCTATAGAAAAAGGGCACTACTGTGATACACCTCAGAGTGGGTTTTTCTTCTAGATGTAGACGTAGCCAATTCAATACGCTAAGGTTAATTTTTATAAATTTAGCACCAGGGTTGTTCCCAGGCATCAGTGAATCTACCCAGGAACCTCCGTGCCATTTCAGAAAGTGCTGGGCAATACGGGCTCCTCTTATGTTTAGGTTCCCACTAAGCAACAGGCATAAGTGCTGGGTGTTTGTGGGCTGTGAAGTGTATTGAGCCCCAGCTATTTTAAGTGGAGAAGGATTGTCTTAGGGGTGCCCCATAGGACTTATATGTTAAAATTCCTCATTCTTTTAAATAATTATTTGCATAAAAAGATCTAGCTTAGAGTGAAGGTGATCTTTATTGCCACCACCCTTGAACACTCCTGATTGAAATGCTCTGTGTAAAGAGAACTTCAGCACAAATGGGATGGTGGCGGGGCAAGGAGACAGGACTTGCAGAGAGATGGGAGAAGTGCCACCAGTTGAAGTGGGTCTCCCGTTGAATGGGGTAGGACTACCAAACAGAGGGGCGATGGTGAGTGTCTGCTCTCTCCCTTGCTCTTGTATATTTTGTAAACACATGGATCAGGTCCCTTAGCTCCTGGAGCATAACAACAAAGATATCTAATGAAAGCCAACTAGAGAGTATTATTATGCCAAGGGATTTGAGGTCTAGCCTTTTGAAAAACTCTCCACTATGTTGGGGACCACCACTTTCATGGCACCTGAAAGATGTTCCACTGTTTCCAGGCCTCCGTTGTTTCTGAGGATATATCAGTGGTTTTCAAATTTTTGTTTCCTTATATGTAAGGTGTGGTTTTCTCTGGCTACTTTTGAAATTTTTTCTTTGTATTTGGTTTTCAGCAGTTTGACTGTGGTATGCCTTAGCATGGTTTTCTTTGATTTTTATTCTGGAAAGTGTTGATATTTTTGTTTTAGTAGGTGGTTAGCTGTATTGACTCAGACTGAAAGCCCTGTCTCGTGAATGGCCACTCTCATGTTGAGTTCTTTTATATGTAGCTGGTCTGCTTACAGCCTGCACCAAGCATGCATGGCTTAGGGGTGGGCCAGAGACAGAGCAGTTTCTACGCAGAACTTGGAGCTCCCTCTCTCTGGCTTTCTCCTGTCTGGAATTTTCTCCATTCTTTCTACAGGCTGTGGTTACCTTACACATTTCCTTTACAGGCCAGAAAGACCATGGGTTTTGTATGAGAGTTTTAGCTGTCTTTCTTGGTACCAACTCTGGCCTACTCTCAGGGTGAAAGCAACAGTAATTCTCCCTGTGTCAGTAATTCCCTCCCTCTGAATTTTAGCACCCCTCCATAATTGGTTGTCTTTTGTTCACTCTCTAGTGCCTTCTGGAAATTCTTTTTTTGGTATTTTTGTGCAGAGGTTATAGTTGTCATCTGAGGGAGGACTGGGTCTGGCAGGGGCTTACTGAACTCTTCTGGAGGCAGAAATGCCAAGTAATCCCTTCTTGATAGATAGTCCCATTAAAAATTTTGGTTTGAGTTACTACTTTATTCTGACCAGTTTACACATCTTCCTTACTCTGCTTTATACTCTGGAAAATAGTAAGTAGGGTGGCTGTTTTAGAGTCTGTCCTTTTGGAGTTGTAACATGTGGGCTGTTAGGAAAGGGACATCTTTCATTTACTAACAGTGTAGTCTAGCTCACTCAAGGCATCACTTCCCTTCACACTGTATACTCACTGACTGCTGAGACAGTCTCTTGGCAGCCCGTCCCTGAGTCTTAGGTTTTCATTCTCTTCTTCATAAAGGGTATGGCTAATTGACGCAGGGTGCCTTGGAAGGGGGCTTTTAGAAGGGGTGACATTTGAGCAGAAGCCTGAATGAAGCGAGAGAGGAGGCCATGTAAATTCTGGAGGGATGTATGGGGAATGGCAAGCACCAGAAGCGATGCCCAGTGCATCCGGGTGGCGCGTTTGAAGGAGGTTGGAGAAGGCAGTGGGACCAGCAGGTGCAGGACAGTGCAGGTCGTGGTTAGGAAGTCTGGGTTTTATCCTGTCTGCCTTAGGATGCCCTTGGAGGGTGTTGAGCAGAGGAGGCACATGATTTTTATGGAACTATGGGGAAAAGAGCAGAAGCAAAAAGACTTGCAGTAGCCTAGGCGAGGAGCGGTGGTAGAGAGAACCAGTTCAGAGATCAGCATAGCACACATCCTTGCAGACTGCAAGGTCTCTGTGGAAGTGATGAGGTCAGAATGCACCATTTTTTTTCCAAATGAAAATGATAGTGCCGGGCGCAGTGGCTCACGCCTGTAATCCCAGCACTTTGGGAGACTGAGGTGGGTGGACTGCTTGAGCCTAGGGGTTTGAGACCAGCCTGGGCAACATAGGGAGACCCCATCTCTACAAAAAAATAGAAAAAATTAGCCAGGCATCATGCATGTCTGTAATCCAGGCTCTTGGGAAGCCGAGGTGAGGGGATTGCTTGAGCCTGGTAAGTCAAGGCTGCAGTGAGCTGTGATTGTGCCACCGCGCTCCAGCCTGGGTGATAGAGGGAGACCCTGTCTCTAAAAAAAAAAAAAAAAAAAAAAGAGAGATACAAGATTATTATTTTTCAATGCCCTTTTCCCTCTGTCCCAGCCCTTGATATTCAAATTGAACAGGGAGAGTTCTTTTTTTGGGTAATATAAATATCATTCCAGGGGAGTTATTTTCATCCTCTCCCCAGTAGTCTATTAGGGAAAAGGGAAGACTGGAAGAGAAGCTGCATCCGTAGTGCACTCTTGGCGTCAGGAACTTTCTGGCTGGGGACTCCGCCTCTCAGGCTAAGAGGCTTGGCTTCTGGCTAGACCTCAGGCAAGAGAGTGGAGATCATTCTCAGGGCTTACTCCTTAAAGTGTTGGTAAGCTGTATTTTTTTATTTCTGCCCACTCTACTTTTAAAAATATCCCTTGAACGAATGAGACGATAATTTCCTAAAATTGTGATAGCTAGGTGAAGCCAGCAGGAAAAACCTTGTCCAGCTTCTCCAGGTCCAAGACTGTGCAAGGTCTGGTGCACTTCACTAGGAGCTGGCACATCTGGGTGGTTCGTCTTTCTCTTTGACAACATTTTACTTAATAACTTGGTGGCTATAGCTGTGGGTTTCTGTTTGCGAATGGGCTGTATGGCTGCAAAGGAAAATTATATAAAACAAGGCTACCCCGAACCAAAAATGAATACTAAGAAATACAGAAGTTGAAAGCAATTGCTGGAAAGTCATGTTGCATAATTTACTAATTGCAGCAAATTGATTCTTGAGGTAATGTCTTCCCCTCTTAGTGTATGTGTACTCTTTTTACTAATTCAAAGTAAGGAATCTGAGACTGTAAGAATTCTGTTGCTTCAGGTCACTTGACTAACTGATACCTGTATTAGAATGAGGGCTCAGGACTGTTTTTTTTTTTTTTTTTTTGAGACAGAGTCTCACGCTGTTGCCCAGGCTGGAGCACAGTGGTGTGATCTTGGCTCAGTGCAGTCTCCACCTCCCAGGTTTAAGTGATTCTTGTACCTCAGCCTCTTTTGTAGCTGGGACTACAGGCGCATACCACCACGCCTGGCTAATTTTTGTATTTTTAGTAGAGTCAGGATTTTGCCATGGTGGCCAGGCTGGTCTCGAACTCCTGACCTTAGGTGATCTGCCCATTTCTGCCTCCCAAAGTACTGGGATTACAGGTGTGAGCCACCACCAGCACCAGGTCTTAGGACTTCTGACAATAGATATGTATTTTTTTTCTTTTTTTTTTTCCACGTGTAAATTTCTTGGAGAAGCACAAACTTGTTTTTTTAAATAAAGATATGTATAAAATATAGAAAATGTATAAAAATTAAAATACATACAGAATATGAAATATACATGTAAAATGTATGAAAATTAAAATAGAGACTGCTAATATCATGTTATAATAATTGTTAACAGTTTTTGGGCATTTTCTGTGTGCTAGGCACTGTGGATGGTCTTTATCTGCATTCTCTCATTTGTTGACCTGCTAACCTAGGCTTTCTTACCTGCACTTGCACTGGGATCATTGGCAACTTTTTCTCTTATAAGTTAAAACAGACTTGTCTCATCTAAAACATGTACAATTTTGTTTGTACTGTATGACATCCCTGTGTAAAGTTATAAATGGAAAACCAATGCACTGTTACCTTCTTATTCTCTTTTCTTCCTTTGCGTTTTCTTGCTTTCTGCCCCATCACTTGACGTTTATTGAATGAATCCCTTAAATAATGTAGTCCTTGGCTGGGTGTGGTGGCTCACGCCTGTAATCCCAGCACTTTGGGAGGCCGAGATGGGTGGATCGCGAGGTCAGGAGTTTGAGACCAGCCTGGCCAAGATGGTGAAACCCTGTCTCTGCTTTAAAAAAAAAAAAAGAAGAAGAAAAAAAGAAAAAAAAATACAAAAATTAGCCAGGTGCAGTGGCGGACGCCTGTAATCCCAGCTACTCAGGAGGCTGAGGCAGGAGAATCGTTTGAACCCAGGAGGCAGAGGTTGCAGTGAGCCGAGATCGTGCCACTGCACTCTAGTCTGGGTGACAGGGCAAGACTCCATCTCAATAATAATAATGATGATGATGATGTAGTCCTCTTTCTATCATCTTCTCTCTGTCGCTCACCTCCCTCCCATCGCTCACCTCCCTCCCCACTCACTTCAAGCTCTGTTACCTAGGTCCTCCTGAGCTGGGTGGGCATGACTGTGTGCCTCTTCCTGGATCTCATTTTCCTCATTCCTGAGTTCTCTGATGGTTCCTCTTTTAAGTTGGAGGAAGGGGATGATGGAGAACTAAGGTCAGTTGCTGTTTCCTTTCTTGCCTGTGTGATGGCTTGATGTTAAGTTTCATTCTCAGATATGGATTTGCTATAGGGATGTATTATGTACGTATATATGTTTTGTTGGAGGATGGAGATTGTCGGGCTTGGCTGGGCCGGATGTAATCTGAAAAGGGGCATTTCAAGTGTATTTAAATGGCCAAATTTCATAGGTGGCAGGTTCCAGGCCACGATTGCTGTCCCTTTTCCTTTGTGATAGGAGAAGGTCAAGGGTCCCGTGAATGATATTGTGCAGAAGAGCTAGCGAGGCACCGTCAGGGAGCCCTGTGTGTGAGACAGGCCAAGCAAAGAGTGGGCATTGCTCCTGGCTTGATGGAGGTGGATGGGTTTTTTGCTATAGAAAACTACACTAAATACTAAGAGGTTTCCTAATTCCTCTCTATCATTCTTTAAGATTATTAAAGATATTGAATGTTTACCTATAATTTTGATCTAGAAACTTCTCAAGTCTTTATTTCATATTCTGTAAATAGAATGGCAGGGCTAAATTATGTTCTATTTTCTGCCCATTCATTCATTTATAAAACATTTGTTGAACATCTGCTATATTGCCAGGCACTGTGGTCTATTCATTTTGGTTAATGTCATACCAGTAATTAAAGCAATCACTTGAAAGTGAGTCTTCCTGTTTGCAAGTTACTAAGATGTAATCATAAGGCATCTAATAGCAATATGCTGTAGTAACATGAAGAAATAGCCAGTATTGTGGGGTTGAGGGAAGAGTGTTGGTTTGATTTGAAACAAAACAACATCAACAAAAATGAGAACCTTTCCTAAATATGACACAGTCCCTCTGGTTGACTTGTTTCTTTTATGTTCGATCTGTCTTTTCTCAGATTCTTAGAGGCCGTGCTGATCTGTGAGTCTGCATTTAGAAGTGTTTTTTTTTTTTTTTTTCCGAGATGGAGTCTCGCTCTCTCACCCAGGCTGTGGTGCAGTGGCACAATCTCGGCTCACTGCAGCCTCTGCCTCCCGGGCTCAAGCAATTCTCCTGCCTCAGCCTCCTGAGTAGCTGGGATTACAGGCGCACACCACCACGCCCGGCTAATTTTTGTATTTTTAGTAAAAACTGGGTTTCACTATGTTGGCCAGGATGGTCTGGATCTCTTGACCTTGTGATCCGCCCGCCTCGGCCTCCTAAAGTGCTGGGATTACAGGCGTGAGCCACTGCGCCCGGCCTGCATTTAGAAATGTTTGAGCCTTTCTGTTCTTCTGATTTTGGTGCCAGAATGGATAATAGTTGGTTTGCTGAGCTTTTGTTTAGCCATTAAGCACTGCAGCTTTGAAGCAAAACTGTTAGAAGAAAACTTTTACTCTTCCACCCATTTAGTTTTAGTTGGCGTTTGCAAAGTTTGTGAGGGCAGAAATCTTTTTGCGGCTATAGGGAAAAGGGGAACATCTTAGGTAATGAACTATAGTTAGTCTTCCAAGTGCTGTTTTGGTTTACTGTCTTCCTGCAGGTTGACTCTAAATCAGGGTGTTTCAGCAGTGGCACAGTGACATTTTGGGTCAGATAATTCTCTGTTGTGGGGGCTGTCTTGTGCACTATAGGATCTGGCAGCATCCCTGGCTTCTGCCCACTAGATACTAGACGCAAGTAGCGCACCCTTTTCTCCAGTTGTGACAACCAAAAATCCCTTCAGACATTGCCACATGTAGCCCGAGGCAAAATTGTTCCTGGTTGAGAACCACTGCTCTGAATTCTTAAAGCTGACTTACTGACTGCAGTTAGTTTTGTCAGCTAACTGACAAAACTGTAGTGCTTGGTGTTGTGTTTCTGTGAATCTTTAACAGCTTTTCTTTTCTTTTTTTTTTTTTTTTTTTTTGAGACGGAATCACTGTTGCCCAGCGTGGAGTGCAGTGGTGCAATCTTGGCTCACTGTAACCTCCACTTCCTGGGTTCAAGCGATTCTCCTGCCTCAGCCTCCTGAGTAACTGGGATTACAGGTGCCCTCCCCCATGCCTGGCTAGATTTTTAAAAAATTATTTTTAGTAGAGATGGGGTTTTGCCATATTAGCCAGGCTGGTCTTGAACTCCTGACCTCAGGTGATCCACCCGCCTTGGCCTCCCAAAGTGCTGGGATTACAGGTGTGAGCCACCATGCCTGGCCCTTTTATTCTGATTGCTGTTCTGATTGTTAAAATGCAGTTTGCTATACCTGAACAGCTGTTGTCATCCAGCCCAGAGCAGTTGTGCTCAGAGGGTGAGCAGAGATGGCAGGCGCCCTGTGTTCCTGGAGTCCTTAGTAGTTGTTCTCTTGTTGCTTCTTGATATCTAAGTAATGGACTTTAATAAACTTACTAAAAAAAACTAGTGTGAAATCTAGGCCAAAACACTTTGATATTTGACCTCCAGCTGCATGACCCCACCTAAGTCTTCTAAAGCACAAGTAGGTTCTCTTGATTTGGTTGTTTGTAAATTAGATAATTTTGGATATGATCTAGATATCAAATCATTGTAGTTTTTCTTGTTTTTCGTTTTCAGGTGCAGAGTTAGGTTGTTTATAGGATTGTCAAGTTTGGCTGATAAGTAACTTCAGATTTTGCAAACAGTGTGGTGCTATGTTGATTTAGCAGAGAGGGTGCTGGCATTCACACGTCTAGTAAGAGGAAGAGTTGGAATTTGAACCCAAGCTTTTCTGATTGGCCCCAAAGCCATGCTTTCTCCCTCTGTACCAGTGCTTCTCCCCATTTAATGTGCACAGGAATCCCCCAGGGGCATGTTAAAATGCAGATTCTGACTCAGTGGGCTTGGGGTGTGCCTGCACTCCTACAGGCTCCGGTGGTGTGTGCTGCTGGTCTTCGCCTCACACTTTGAACTCTGAAGCTCCTTGCTATATTCCTGGTTTACTAATTGTGCTGTAGATAATCCACCTGAAGGTTAACCCACAAAACTGATAATCTACAAGCCAATATTCAAGAACTGAAGTGGTTTTTCTTCATTTTAAGCTGTGTGAGGGGGAGCTTTGTTTGGCTGAATTGGCAGAATCAGTTCTGTACTGAGTGAATGCTAGGTGTGTTAGGTAAAGTGAATGTTCGAGGGGAGTTTGTTGAGGGAGTTTGTGAACAGCTACCATATGCCGTCATTTCCAAGGCGGACCTTATTTTACATTTTGTCATCTCTGAAATTGAGATGTGTCTTACAATGGATGGCCTCTTACCATTGCTGAGCTTGCCATTCAAGTCCGGCCCCTTCTTGCCACCCTCCCGCCCTTTGGCGAGTGGAACCGACAGCTGCTAAGGTGAGCACTTGGCATCTGCTCTCCTTGCTGCTCTCTCGTCTGACCTAGGCCTCACTCGGTCCTTCGTTTTGTCATTGTGGACTCTGAGCTTAGGATACCCTGGGCTGTACACTTGGGAATTTTTATGCTGGTCAGACATGCTGCAGGGCAAGGTGGATTTCTCGGTCTGTTGCTTGGCTTGGACATCTGTTAACTGTGGTGGCGAATCTGTTACAGATCCTTCTTTGTCTTGAGTTGGGCAGGACCTCCTCTGGGGCTGAGGTGAAGTCTTAAAGAAAGCTCTGGCCAAGAGTGTTGACTCTTGCCTGTAATCCTGTCACTTTTTTTGGAAGGCTGAGGGAGGGGGAATGCTTGAGACCAGGAGTTTGAGGCCAGTCAAGGCTACATAGCCAGAACGTGTCTCTACAAGTTTTTTTTGAAATTACCCAAGTGTGGTGGTGCATGCCTGTAGGTCCCAGCTACTTGGGGAGCTGAGACAAGAGGATCAATCACTTGAGCTAATGAGCTCTAGGCTGCAGTGAGCTATGATAGCACCATTGCACTCCAGCCTAGGTGACAACTCAAGACTCCATCTCTTAAAAGAAAAAAAAATTTAAGTTCTGTAATCAAGTAAACAAGGGATCATCAATTTCACATGCCTTCTTAATTGGCAACATTGTTTTTTCTTGATGGTACACAGATTAATAATGCATTTTCAGGCCAGGTGTGGTGACTCATGCCTGTAATCCCAGCACTTTGAGAGGCTGAGGCAGGCAGATGCCATGAGATCAGGAGTTCGAGACCAGCCTAGGCAATATGGTGAAACCCTGTCTCTACAAAGATAAAAAAATTAGCTGGGCATGGTGGTATCTGCTTGTAGTTCCAGCTACTTGGGAGGCTGAGGCAGGAGGATCACTTGAGCCTGGCAGGTGGAAGTTGTAGTGAGCCGAGATCACACCACTGCATTCCAGTCTGGGCCACAGTGAGACTCTATCTCAAAAAAAAAAAAAAAAAAAAATGTCTGGGTGCAGTGGCTCGTGCCTGTAGTCCCAGCACTTTGGGAGGCCAAGGTGGGCGGATCATGAGGTCAGGATTTCAAGACCAGCCTGGCCAAGATGGTGAAACCCCGTCTCTACTAAAAATGCAAAAAAATAGCCAGGCGTGGTGGTAGGCGCCTGTAATCCCAGCTACTTGGGAGGCTGAGGCAGGAGAATCACTTGAACTCAGAGGGCAGAGGCTGCAGTGAGCCAAGATTGCGCGACTGCACTCCAGCCTGGGTGACAGAGTGAGACTCCATCTCAAAAAAAAAAAAAAAAAAAAAAAAAAAAGCATTTTCTATGGTGGCTTTGGTTTGAAGAAGTTTATAAAGTTAACAAAAGTTTATCAGGAAAAGGACTGGGTTTGGAATCAAAGTATGAGTTAGGACCGGGCGTGGTGGCTCATGCCTGTAATCCTTGCACTTTCGGAGCCGAGATAGGAGGATCTCTTGAGCTCAGGAGTTCGAGACGCCTGGGGGGAACATAGTGATGAGACTTCGAGAACTCGCTTTTTTTTTTTTTTTAAAGTTATGAATTAGAGTTTTGGCTCTTGCAACTTGCCAGTTGTATGACATCACTCTGGGCCTCAGTTTCTGCATGTGTAAAGTGACAGACGCTATAGTCTCCAAAGCCCTTCTAGCTCTGAATTAATTGGATTTTAAGTGTGCTAGAATGAATTAATTGAAGTATGAGGGCTCTGCATTAAGAATATAGAATAAATGATTCTCCTGGCAAGGAGGGTGTGGCAAGAGGCATCTGAACTGGACCTCCAGGGGGAGGATGGAAGAGAAGGTATTTGAAGTTGAAGAGACATGCTAGTAGGTCACAGAGCTCCTTGGAAACCATTCATAAATTTAAGTCCTCGGATGCAGTTAATTCATGCCAGGTAGAGGTTGTTCTCAGTACAAGTAAAATAGTCTGTTGGAAGTAAGGTGATTTTTCGTGGCATTCTAAAAAGATTATTCTTCATGAGATGCTCTTTGTTTTTGGGGTTTGAGAACAAAATAATGGTTCCCCTTTGGTTGGACTAATTAGACAAAGACACTCTAAGAATAAAATGAGCCATCCAAGTACTGGCTGTGGTCATCATTTATATGAGTATTAGGTGGCAAGGTGAATAACACAGCTACTCACCCACACTGTAGGTAAACTATACTTAACTGAGATATGGTTAAATAAAAATTGTTTCATTATGTAGTTGTACTATTTGAAGCACCAGTTTCTGTTTTATGAAGGAAATACTGCTTTGCATGTATGTTGAATCACTTAGATGTGTTTTGAATTGGGATTTGCTGAAGACGCAGAAGCTGTTGTACTTGAGTACATGATACCTTGAAAAGAAGGAAAAAGTTTGTGTACGAGTAGTCAGCATTGTAGGTAGGAATTTCAAAGGTGAAGTAACTAATCTCGACCAGATGGGCTGTGCTCTTTTTTGGGATTTATATCCCAAAAAGGCGTTAGAATTGGGAGTCAGAAGTGACAGACTCATGAGGTTTCTGAGTTGGGTTTTAAAATTAACAAGCATGCTGGGAATTCCATAGCCATTGGAATCTCAGATCCACTCTGCCACCTTGTGTTCTCTTGGGAGAGTTGTTTTTAATTTCCCTACATCGTGTTTATTGCGTGTATAAAATAATCTTCAGCTTTTGCTTGATTCACAAGAAAATTAGCTAACTAATGAATGAAGCTTAAAAGGTAAATCTATATACATTTATTGAAGTATAAGGCAGCTTTTATTCCTGAAAGGCATATGCTAGATTTTACAAGCGCGGAGATCAGGCAAAATTATTCAGTAAATCCAGCCATGGTCTCCTTGGACCTAAATACAGATTTTGTTTGGCCTTTCATAACACAGCCTTAATTTTTAATGTTTTTCCTTCCTCATCACAGGTGGTCCGTACTGAGAAGAACAGTTTGAACAACCGATTCTTACCCTGGAATGAAATTGAGACAGAGGCCATCCTGTCCATTGATGACGATGCTCACCTCCGCCATGACGAAATCATGTTTGGGTTCCGGTGAGAGACTAATTTCCAATCAAAACTTTAGGTTGCAAGTGACAGAAAACCTGGATTAGGCTGCAAAATGAATTTTTTGGCTGATGGTAACTGAGAACCCCTTGCAGATAGTCAGGGCTGATGTAGGACGTGGCTGGATGCAGGCTCGTAGATGGCGTTGGAGGAGTCCATCTCTCTTCATCTGTAGGCTCCGCTCTGTGTTCCCACAGGCCTTTCCTCTGTGGCCAGGAAGGTGGAATTCTTTGATTGGCTAGACCCTGGTTACCTGCCTGTTCCTGGTGCTGCAGGTGTATCATCCTTAAATCCAAACCACATGGGCAGAGAGTAGAGGCAACGGGTAGGGTAGTTCTCTAAAGGAAATAGGAGGGTTTTGTTTTTAGAGGAATGGGAAGGCAAAAGTGACATGTTGCTGTGTGTTGGAGCAATGGAACAGTGCCAGGATCCTGGACCCAAAAAGATTTGGGGGAAGGAGGGTGTCAGAAGCAATGATTTAAAAGGAAAAAGAAGGGGAGGAGGAAAAGGAGGTGGTGGTAATGATGATGATGATGATGATGGTAAACATATGTTGAACCCGTACTGTGTGCCAGGGACTAGCCTAGGACTTTGTCTTATCTCATTCATCCTTCTAAAATTTGATGACATAAATTGTAGCTGTCTCCATTTCATGTAGGAGTAAATTGAGATAGAAGAGAACAGAACCACGTAGAAGCTAGAAAGTGGCAGCAGAGCTCTGGGTTCAAATGCAGGTTTGTCACACTCCCAACCTGCACCCGGCCTTCAACTCTCCTGCCTTCTTGAGTCTTAGGAATTGCTGAAGGATCCCACTTGAGGGTCACTGCAGGGAAGAGGATGGAGTAGATGAAGGCTACTCCAGGTATCTCAGGGACTGGGATGTTGGTTTAGGGACAGTTTGTTACCTGTTAATGGTGAGGTAAGTACAAAAATTGAGGGTAAGCATTCAGAAACTTGTAAAGCAATTTGACATTTACTATGAAATCCAAGTATATGATTATTTTTCTTGCAGTTCTTTTTTTTACAACATTTCTTCAATATAATTCATACCCCATAAAATTCACTCATTTAAGTGTACAATTCAGTGGTTTTAGTATATTCAGAGTTGTGCAAACATCACCATGGTTAATTTTAGAAATCTTCATCACCACTGAAAGAAACCCTGTACCTATTAACAGCCACTCCCAATTTTTCTCCAAACCCCTCAGTCCTAGGTAGCCACTCAATCTTTGCATCTCTATAGATTTGCCTATTCTGGACATCTTCTATAAATAGAACTGTACAACGATGCATGGCCTTTTGTGACTCTCTTCTTTCACGGAACATGATGTTTTCAAGGTTCATCCATCTTGTAGCAGGTACCAGTTCTTTTTTATTTTGAGATGGAGTCTCACTCTGTTGCGCAGGCTGGAGTGCAGTGGCTTGATCTCAGCTCATTGCAACCTCTGCCTCCCAGGTTCAAGCGATTCTTTCATGTCAGCCTCCCGAGTAGCTGGGATTACAGGTATGGACCACCACCATGCCAAGCTAATTTTATTTTTTGTATTTTAGTAGAGATGGGGTTTCACCATGTTGCCCAGGCTGATCTTGAACTCCTGAGCTCAGGCAACCTGCCCGCCTCGGCCTCCCAGAGTGCTGGGATTACAGGCATGAGCCACGGTGCCCAGCCCAGGTACCAGTTCTTCATTCATTTTCTGTTGATGGATATTTGGGTCATTTCTATTTCTTGGCTATTATGAATAATGCTGTGAACCTTCATGCGCAAGTTTTTGTATGAACATGTCATTCCTCTTGAGTGGATACCTAAGAGTAATGTGGGTGGATCATGATAGCTGCTTTAACATTTTGAGCCGGTCAGGCTGTTTTTCACGGTGGCAGCCCCATATTGCATTCTCACCAGCAGTGTATGAAGGTTCTAGCTTCTCCACATCTTCGTCAATGCTTGTTATTTTCCATTTTCAAAATTTATAGCCGTCCTAGTCATTGTAAAGTGATAACTAATTTTATATATAAATGTGTGTGTGTGTGTATGTGTGTATATATACACACACACACAGATGGGGTCTCACATTGTTGCTGAGGCTGGAGTGCAGTGGTGCAATCTTAGCATGTGGTAACCTTGAACTCCTGGGCTCAAGTGATCCTCCTGAGTAGCGGGGACTACAGGCTCACATTACCACACCTGGCTAATCTTTACATTTTTTTTTTTTTTTTTGTACAGATGGGTTCTCACTTTATTGTTCAAGCTGGTCTGAAACTCCTGGCCTCGAGCAAGCCTCCCAAGTGCTGGGATTACAGGCATGAGCCACAGCACCCGGCCATACAGTTGTGATTTGCATTTCTCTCAATGATGTTGAGCTTCTTTTCATGCGCTTATTGATCAGTTAGCCTTTGTATATCTTCTTTGGAGAAACGGCTTTTCACATTCTTTGCCCATTTTTGTTTGGATTGTCGTCTTTTTTTTTTTTTTTCTGACACAGAGTCTCGCTCTGTTACCCAGGCTGGAGTGCAGTGGTGTGATCTTGGCTCACTGCAAGCTCCACCTCCCGAGTTCACGCCATTCTCCTGCCTCAGCCTCCCAAGTAGCTGGGACTACAGGCGCCTGCCACCATGCCTGGCTAATGTTTGTATTTTTAGTAGAGACAGGGTTTCACCATGTTGGTCAGGCTGGTCTCGAACTCCTGACCTCAGGTGATCTGCCCGCCTCGGCCTCCCAAAGTGCTGGGATTACAGGCATGAGCCACCGCACCAGGCCAGGATTGTCTTTTTATTATCACGTTATAAGAGTTCTTTATATATTCTAGATGCAAGTCCATTATCAGTGATTGGAGTTGCACAATTTTCTCCCATTCCATGGGTTATTTTCTTGCTTTCTTGATGGTATTATTTGAAGCACAGGGTTCGTGTTTTGAAGTTCAGTGGATCTATTTTCTTTGGTTGCTTGTGCTTTGGATGTCATATTTAAGAAACCAGGCAGTTCATTTTTGTTGTATTTTACCAAAGTATTAATCTATAATAATTTTGGGGAAAAATTAGTTCTTCCCCACATCATTTGAAAACCACTGGAGGCCGGGTGTAGTGGCTTACACCTGTAATCCCAGCATTTTGGGAGGCCAAGGCAGGTGGATCACCTGAGGTCAGGAGTTTGAGACCAGCCTGGCCAACATGGTGAAACCCTGCCTTTACTAAAAATATAAAAATTAGCGGGGCGTGTTGGCGTGCGCCTGTAATCCCAGCTACTCAGGAGGCTGAGACAGGAGAATTGCTTGAACCCAGGAGGTGGAGGTTGCAGTGAGCCAAGATCATGCCACTTCTAGCCTGGGCAACAGAGCTAAAACAAAACAAAACAAAACAAAACAAAAAAAACACTGGAGTAGATTTCTTTGGCGATCTTTTTCAAATTAAGTGTGGATCCAGGATAGAGAGAGTTCTTTCTCTGTGCTTCCATTCTGTTCACTGAAGGCCTAACCTGACCTACCTGGCTCTGGAGCTGCCTTTGGCTTAGGCTTGTAAGAGCAGATGCTCAGATAAAAGGAGCAGAGGCTTTATTGCTCATCTGTCTTAAATCCATCTGTAAAGAATGATTTGACACATTTCTGAAAAATTAGAACATCTGTTCTTATTCTCCCCCACCCAGCCTCTCACATTTCCTTTGACCTCTTGCTTAGTGTATTATTGAACCAAGTCTATTGACAGCTGTGATTAAAAAAAAAATCCTGGTAAACCGAGGTGTATTTTTTTTACACGATAATAGTAGCTGACTCTCTCCACTTGTTTTTATGAAAGGAAAAAAGCCATGCAGTAACTCCAGGCATGATCTTTGCTGCTGCAGGTGGTAGTGGTGGGGGTGGGCGGTAGGGAGTGTGTTTATGCTGCAGCGTGATGCAGTTTGGAGCGTGCCGAAGGACTGGCGTGGTGAGCATAGTCGTGGAGTGTTAACAGGAGAACTGCCAACCCTTAGATCCAAGAATGATTTTGATAAGGAGCCCAGCTTTAAGGAGTTTGAAGCCTATTAACATAGCTGGCATTAACATAGCTTCCAAGCCCCTGATTTAGGGACTTCTTACCTTGCCCGTGCTATTTTCCAGCAGATTTGCAGGTGGTGAGAGAATAATGGGAAGCCTTTTAATGTGTCTCTTAACTGTCATTCATGTTTGAGATTTAGCCTCTGGTAATGGAGCTGGTGAATTATCATTGCTGTCTATACATCCTAACCTTTTCCTACCCTGACCCTTTTCTCATGCATTTGGGCATCCTTTGATCTAAAACCTTTCTCTTATTAATCTCCCCAATTTGCTTATTTCACCTTAATGGGAATGAAACAGACCTAAGTTCAAAGGAAAGGGTAAGTCTAAGAATTCTTTCTTCTGGCAAAGATAGATCTTGACTCACTTCAACTTAGGTAGCCAAGAAAGAGGCAGATACAATCAATCATAAGGGACAGAAAAGGTATACCAAGAGACTTGAGAGCATGTGTCCATACAGAAAGGAATACACAAATGGCCAGAGCAGCGTTATTCGTAACAGAAGTGCAAACAACTCAGAGGGATAAATACTGTGGTTCCATTATGTGAGGCCCCTAGGTAGTCATTCATAGAGACGGAGAGTAGAATAGGGGCTGCCGGGCTGTGGGAAGGTGGGAGTGGGGATTAGTGTTTAATGGGGACAGAGTTTCCGTTTGGGAAGATGAAAGAGTTCTGGAGATGGATGGCAGGGATGGTTGCACGACACTGTGAATGTCCGTAATGCCACTGAACCATACATTTAAAAATGATTAAGATGGTATATTTTATGTTTGTTTTGCCACAATTTAAAAAAAATCAGTTGTCTAAAAAAACCCACCTAGAAGGCTGTTACATTGTGATAGAAGTTGTGATTTCTCCTCTTTTGGATTAGATTAGATGCTTCTAGACTTATTAGGAGAGGAACTCTGTTGAAATAAAATCTTCTGTGTCTTAGGAACTGAAGTTCCATGTAAGTGATGAGGGAGTTTGCAGGCAGTTTAAATCTCTGGCAGCCTTTCTGCAGGCCTGTCAGGTCCTGTGGAGCTTAAACGCTTTCAGTTCTCCAATTTATCCTGTGAAACTGGGGACCAATTTTATTTGTTCTAATTTACCTATAAATTTGGAGATGATATAGAAGTTTCTACTGAAACATACTGAAGTCTCCATTTATTTCTTCCATTTAATGAAACCTTTCAGTTGTATGGTTCTGTAGGCCACTTCTCATCATACATGTTTCTCCGTCAGCCCTGCTCAAATTTGGAATTAGGAGTGGTGCAGTTCAGTAGTCTTCTGTGGTTAAACCAGTGCTCTCTAAACCTTTTTATTATGTTCCTTCTCTGTAAAAGAAAAGTGTGCAATATATGTAAATTACATACATGTCCTTCTGAACTAATATGTCATGCTTATTAAAAACAAAGCCTTTCTTAGAAAATGCTTGTTCATTCATTCATTTTTAGAGCCAGATCTTGCTCTGTTGCTCAGGCCAAGGGAGGTGGTGCAATCATAGCTAACTGCAGCCTTGAACTCCTAGAATCAGGCAGTCCTTCCACCTCAGCCTCCCAAGTAGCTGGTAGTACAGGTGTGCTCCACCATACCCAGCTAATTACAAACAAAAATTTTTTTTTGTAGAGACAGGATCTTGCTATGTTGCCCAGGCTGGTCTCCAGCTCCTTGCTTCAAGCAATCCTCCTGTGTTGGCCTCCCAAGTGCTGAGGTTACAGGCATGAGCCATCCCACCAAGCCCTTTCTTGGAAATTAAATAAGCTAAAAAAAGAATTGAAATTGATATCATCTTTCTGCTGCTTAGTAGATTATTGTATATACCCCATTCTGGAGCCCTCCTTAGTAGATATTGTACATACCCCATTCTGGAGATCCCCTTTCCAAACTTAGGGCTTATTCTTTCTGGAAGGGCTGGAGGATGCTGACTGCTAGAGGGACAATGTGCAGGTGCTTATTAAGGAAGCTGAATATGATACCTTATTTGCTTTTATCCTGTTTGGCTTGTTGTTGATTTTGTTTTATTTTGAAAGGATACGAGAAGTAAAAGCCTAAGGGCCAGAGCTTGTAAGGTGGAGGCAATAACTGTGAACACTTCTGATGACCCTAGAGCTCTGTATTCAGGTCTGTGTATGCACTTGTGTTTTTCAAGGGTGTGGAGAGAAGCTCGGGACCGCATCGTGGGCTTCCCTGGCCGTTACCACGCATGGGACATCCCCCATCAGTCCTGGCTCTACAACTCCAACTACTCCTGTGAGCTGTCCATGGTGCTGACAGGTGCTGCCTTCTTTCACAAGGTAAGAAAAAGCTGGTAATAATGGCATCGACTTGGTGAGAGTTTCACCTTTGTGTGGTAGCGGAATGCTGCCCTCAGCTTAGCTCTCCTAACGCTTCTTACATGTTTCTTTTGTGCTAGAAGTCAGTTTTTTCTATTTTTACAGACAATGATCAAGATGCTTAGAGCAACTCTGGGATAAAAAGTCAAGATGAGAGGGCTGCCTGTACAGTTGCACATAGGCCATTTGGAAACCACTTTATCTTTCTGGGCGTTGGCTCTCCGTTTGTAAAACTGAGGGCACTGGGCTAAAGACACCTCAAATACCTTCCAGTTTTAACACTGCCACCCTAGATATGGCCCAGCCATCAGAAGGTGACCTGGGCACTTTTCTGACTTAGATATACCATGCCTGTCCCGGGCCCCACGATGAGCCTCTGTGTGGCTCTGCCAGTTCTTTGTGATGCTTTAGTGCTTATTACTTTCACTGTGCCTCCTAATCTGATTTTCACTGAATATCTGAAGCTTAGGACCCTGCAGTCTTTCCTCCTCTACTGTTCTGTATTCTGTTTTTTTCTCCTGGCCCATCTTCCCTCTCTACCTCTTCCATCCTGTAAAGTGGCCCCTGACCACAAGTGGCTGCTGATCACCTGGTGCATGACTGGTC
Source organism: Homo sapiens (assembly GCF_000001405.40). Classification (NCBI taxonomy): domain Eukaryota; kingdom Metazoa; phylum Chordata; class Mammalia; order Primates; family Hominidae; genus Homo; species Homo sapiens. The sequence continues at coordinate 28,738,309 of NC_000008.11, forward strand.
AGAATGGAGACGTGCTGTTCAGTGTAAAGTGCACAACAGCTTTCAAAAACTTGTAACAAAGGGTGTCAGATAGCTCAGTAATTGTTTGTGTTGATTGCATCTTGAAATGCAGTTAGTTTGGATTACTGGGTTAAATACAGTTATTGATTTTTACTGTCTCTTTTTACTTTTTAACGATGTAGCTTCTAGAAAGTTTACAGTGCTGTATGTGGTTTGCCTTCTGTGTCCGTGAGTGCCGCTCTCTACCTCCCTCCTGAAGTGTTCCCGGGCCCTGAGGAGTCCCTGTTCTAAGATTACCCTGGCATTACCCCCACTGCCCACCACACAGAGCACCTCTTCTGTGCCCTGAGTCTTCTCTGAGGACAGTGCTCCCATTAGCCTTTTCCTGTAGACTTTGAGGCACTCATTTCCCCACATCTGTGCTTTGGCACAGGGCAGGTGTAGGGAACATTTTCATTGCTTACCAATGACACTTCCCTCCCAGCTGTCACATAAAGTCTCATTTGCAGCTCCTGTCGTCTGTCTTGCTGCCATCAACCAGCCTTTTCATCGTGCCCTGACAGTCACCAAAGACGGTGGCACCTGCCTCCTTCTCTTTGTCTGCATCCATGCCCTCCATGGTTCTGGTGCCTCCACTGTCCTCACGGAAGACCCTCCCACCACTCTCTCTGCATGAATGGTGAAGTGTCCCGGGGTCTAGCCTCTGTTGCTCTTCTTATTTTCCCTAGGCGTTCTGTCTCACACACAAGGTTTTGAGGCTTTTCTTAGCATCTGCAGGCTGGTAATTTCCTCATCTGTATTCCAGCCTTGGCCTTTCTTGCTGAGGTCTGCGTTTGTATATTTCATTGTTTCCAGCATATCTCCCGTTTGTCCCTCAGACACTTCAGGTAAACTTTTCCCAGGAAAGCTCACCGTCTCTCCCTAGCTCCTTGAAGTCTTTTCTCCCTTACATATCTCCCATCTCAGATGGTGGCATCTTGCCAGTCACCTCAAATAGAACAATAAAATTCATTTTTATAGGGACTTTTTTAATTTTTTAAGACAGGGTCTCACTGTCGCCCAGGTTGGAGTGTAATGGTGGGGTCTCAGCTCATTTTAGCCTCCACCTCTTGGGCCCAGGTGACCCTCCTGCCTCTGTCTCCTGGGTAGCTGGGACTACAGGCACGCATCACCACACCTGGCTAATTTTTTTTGGTAATTTTTATAGAGATGCAGTTTCGCCATGTTGCTTAGGCTGGTCTCGAACTCCTGGACTCAAGCGATCTGCCCGCCTTAGCCTCCCAAAGTGTTGGGATTACAGATGTGAGGAACCGTGCCTGACATATAGGGACGTTTGAACCAGCCTAAGCAGTCGTTAAACTTTCAGCTGTTCTTTTTCTTTTAAAAACTTAATGTGTGAAGTTGATACACTCATCCCATTCTTGCACTTCACCTCAGGACTTCCTTTCCTTCGGTGGGCCTTGTTTGGACTGAGGATTGCAAGTAGAGTCAGAGGATTAGGGTGTCAGCAACTGGCCAAGATTTTCACACTTGCTCAGCTAAGAAGGAGCCACTGATCTTAGCAGCGTCTACTCATACCTTGAGGATGTACTTATCTTCTGAATTGCCTTCCCAGATTCAGACTGTTCTTTAAAACCATGAATGGTCAGGTACCTCTACTTTCAAGAAATCATTTACTTAATGAAATTTAGTATTTTTCCTGTGTGAAAATCTATAAAGAAGATTACAGACTAGCAGCGCCCAAACCTCAGTTGGCTTACAGAGAGATTTTTGGGCCCTCTAGTGTTGTCCTATGCACTGACAACTTCTAAAAATCACAAGATTTCACAAAAAGACCTGAGCTGCAATACAAATGAAGATCAGGTCCTCTGAGGTCCTGTCTGGGGCGTCATGGCGGCTGCTCCTGTAGTTGAGGCCCATGATGGGGCCTTCATGCGCTTACCTGCCTGTGGCTCCTCGTTTTTCTTACACCTATTTCTTTTTTTATTTTTATGAGACTGAGTTTTGCTGTGTGGCCCAGGCTGGAGTGCAGTGGCACCATCTCGGCTCCCTGCAACCTCCACCTCCTAGGTTTAGGCAATTCTCCTGCCTCAGCCTCCCGAGTAGCTGGGATTACAGGAGCATGCCACCACACCTGGCTAATTTTTGTATTTTTAGTAGAGATGGGTTTTCACCATGTTGGTCAGGCTGGTCTTGAACTCCTGACCTCATGATCCGCCCGCTTTGGCCTCCCAAAGTGTTGGGATTACAGGCGTGAGCCACAGCACCCGGCCTACACCCATTTCTTTACACTCATTTGTCTTACTTGCTTGGTCCACGAAAGCAGTTAGATTGGTCCTCTCTGATCAACAGCTGTCAAGTTTTTTTCTTTTTTTTTAAAATCATAAGTGCCTGTCAATAACACTTTTTAGACCTGTACCTAATATATATGTATATTTACTTATAAATTTTATGCATGTGTCTATTACTGATAGATATTTTTTAGAGGTTGAAATAACGATGAAACAAAACTTTAAAATAATGTGATCACTCAATTCTTAAATTTTAGTGAAAGCAGTAGGATTGAATATGTTTTATTATTTTTGAAAATCTTGATTGGATACTGTGTGTTATAGCAAGTCAGGTCTGTTTCTAAATTAAACTTTTTTTTTTCTCTTCTTTTTGAGATGGAGTCTTCTCGCTTCTTTCTCCAGGCTGGAGTACAGTAGTGCAATCTTGGCTCACTGCAGTCTCTGCCTCCTGGGTTCAAGCAATTCTTCTGCCTCAGCCTCCCCAGTAGCTGGGATTCACCCTGTTGGCCAGGCTGGTCTCGAACTCCTGACCTCAAGTGATCCACCCGCCTTGGCCTCCCAAAGTGCTGGGATTATAGGCGTGAGCCACTGCGCCTGGTCAACATAAATCATTTTTGACAGCAAAACCACATACTGATGGAAATACCTCTGAACAGTTATTCTGATAATGCTTTCATCAGTTTTTTTTAAATTATTATTAAAAGGCAGTTCTTATTGTTAAAATGTCATTTCTTTCAAGACGTGTTATGTTAATATATTCTCATCAGCATACGAAGGACAGTCACTGGCCATTTAAAGGGTCAATAAATTTGAATTACCTTTTTTAAAAAGTGTATTTATTTTATTTTATTTATTCTTACTCTTTTTTTTTGAGACGGAATCTCACTGTCACCCAGGCTGGATTGCAGTGGCACAACCATGGCTCAGTGCAGCCTAGAACTCCCAGGCTCAAGTGATCTTCTCACCTCAGCCTCCTGAGTAGCAGGCAGTACAGGCACATGCCACTACATCTGGCCAATTTTTTATTTTTTTGTAGCTATGGGGTCTTCTCCCTGTGTTGCCCAGGCTGGCCTTGAACTTCTGGGCTCAAGCATTTCACCGACCTTGGCCTCCCAAACAAAGTGTTGGGATTACAGGCATGAGCCACCATGCCCAGCCTGGATCACCTTTTTGTTAAAAAAAAAATTACAATTCATTTTTTTAAGTTCACCAACTCTTAAGTACTTTGCTATAAGATAATTAGCACATTTATTCTGTGTTACAAAAAAATTTTATCATTATTTCACTCAACATATTATATTGTAGGTAATGCAATATGTTCATCAGTTAATCAGTTTAACTGGGCACCTCACCTATTCATTTGTTCATTACAGCAAATTGCAACATATAGCAGTTAACATGTGCCCTGTCTTGTAGTATTTGCTGATTTCTATGGTATAAATACTCTTACCTTGGCTGATTTGAAGTTATCAACATGAGTCACTGAACACGGATTTGGGAAGAGATACACAGTTGTACACCATTACATAGTAATTTCAACATCAACAGTAGATATAGGTAACCTCAAGTTAATAGTAAAATATTAACTAGGAAGTAATGAGTTTAAGGTGTTTATTGCATGGATTTTTAATATAATTTTAATTTATTTAATTTGAAGTTTATGTAATTACATCTTTAATAATGGCTATGTTTAACAACAAGCTGACAACATTCTGAAAATGTAGAAAGCGCCATTCATGAGCAGGTGTGAGTGGCTCCAACACACCCCTCTGTGGGCCTTGTAGGACAGTCTGAGAACTTTGCCTTTTACTCTGAGTGAGATGGGAAGTGTTGGAGGCTTTGGAGCGAAGGGGTGATATGTTCAGTTGGTTTGAGTGTTAACACAATCACCTGCTGCGCTGGGACTAGCACATGGGGAAGAGAATATGGCAGCAGGGAGAATATTTAGGAGCTGATGTGGAGAATCCAGGCAAGAGACGAAGGTGGTTGGCAGCAGGGAGTAGCCAGGGCCGATGGCGAGTACTGACCAGACTCAAGAATCTGTACAGGAGGCAGTGAGGGATCGTGTGTTTCATGGTTCTGTGATTTATTGAGGTCTGAGAAAATAACCAGGCTTTTTTCTCTCACTTATCTTTTTTTTTTTTTTTGGCCATTGTTAGAGATAAAATAGTGTTCAATTGAACCAGCATCTGACCTAGTTTGACAAATCTTTGTATTGATTTCAAAATCACTGCGGTACCAGGGAGATGATATGACATTCTGTTACTAAAGGGGGTGATGATGGCAGTTTGAATGGGATAATTCCTCACTGCAGAAGATCCACACGACAGGATGTCTCGAATCCCCTGCCCCAGTCCCTAAGTGCCAGTAATACCTCCTAGTTACTGCCACACCCAAACAGCCCCTCCATCCATGCATATTTTGGCTGAAAGCCAACAACCTGTGTCTTGTAACAGAGCATGTGGTTCTTTTTCTTCCCCTGACAGTATTATGCCTACCTGTATTCTTATGTGATGCCCCAGGCCATCCGGGACATGGTGGATGAATACATCAACTGTGAGGACATTGCCATGAACTTCCTTGTCTCCCACATCACTCGGAAGCCCCCCATCAAGGTGAGGTCCCACCACTGGTGGGGCTGTGGATGCGTGCATGTTTACTTCACTTGTTTTGCAGTAGTGCAGCACGTAACTGCACTGTACCTCAGAGTCCTCATTTGTACAATAGGGATGATACTACCTACCTCATCAAAGGATTGTCTGTGAGCTTAAATGAGTTGTTACTACAGGGGCCCTTCATTCCTAAGGGCAATGGATAGAAATCAGAAGGTTTGGAACTTGGGTGGGAAAGATGTTGCATCATTATTTTTATTAATGTCTTACTGGAATAAAGCATTTTCTTCAGTTATGAAACAGGCTATAATTCATAAGAGTATTTGTAGTAACTGATTTGTCACCAGTAGAAATCACTGATATCTTCATATCACAATACCTTTATTGCAATATCTGCAAAAAGTATTGTTTGTATTTGTTACTGCTTTGAATTCACGGCAGTTACTCCCTTTCCCCTAGATGTTGTGATTTAATACATTAAGAAAAGAGCATGTATGTCACTGTGTTTTACTGTAACTCGTTTCCTTTGTCATCCTGTGTATTGTAGTTTATATACCTAAAAACATTACTTTGAGGAGTCTACAGTCTTGACCAGATTGCCAAGCCAGAGGCACAGGCGATGTCCATCAAACAAAAAACTTAAGAATTTCTGAGTTAATATATGTAAAGCTCTAAGAATAGTGCCTGGCACATAAGTACTATATAAATTATTTGCTCACAACCAAAAATACCCTCAGAATTCTAGAAGTTCTGAGGGTATTGTTGTGTTTTTTTCTTGGAGGTATTAACACATACACTCAGTGCACAGAAAGCCTGGTTCCACCCACTTCCTGTCATCTTTGTGGGCTCTGTCAGCAAGTTAGAGCATGCTGGTAAGGGTTAGGATAGCTCAGTCCTCACAGAAGCAGATGTTATTAGAACCAATAATGCTATAGAATCTGTCACTCCAAATGAATATTTGTGACTGTGCTTCGTCTGTGTTTGTCTGTTTCATAATTGAAGAAAATGCTAAATTCCAGTAAGAGATTTATACCTGATGTCCTTAGAAGGGTCAACAAACTAATGAGGTCTTATTTTCATTATTATCAAAAAGGCATATTATTTAATTTTATGAAATAGGTTTACCTTCATGGGTGACATTGCCATGAGTAAATAGTTGTGTTCGACTGGGTGCGGTGGCTCATGCCTGTAATCCCAGCACTTTTGGAGGCTGAGGCAGGCGGATCACTTGAGGTCAGGAGTTCGTGAGCAGCCTGGCCAACATGGTGAAACCCCGACTCTACTAAAAAATATACAAATTAGGCTGGGCGCAGTGGCTTACGCCTATAATCCCAGCACTTTGGAAGGCTGAGGCAGGTGGATCACAAGGTCAGGAGCTCAAGACCATCCTGGCTAACACGGTGAAACCTTGTCTCTACTAAAAATATAAAAAATTAGCCAGGCGTGGTGGCACGCACCTGTAGTCTCAGCTACTCAGGAGGCCAAGGCAGGAGAATCACTTGAACCTGGAGGCGGAGGTTGCAGTAAGCCAAGATCGCGCCACTGCACTCCAGCCTGGGTGACAGAGCGAGACTCCATCTCAAAAAAAAAAAAAATACACACACACGCACACACAGTAGCATGCGCCTGTAATCCCAGCTACTCAGCAGGCTGAGGCAGGAGAATCGCTTGAATCCAGGAGGCAGAGATTGCAGTGAGCTGAGATCATGCCAGTGCACTCCAGCCTGGGTGACTGAGTGAGACTCCGTCTCAAAAAGAAAATAATAATAATAATAATTGTGTTCTAGACTAAGTACCCACCAGCATGTACTAATAACGATAATGAAATCATCTTTAGAAGCTGGGTGTAGTGGCACATGCCTGGTAGTCTCAGCTACTCAGGAGGCTGAGCCAGGAGGATTGCTTGAATCCAGGAGTTCAAGGCTGAATGTGCCATGGGCGTGTCTGTGAATAGCCACTGCACTCCAGCCTGGGCATTGTAGTGAGAAAGAAGTCGTAGCTTGAGTGCTAAGCAGGGTGGCCACCAGAGGACGCTGGTTCCATGCAGCAAAGCATAACAAAGAAATGCATGTGGAGGCCAACTGTGGCCCCTGCGTAGGATGTCACTCCTGATTGTCCCAGGGTTTCATCTGTTGCCGAGACTTCTGCTAAAGCCTCACAAGAGAAGAATAATTAGCAACATAATGTATCAATTTTTTTAAATTGTGAAAAATAGTCACAAGTATTTATATAAAAACAGTATGTTTTCCAGGTACAGTGGTAGGTCTCATATTAAACAGTGAAAAGATTTTGTAGACTTTGAGGTAGGGAGGCAAAGGTTTTAGAAAGCAATTAATGATGGGTGCAATTTTCTCTTCCTTATATATCCTTTCTTATGTAGCCAGGGACTGGACTTGAGTCAAGATGTATGCATCAATTTATGCCTCTCTAGTAGACCAGAAGACATGGTCCATGAAAATTTAAAGTATCTGAGTGATTAGGTACCTAATAATAGCATCAGTTACCTGAGCAGGCACAGACATGGGGAATTTTTCATCTTTGTTAAAGTGTGTTTGTCTACTGCATTATTAGGCCAGTGTTTCATTAGTTAAGCCATCTCTTCAGTGCAGGTGGAAGTAATTTAGACATGGTGCACATGATTCTTACCAAGTGAAAACTTCAAAACTGAGTATTCTCTGTGAATTTTCTTCATCTTTCTGGAATATATGAAGAATTCAAGATTGGGATGACTTTTCAAATTCAAAGGCTGAAATTAAGAGTGTTTTCTAACTCTTAGTAATTCCTTCAACTTATGAATCTAATTATTTACTTCATAATAAAGAACCAGTTTGAATTAAATATTTTATTTACCTAATTTTAATGGTATCAGGTATATGTACTATTTTATGTTCAAAAATAGTAATTTTTTTGTTGTGCTTTAAATACCTCAAATTTTTACTGTCAAACTATTCCTTGTTTGAGTTAGGGAGGTTTGACTGCTTCGTATGATTGGCAGTGTTCTTTCAATAATGTTAATATCTTAATATTGACTAACGAATGGGGAGTTAATGTCATATTATTTCTTTGAATAATGTACTACTTTTGCAAGGAGAACACAGAATATAAATAGGCTTCATTCAGGATAAGAGATTGAAAAGTCACCTGTAAAGTTTTGAGAAAACAGATGGCTTAGGTGGTAAGGAAGCCGAAATGCAAGTGAACGTCTTGGTTCTCTGGGGTGATATAGGTTCTTGGCAGCTATCAAGGATTTTCCTCATTGTTACTAAGCATAAAACGAATATTTTTCTTAGATTGAGTTACCTGGAATCTTCCATGTAAACTGTGATCCACGATATTGGTTAAATAAGTAAATGTCCAGACTTCAGTTAATATTATAGTTGCTTCATTCTTTTTAAATTTTTTGCATGTTTTATTATGTAACACAGTTATATATTTACAAATATATTGGGGATGCAGTCTTAAATGGTTTTTTGTTTCTTTTTTGAGATGGAGTCTCGCTCTTTTGCTAGGCTGGAGTGCAGTGGTGCAATCTCGGCTCACTGCAACCTCTGCCTCCCGGGTTCAAGCGATTTTCCTGCCTCAGTCTTCTGAGTAGCTGGGACTATAGGCGTGTGCCACCACGCCCCGCTAATTTTTATATTTTTAGTAGAGAAGGGGTTTCACCATGTTGGCCAGGCTGGTCTCGATCTCTTGACCTCGTGATCTGCCCGCCTTGGCCTCCCAAAGTGCTGGGATTACAGGTGTGAGCCACCGCACCCAGCTTAAATGTTTTTTTTACTGATGGATTACATGATTAAAACATTTGGAAACCACTGCTTCCGTGAAAACAACAGTTATAAAGTCACCTTTTGTGTCACATGGAATAATGTGCAGGTTAAAGGGCATTTCTCCTGGGGTTGGATTCTGGTGTCTGGAATGATGAGAAAGGTTTTTAGATCCAGTGAGAGCCCCATGGAATACTGGACATAGATGCTGTTTGAGAACATCCTTCCCCAGATTCCTGACCCCTACATCCTGCTCCAGTGGGAACCGTGGAAGAGCAATAACTCAGTGCTGACGTGATCCCGAAGGGTTCTAAGAGAGCAGCAGTGAGTGAGGGGAGAAGTGAGGAGACAGGTGGGACCCTGGAGGGGGACCTGTGGAGGTCATGACTGTCCAGAGACTCGGTTCTGAGGGGAGCCACCCTTTGAGCACTGGCCTGTGTCTCCTCCCAGTTTAAACTCTGGGACCTGGGCTCTGACGGCGCATACTGGCTGTACACAATGATTACTCTTCCACTATTAAGTTATGGGATGTGTCTTTCAATTAAAAAATTTCCCCTTAATTTATAATGGAAATTTAAAAATTATTTGAGAAAAGATAGACATGCAGAAAGAAATCAAAAGTACCAAAACTTTTGGCTTATTTCTTTTGGTTCTCTGGTATCCTGTCTATCGTGGTGACTTATTTATTTATACATACATATATATATACACATATGTGTGTAAAAATACGTATATATGTATTTTTTCTTTTTCTTTTTTTTTTTTTTTTTTGAGATGGAGCCTCGCTCTGTCACCCAGGCTGCAGTGCAGTGGCACGATCTCAGGTCACTGCAACCTCTGCCTCCCGGGTTCAAGTGATTTTCCTGCTTAAGCCTCCACAGCAGCTGGGATTACAGGCATGTGTCGCCATGCCCAGCTAATTTTTTTGTATTTTTAGTAGAAACAGGGTCTTGCCATGTTGGCCAGGCTGGCCTCAAACTGAGCTCAAGTGATCCGCCCACCTTGGCCTCCCAAAGTGCTGGGATTACAGGTGGGAACCACCACATCTGGCCTTATTTTTATATTTTAAATTTATATACTTGATTTGCAGTCTGCTTTTTAAAAACTTGACAGTAGGCTGGGCGCTGTGGCTCATGCCTGTAATCCCAACACTTGGGGAGGCTGAGGCGGGCAGATCACGAGGTCAGGAGATCGAGACCATCCTGGCTAACACAGCAAAACCAATCTCTACTAAAAATACAAAAAATTAGCCAGGTGTGGTGGCAGGCGCCTGTAGTCCCAGCTACTCGGGAGGCTGAGGCAGGAGAATGGCATAAACCTGGGAGGCGGAGTTCGTAGTGAGCCGAGATCACCGCACTGCACTCCAGCCTGGGAGACAGAGTGAGACTGTCTCAAAAAAAAAAAAAACTTGACAGTAAATTTTTGGGTTTTGTACTATAGTGGATTAGGTAGTTTGAAAACCTGATCACTATAAGTAACAAACTTATTTTTTCAGTGTATAGTTGAGCTAATAAAAAGGTAAGAGAATTGCCAGAAAGGAAGCAGGTGGGAGGACTAAAACTTAGGGTGGCAAGCGTGGTGGCATCACTGAGGCCACCATGGGGGGCTGCTCTCACCTTAGTTGTCTAGAGGCTTGGATTTTATCACTCATGTGAAGGAGTGTAGAGCCTGTTAAGGGTGGAGAATTAGAATGGAGATCTCCTACCCGTTGCCCCGGGGAGATGACACATACCTTGTTTATTTTAACCTTGACTCTGACAGGTTGTTGGGGAAGTGTAGGTTGAGAATGTTAAATAGTCTTTTGAGCCTCCATGGGCTTAGGGACTCATTCTGTATGAAATCTAGACCCAGGGCCACATGAGATGGCTCAAGTCTGTAATCCCAACATGTTGAGAGGCTGAGGCAGGAGGATTTCTTGAGGCCAGGAGTTCCAGACCAGCCTGGGCAATATGGGGAGTCCCCAGGGAAAAAACAAAAAAGAAAACTAGACCCAGTCGTCGATACCCTTGGACTGTTTGACAAAATAAAACCAAAAATCTGTTATAAGGAGAAATTACTCTCAGCAGAGGAAGTTCCCACTTAAGAAAAAGAGAAATTTCTTCACCTCAGGTCACATAGGACACGCACAGGTAAAGCCTCATTGAAGATGAGCTTGAAATGTAAAGTCAACAGTCAGCCACCAAGAAAACAGCTGATCATGAGCAGGAGTGAACACATATAACAAACAGGTTATAGTTCTCCAAGGATTTCAAATAATAAAGCCATTAGATAGACTATAAAACAAGTAGGCTTAAAATTAGTAACCTGAAAACATAAAAAAGCAACAAATCACTCCAAAAAGAACAAACAGATTGGAAAGCCCTAAATGGAACTATTGAAAATGAGAATCATAGTTATTAAATTTCAGTGAAATGGGATAAAAAGATCAGACTTAGGTGAAAAGAAAAGGAAGTAGAAGATAAATTTAAAGACACTTCTTCCCCATCTTTCTTTGTGAGGCGTCCACCCCTCCCTGCTCCCCTCCATGGAGCCAGTGTTTCCAAAGGCCCCCAGCCCGCTTTGCAGGTGTCACTTCTCCAGCCCATTTAAAACCCAAGTTCATGGCTATCTTGCAGGATTTGCTTTTTCATTGTTTGGCCTCTGAGGATTTCATTCATTCATTCATTCATTCATTCATTCATTCATTCATTATTCATTGTTTATTCATGCATGCATGTATGTATGTGAGTGAGTGACAGGGTCTCACTGTCACCCAGGCTGGAGTGCAGTGGTACCATCATAGCTCATTGCAGCCTCAAACTCGTGGGCTCAAGCAGCCTCCCATCTCAGCCTCCCAAGTAGCTGGGACTACACCAGATAGCTGGCCTGCTGCCACACGCAGCTAATATTTTTATCTCTTGTGGAGATGAGGTTTTGCTTTGTTGCCCAGGCTGGTTTTGTACTCCTGGGCTCAAGCGATCTTCCTGCCTTGGCCTCCCAAAGTGCTGGAATTAATCACCAGGTAATTTCATTTCTTATTACAGGCTCTGCCCTGTATTTAAAGAGATGGTTTATGTATTTCTTCTTGCATGTTCAGGTGTTCTGAGGGGTTTTTATGCCATTCGGCCTGCCACATTGTAATGAAGCTGTCCCTCTTCATACTTTTTTAGTTAGACATTTTCTAATTAATAATAATATGACTAGACTGTAGTATGGCCACTTTCCCATGGCTTTAAATGTAGTTAAGCATCTTTTTTATGGACAGTATTCAAGAATGATAGCCCCTCTTTGACTAGCCCCTCTTTGGGTAGTCTTCAATACCCAAAGCCCCTCTTTGGGTAGTCTTCAATATTTTGATTCAAAACATTGATGAAACAAACAACTCGGTACCTACCTATGGCTCTGCAACCAAGTACATACTAGGAGTAGACTTACTGAGACAGCTGACACTACACACGTTAAGGCTTTTGGCATCTGAGAAGCGTAGGCCATCTCAACAGAATACCTGACAATGTTCTGGAGACATCTGGTAGGCAGGAGGCCTGGGGCCGGGCTCTGGTTCCTGCCATGCTCTGCAGGGATGTTGCCCCTGAGGGGATCAGCGTCTTCACCATGGACATGGGAGTGTGGGATCGGCTCAGCTGCAAGGGTTCTGTCAGTATTAGCTGGGATTCCCACTCTGTCTCTCTCTCCCGTTTCCAGGTGACCTCACGGTGGACATTCCGATGCCCAGGATGCCCTCAGGCCCTGTCTCATGATGACTCCCACTTCCACGAGCGGCACAAGTGCATCAACTTCTTCGTGAAGGTGTACGGCTACATGCCCCTCCTGTACACGCAGTTCAGGGTGGATTCTGTGCTCTTCAAGACACGCCTGCCCCATGACAAGACCAAGTGCTTCAAGTTCATCTAGGGGCAGCGCACGGTCTGGGGAAGAGGATGAGCAGAGGGAGGAAGATGGCTCCCAAGGTTCCTAGGCATTGCAGGACCTTGGGCACATCTGCTGGTGGGTGGCCCAGAGCCTCTGCTGGAAGGGGCAGCAGGAGGAGTGGAAGGAAACCGCTGCCTTTATCTTGAAGTCAGCCACACTGGGCCTGGAGCCCTGGGCGGAGTCCCCGGGGTTCCCCACACAGGGCACTGACTGATAGCTTACACTGAGGACTGTGGCGACTCTGCAGAGTCACTCACACCGTTCGTACGCCCAGGACAGCTGGTTCGTGGTTTTTACATTCAATAACAACTATTATGATTATTTAAAAAGAGAAAGTTTCAGATTTGCCATTCAAGGCTTATTTATATATATGTGTGTGTATATAAATACATGCACACACTTGCATACATATATATTTTTGGCTGGGGGAGTGTGAGTTTTGCCTTTCTAAGGGAGGGACCGCGCAGGCTCCTTTGTTCTGTATTCTGGCGGAGATGGGTCCTGGCCTTGTGTCACTGGCTTATCCTTAAAGATCATCTCCCATCCTCCCCAGCGCCATCTGTGTGCAGCAACCAGAAAGGGATGAACTTGGCCCTCTTGCGGGCCTGGACAAGGTCTCTTCCTTACCCTTTCTGTTGCCAGTCAGCAACCTGTAACTCACATTCTCTTCCCAGTGAATCCCTGGGAGCGCCTGACCCTGGTGGGCTGTTCAGCTTCCTGCTGCTGGGGCCAGCGATTTTTGAGGATTTATCTTTAGGCCAGGCTTGCCTCCGTACTTATCCCTGCTCTCCCATTTCTCTCTTGTTTGAGAGAGAATGAGGAAGCAAAGAGTGAGAAAGAATAGGGGCTGAAGACGCCACTCCCAGATGGCTCTTTCTATCCTGCTCTTCTGTTGAAACACACGTGCTGTGGGCCTCAGGCGTTTCTGAAGTGCTCTTTCTTGGATTGGACAGGAGATCAGCAGCGTGCACATCTGCTGTGGTCTGAAGTGGTTTGCAGGTCAGCCTCCTCTCCCTAGTGTAGAGCAAGCCAGTGTCCTTCGAGGAACCCACCCGGCTGGCCGGGAAGTTTTACAGCAAGGCGCCTGCCTTGGGATAATTCCTTGGTGAAATTCACCTTCCCCCCGCCTCTGTCTGGAGCCCCATCCTGTGTTATCTGTGGTTTTTGGACCCCTAATGTCAGCTTGGCTGTAGGACTCCCCGAGGTTTGGTATGTGCTAGAACAATGGGAGGCTGTGATTTGCTGTGTAAGCTCACATCCAGCCTTGGAATCTAACGGGCATTCACAACCCGAGTTACCACTTTCCACTCCCTGCTTAGGATTCTGTTCCCTGGGCTGAAACTGAAATAAGCTAATTTTTTGGGTCACGGTGGCAGTAGGGGAACCTAGGAGGGTGTGAGTGGCATTTGTCAGGGATTTAGCCCATGACGTGTTTCTTGAACCCTACTTTCTGGAAGTGGAGTTGACTCTGGAAGTTTTCTAGCAACTGAACAAAAGCTCAGGTTTGTCCTGGTCATGCACATGCCTTAAGCCAGTTCCGTCTTCCCTAGACCTTGGCATCCTGTGCTTCTATTTCTTGGAATACGTTCTCCTCTGACCTGCCTGTACCACGTGGGTCCTCTTCAAGTACTGTTTTGAAGCTGGGCTCTTTTGTGTAGCTCCCACCCACCTGTAGGGCTAGCTCGGCTTAAGGGAACTCTCCCCATTGGCAAACCGGACCCGGCCGCCGCCAGGACTGTGTTTCCAAAGGTTCCCCGCCCCCAACCCCAGCATCAGCCTGTAGCTCCCCTGCTGAGGCAGTGTGGTTATGTTCCCAGCAGTGGGGGTCAGACGCCCTTCCTCAGAACTTTCTAGTTGCCCTCTACCTGACTCCTGACTTGTATTCCTTTTAGCAGTAGCCTTCTTCCCTCGGGGAGCCAAAGAGTGTGGTGTGTGGCGCTATATTGTGGCTGCTATTTCATCTGGTTTCTTTTAATGTGAGGAACTCACATACTGACTTCAGTGGGACTCGGTGAGCCGGGGCCGTCTGTGTGGTGGGACCCCCTTTAGCGGGACTCAGTGAGCTGGGGCCGTCTGTGTGGTGGAGCCAGGGCCTCTCCCTTTAGTGGAGCCAGGTTGTCGGGCCCCGAATGTCACTGGTGGATCTAAGAAGGGCTGAGTGGTCTGACACCAAAACATGCCGCAGGGAGGGCTGTGGTGCCGGTGCTTCCAACAAGGACAGCCCTCCTTGACCCTGAAAGGAACACTGGCTTGAAGGACTGCAGACAGGCTCTGAGGGGCACGCCCTCCTCAGCGAGAGGCAGCAAGGTGGCCACAGTGTCACTGGTCAGGTGCTTCTCACCACGGGAAAGCCGCCGACCTGTGACTCGCTTGAGATGGGAAAGCGGCGCCACAGACCCCGGGTCTCCTTGGCTGTCTGTGGGCCGCCCCTGGCCACCTTGTCCTGGCTCGCAGGGTGCAGGAGCGCCTCGTTCTCTGGGTGGCCGGCTTGCTGCTCCGGTTTGGGCTGTCTTACCATAACACCGTCCCAGGGCTCTGCAGGCCACTGTGAGCGCTGGCTCCCTGGGCAGTGCTCCTCCGTGTGGACTGTGCCTCAGGCCAGGGCTCACCAGCTGGGGTCCTGTCCGGAAGGATGGGATCTTTCTGGGAGCTGCGCCGGACAGAGTGGGGAGCTCCTAGTTTGTGGGGGGAAGCTTTGATATCCATGCCACGTCCATCCACCCCACCCCTTTTCGTCACGAGCACAATGGTCTTACATTGGATTTTTGTAAAAAAATAAAAATAAATGGAGACTTTAACTCAAGCAGCTTGGAGGTCTTTTGTGGTTTTCCTCAGCAAGTATGGAAGAGTGACCTGAGAGAAGGCACCTGCTTGATTGCTTGATTCCAGGTCGCCACCTGTGTATGCCAGCTGGGCCTGCTCGCAGAAGACGATGGGAGGCAGCCTGACCAGGCCCTGGTGTGGGCTGTGGACCAGAGATGGGTGAACAGACTCACACTCACATGGGCAGCCTTGCCTGTGCCCGGTTCCAGGGCAAGTCATTTTGACAAAACAGGAACTTAGGGGCTGTTGAGGTGCTTTAAGCAGGATGTGGAAGGGCATGTGGCCCATATATGCAAAGTTAATTTTTTCATGGGAATTTAAAATGCGTGTGTGTGTGTGTGTGTGTGTGTGTGTAGTGGTTGTGGGGAGCTGTGTGTGCCTGCGATCCCAGGACAGGTGAGGCCTCACTGTGAATGGCTCGATTCGGTCCATAGGTCATGCCCCTGACCTATAGGTCACTAAGGCACCTGTACCTGCACCGAGCTGACGCTCCCTGACTGCAGAGCCCCATCCTGTTGGTGCCCACAGGCCTAGATCTTGTGCTTGGCTGTGGGATCAGAGGCTTCCTCAGGAGAGGGCACTGAGCTGTGGGCTTCGGGGAGAAGGATGGAGATGGGAAAGGGGGTAAAGGCGAGGACTCCTCTCCTGGGCTCTGCAGGTGGCAGCTTTGGTCACACTGACAGTCCTAAGAATGGGTGAGACTTAACAGTCGGTGTCCCTCCTCAAGTGGGGTTCACGACTGATCAGGCAAGTTTGCAGCAGCTGATGGGTGAGATGTCATCGAGGGGCATTCCTCTTTGGGTCTGGAGTTTTGGCTGTCAAGCTCCTGTTCTTCCAGCCATCCATCTCCATGTTACGATTGTCCTGGGACCAGAGAGACTTGAGAAGGTGGCATGAGGCTGTAGAAAATGTGTCTTCCTATACACAGAGATATGATGTCTGCTTTGAGTCTATACCTGTCGAGTTGTGTCTTGGACTTACGGTCTGCCAAGGTGGTAAATGTTAGCTGTTGATGGGATCATCACTGAAGTGGAAGGCTCCACAAGGTTTACAAAATGTGTTAAGAAGAATGTTGATGGTGGTGTGTGGTGCCTAACATCTTAATCTCAGCATTTGGTGAGGCAGAAGTGGGAGGATCACATGAGGCCAGTTCAAGACCAGTCTGGGCAACATAGCAAGACCCCCATCTCTACAAAAAAATTAGAATGTTATGAAGATACTGAAAAGAAGAAAGGAGAATGTAGTGGGTAAAGGTCTGGGCCCTGGAACAGACTGGGTGCAGATCTTGGGCTGCCCATCACACTGGTGGAGAGCAAGTTATCTATTACTATTTTAGGCTCTAATCCCACCATACGGTGGCAAAAGTTGTGCCCATCTCTTAAGCATATGTTAAAAGTTAAATAATATAATATACGTAGAGTCCACTGTTTGACACAATAAAAATGAACTATTACTGGAGTAAAATAGTGTCCACTTCTTCATGGCTCTTTCTGCCTTCCGCTAGGTTTGAGCGCCAGCGCCTGGCTGAGTGCCCTGCTCACCTCCTATTAGAGCCCCCACGCTCTGTCGCCTCACCATGCTGTGTGCTGGCCACTGCTCTGCCTCCCACACCGGACTGCAGCCTCTCAAGAACACAGGAGTTCCATAGTTTTCTCATGAATGAATGCTTTGACAAAGTGAAGAGGGTCACTTAGAAATCACAGCTTAGGCAAATTGTTTTACCTTTCTTCATCTGTCTTGACGTTTATGAAAGAGTACAGGCTGGGTGCGGTGGTTCACGCCTGTAATCCCAGCACCTGGGGAGGCCAAGGCGGGTGGATCACCTGAGGTCAGGAGTTTGAGACCAGCCTGGCCAAAATGGCGAAACCCCTTCTCTACTAAAAATACAAAAATTAGCCAGGTGTGGTGGCACGTGCCTGTAATCCCAGCTACTCAGGAGGCTGAGGCAGGAGAATTGCTTGAACCCAGGAGGCGGAGGTTGCAGTGAGCTGTGATTTGCGCCATTGCACTCTAGCCTGGGCAACAAGAAACTCCGTCTCATAAAAATAAAAAAAAAGTACAGCTGCTGGTCCTGTTGTAGGACTGTCATGTTAGCATTGAAACTACTTACATTCTATTGATTTAAACGACTGGTCCCACATTTCAAACATACGGCAATGTTGAAATCATTTCTAGGGCATAAATGTCTATGTCATTTTACTGGACCCGCCTTGGAGCGTCCCATCTACCCATGCCCCGTCCCTTCACCCATCCTGCCATTCATCCTTTCATGGTGCACTGTTGAGGTACATTTCTGAGTAAAGTGGCAACATCAATGCATTTCCTTCTAAATACATGGGCATACAACTGTTCATTATAGGTCAATGTTTGTGTTTTTAATGTAAACTTTATTTTAAACGTGCACACTGTAATGCACACATCTTCAGTGTGCATTCTTTTGAGTTCTGACAAATGCACACACCTGTGTAACCCAGACCCCTCTCAATATATGGAACACTACTATCAACCCAGAAAGTCCCCTCCTGCTCCTTCCTCCTAGTCAGTCCCCACGTCCTCCATCCTCAGACATAGCCAATGCTGATGGTTTTTTTCATTTTGGATTAGTTTTCCATATTCTAGAATTTCATATAAATGGTGTCCTATAATTTCTACTCTTGTGTGTGTCCGTCTTCTACACACCCAGCATAACGTTTTGGAGATGCATCCATCGTTGCTGAATAGATTGGTGATTAGTTACTTTTTATTGCTTAGTATTCCCTTGTATGAATTGAGTAAAATCTGTCCGTTCTATTATATAGGTACTGGGGCTTTTTCCAGTTTTTGGATATTATGAATAAAGTTTCCGTGAACATTCATGTGCAAGTCTTTCTGTGGATTTTTATTTCTCTTGGGTAAATACCTAGGAGTGGAATTGTTGGGTAATATGGTAGATGTATACATGTTTAGTTTTGTAAGAAACTTCTAGACCTTTTCTCAATGCGATCATTCCATTTTGTACTTCCACCAGTAATTATGAGACTCCCAGTTCCACATCCTCACTGATCCATGGTCTGGTCAGTCTTTTTAATTTTAGCCATTCTGGTGAGTAATGGTGTCTTATTTCATTCTGCGTTTTCCTGATGACTGGTGATTTAAGCACCTTTTCATGTGTTTACGCCATTTATATATATTTCCTTTGTGAATTATCTGTACACATCTTTTGCCCATTAAGAAAAACTGGATTGTCCTTTTTTGAATTGCTTTCTTTTCTTCCTACATTTTTAATAGATTTCGGGGGGAGCAGTTTCAGATTTACAGCAAAACTGCATGAGAAGTACAAAGAGACTTCTTCTTCCACCTCACCCCTCACTTGTCCTTTATTAACATCTGCCATTAGTGTGATAGATTTGATACAATTGATGAGCCAGTGTTGACACATTATTCACTCAAGCCCATGGGTTTACATTAGGCTTCATTCATTGTGTTGTATGTTCTATGGGTTTTGACAAATATGTAATGATATATATTCACCATTACAGTCTCACACAGAACAGTCTCACTCCCCTAAAAACTTCCTGTGCTGCACCTATTGGTCCCTCCCTCCCTCTCTGAATCTCTGGCAACCACTGATCTTTTTACTGTTTTCACACTATGGCCTTTTCCAGAATGTCACATAAAATCATACAGCATGTAGCCTTTTCACATTGGCTGCTTTCATGTAATATAATATGCACTTAAGGTTCTTTTGTATCTTTTTCCCGGTTTGATAACCAGTTTCTTTTCTCAATGAATAGTATCGTATGGATGTATTTAGTCTTTTTTATTGCTGAGTTACAGGAATTTTTTGCGCTGGACACTAGTCCATTGTCAGATATGTTTTGTAAATTATTTTTTTAATTTGTGGCTTGCCTAATCATTTTCTGTATGGTGTCGTCTGATTAGCAGAAGTTTTCAATTTTGAGGAGATACAATTCTCTTGTTACTACTTTCTGTGACCCAAGAAACCTGTGCCTACCCAACATCATGAAGATATTTTCAGTGTTTTTCACCAAATGCTTTATGGTATTAGCTCTTATAATTAAAGATCCATCTCAGTGTTTATGGTGTGTGGCAGTGGTCAGGTTTCTGATACTTCTTCTATATGGGCATTGCAGCACCATTTGTTAAAAAGACTTTCCCTTCCCTTTGTTGAAAAGGTGGTCATTATAGAAGTGGGGCTCTGTTTCTGAGCCATCTTTGTTGTTATGCTGCTTTGTTCATCCTCGTGCCAGTTCCATACGGTCTTGATGAATGCAGCTTTCCAACTTTGTTCATCTCCAAGATTGCTTTCAATATTATAGTTACTTTGTATTTCTCTGTAAATTTTAGAATTAGTTCTATGGCATTAGCTCCTTTTCTTTTCAATTTTATAATTTCATAATATATTCCTTTTTTTTACTTTAAGTTTTAGGGTACATGTGCACAATGTGCAGGTTAGTTACATATGTATACATGTGCCATGCTGGTGTGCTGCACCCATTAACTCGTCATTTAGCATTAGGTATATCTCCTAATGATATCCCTCCCCCCTCCCCCAACCCCACAACAGTCCCAGAGTGTGATGTTCCCCTTCCTGTGTCCATATGTTCTCATTGTTCAATTCCCACCTATGAGTGAGAATATGCGGTGTTTGGTTTTTTGTTCTTGCGATAGTTTACTGAGAATGATGATTTCCAATCTCATCCATGTCCCTACAAAGGACATGAACTCATCATTTTTTATGGCTGCATAGTATTCCATGGTGTATATGTGCCACATTTTCTTAATCCAGTCTATCATTGTTGGACATTTGGGTTGGTTCCAAGTCTTTGCTATTGTGAATAGTGCCGGAATAAACATACGTGTGCGTGTGTCCTTATAGCAGCATGATTTATAGTCCTTTGGGTATATACCCAGTAATGGGATGGCTGGGTCAAATGGTATTTCTAGTTCTAGATCCCTGAGGAATCACCACACTGATTTCCACAATGGTTGAACTAGTTTACAGTCCCACCAACAGTGTAAAAAGTGTTCCTATTTCTGCACATCCTCTCCAGCACCTGTTGTTTCCTGACTTTTTAATGATTGCCATTCTAACTGGTGTGAGATGGTATCTCATTGTAGTTTTCATTTGCATTTCTCTGATGGCCAGTGATGGTGAGCATTTTTTCATGTGTTTTTTGGCTGCATAAATGTCTTCTTTTGAGAAGTGTCTGTTCACGTCCTTGGCCCACTTTTTGATGGGGTTGTTTTTTTCTTGTAAATTTGTTTGAGTTCATTGTAGATTCTGGATATTAGCCCTTTGTCAGATGAGTAGGTTGCGAAAATTTTCTCCCATTTTGTAGGTTGCCTGTTCACTCTGATGGTAGTTTCTTTTGCTGTGCAGAAGCTCTTTAGTTTAATTAGATCCCATTTGTCAATTTTGGCTTTTGTTGCCATTGCTTTTGGTGTTTTAGACATGAAGTCCTTGCCCATGCCTATGTCCTGAAGGGTAATGCCTAGGTTTTCTTCTAGGGTTTTTATGGTTTTAGGTCTAACGTTTAAGTCTTTAATCCATCTTGAATTAATTTTTGTATAAGGTGTAAGGAAGGGATCCAGTTTCAGCTTTCTACATGTGGCTAGCCAGTTTTCCCAGCACCATTTATTAAATAGGGAATCCTTTCCCCATTGCTTGTTTTTCTCAGGTTTGTCAAAGATCAGATAGTTGTAGATATGCGGTGTTATTTCTGAGGGCTCTGTTCTGTTCCATTGGTCTATATCTCTGTTTTGGTACCAGTACCATGCTGTTTTGGTTACTGTAGCCTTGTAGTATAGTTTGAAGTCAGGTAGCGTGATGCCTCCAGCTTTGTTCTTTTGGCTTAGGATTGACTTGGCAATGTGGGCTCTTTTTTGGTTCCATATGAACTTTAAAGTAGTTTTTTCCAATTCTGTGAAGAAAGTCATTGGTAGCTTGATGGGGATGGCATTGAATCTATAAATTACCTTGGGCAGTATGGCCATTTGCATGATATTGATTCTTCCTACCCATGAGCATGGAATGTTCTTCCATTTGTTTGTATCCTCTTTTATTTCATTGAGCAGTGGTTTGTAGTTCTCCTTGAAGAGGTCCTTCACGTCCCTTGTAAGTTGGATTCCTAGGTATTTTATTCTCTTTGAAGCAATTGTGAATGAGCATTCAACTCATCATTTGGCTCTCTGTTATTGGTGTATAAGAATGCTTGTGATTTTTGTACATTAGCTCTTATGCTTACATAAAATTCATCTCAATACTGCCCAGTCTCTTCTAAGAAACCTGGCATTATCAGATTAAAAAAATTTAAACATAAAATTTGCCATGTTAGCCATTTTGAAGTGTACAATTTAGTTCCATTAAGTATATTCACAATGTTGTGTAACCCTCACCACTAGCTAGTTACAAAACTGTTTCATTGCGAACAAATTCTGTACTCATTAAACAGTAACTTCCCATTCCCCCACTACTTCCAGCCTCTGATAACCTCTATTCTCTCTCTATGGATTCATCTATTCTGGATATTTGAATATAAATGAAATCATAAAATATGTGGTCTTTTGTGTCTGGCTTATTTCACTTAGCATGTTTTCAAGGTTCACCCGTTGCAGCATGTATCAGAATCTCATTCTTTTCTATGAGTGGATAATATTTCATTGTGTGTATGTTCCACATTTTGTTTTATCTGTTTATCTGTTGGTGGATACTTGGGTTGCATCCATCTTTTGGTTACTAAGGTGGTGAATAATATTGCTAAGAACATAGGTGGCCAAATATTTGAGTCCCTGCTCTCAATTCTTTTGGGTATCTATAGAGGAGTGGAGTTGCTGGACAATATGGTAATTCTGTATTTAACTTTTTGAGGAACTGCCAAACCGTCTTCCGTAGCGGCTGTGTCATTTTACATTCCACTAGCAGCGTATGAAGGTTCCAATTTCTCCACTTCTCCCAACACTTACTTTCTGATAAAAATTTAAAAAAATGGTACAGCCATCCTAGTAGGTGTGAAGTGGTACCTGGTCATGGGTTTGATTTTCATTTCCCTAATGACCAGTGTTGAATATCTCTTTATGTGCTATTGGCCATCTGTGTATCATCTTTGGAAAAATGTTTATTCAAGTCCTTTACCTACTTAAAACATTGGGTTAGGTTGTGGTGTGGCTGTCTGCTGGGATGGTATTGCATCAAATCCATAAATCAATAGGCAGAATTAAAATGTTAGTATTGAGTATTCTAATCCATCAATATGGCATATTTCTCCATTTATTCAAATCGTTAATTTTTATCAGCAAGGTTTTGAGACTTTTAGTGTAGAGATCTTACATATCTTTTCAAAAGTTATCTCACACTATTATGAATGAAGTTGCTGTTTTAAAAACATTTTATTTCTGGCCAGGTGTTGTGCCTCACACCTGTAATCCGAGCACTTTGGGAAGCCAAGGTGGGTCTCTATAAAAGTAAAAAGAAAAAAAAAATTAGCTGGATGCAGTGGCATGTGCCTGTGATCCCAGCTACTCAGGAAACTGAGGTGGGAGTATCACTTGACCCTGAGAGTTTAAGGCTGCAGTGAGCCATGACTGTGCCACTGCACTTCAGCCTGGGTGACAAAGTAAGACTCTCTCTCAAAAACTTGTTAATATATAAAATACAGTTGACTTTTGGATACTAACCTTGTATTTTGCAGTCTTGTGAGCTTATTCCAGTAGTTTTCTAGATTTCTTAGAACTTTCTATGTAAAAAGTCTCATCTGAAAACAGTTTTACTTCTTTCCTACCTTTATGCTTTATCTGTTTGTATGCCTGCCTGCCTTTTCCTCTTCAATTTTGCCTTATTGCAATGACTGGGACTCCGAGAACACTATAGAACAGTAGTATGGATCGGCACCTTGCTTTGCTCTCAATATTTGGGGAAAAGCTCTAGTATTTCACTGAGCTGTTAAGTTTTTCATACATAACCTTTATCAGGTTGAGTATGTTCCCTTTTATTCCTGTCTGCTGAGTGCTGTTAGAGAATTTCATCAAATGCTTTTTTCCTGTATCTATCGAAATGATCCTCTATTCTATTATAAATTAGATTGGCTTTCAAATATTTAATTATCCTTGCATTCCAGGGATAAACCCTACTTGGTCATGTCATATTATCCTATTTGTGTATTGCTGGATTCAGGTTGCTGGTAAGTTTTTTTTTTTTTTTTTTTTGCATTGATGTTCATGAGAGATATTTACCTCTCATTTTCTTTTTTGGTAATGACTTTATAAGGTTTTGGTATTAGAGTTATGCTGGCCCCTTAAAAGGGACTGGAATATTCCCCCTTCCTCTTTTTGATAGAGGTTATACAAGATTGGTGTTATTTCTTCCTTAAATGTTTGATAGTTTCCCAGGGAAACCATCTAGGCCTGGAGTTTTCCTTGTGAGAAGATAATAAATTTAATTTCTTAAGTGAATATCAAGTTCTTTTTCTTATTGAATGAGCTTTGTCTATTTGTGTCTTCAAAGGAAATTTTCCATTTTATCTGTGGTGGTAAATCTGTTGGCATAAGTTGGTGTTCTTTTTATCCCTTTAATATTTGTAGGCTCTTTAGTAATACCCCCCTTTCCTTTCTGATTGGCTGTCTTCTTCATATCCGTAGGATCTGTAGTGATAACCAAAGTTTTTTCACTGCCCATATGGGCAGTCGGTCCTGTCTTTCCTTGATCAGTCTAATGAGGTGTGTATCAGTTCTGCTGATGTTTTAAAAAATCAGCTTTTGGCTTTGTTAGTTTTCTCTGTTCTGTTTTGCTCATGTTTTGCTTATTTTTATGATTTCTTTCCTCTACTTTCTTTGGGTTTATTTGGCTCTTTTTATAGTCTTCTAAGGTAAAAATTTAGATCAAGTTTAGGTCTTTCATTTTTTCTGTAAGCATTTAAAGGTATAAGATGACTTTTAAGCACTACTTTAGCAGTATCCTGTACATGTTGAGCTTTAATTTTCTGTTCAAAATACTTTCCAATTCATTTTGGGATGTCTTCTTTGATCCATGAGCTATTTTAGAAGTGTTTAATTTCTAAATATTTGTGGTTTTCCAAAATACTTCGTTGAGTTTGAATTTAATTCCATTGTGGTGGGAGAAGGTTTTGTGTATGCGTTCGGTCCTTTCAGATGTAATGAGATTTATCACCTAGCATATGGTTTTCATAGTAAACATTCTGCTGCTGCAGAGCAAGTATTCTAAAAAGTATCAATTAAGTCAAAGTTTTTGACAGTTTTGTTCAGGTCATCTATGACTTTTTTTTTGTCTAGTTGTTTTAATAATTATTACAAGGGTGATAAAATCTCTAATGGAATTGTTTTTTTGTGGTAGGTTGTTCTATCTACCTACTTACGTAACTACATACGTCTGGAGTTTATAGTTTTACCTCTAGGAGGGTCAGGTCTGATGGGAGCTGTTACATTGCCATTCCATTATTTGACCTTTACTTGAATAAACTACAGAAATGTTCCCACACACAGCACTTGAGCAGGGATTGGCATACTTTTTCTGTAAAGGGTCAGCCAGTGTTTTAGGCTTTGTGGGCCACATGTGATTTCTGTTGCATCTTTTTTCTAACAACTCTGCTTGTGGGCCAGATTTGGCTTTTCGGCCACAGTTACCAACCTCTGATTCATCTCATCAGGAAGCTGCCCACTGAATCGAGTAGCTATTTTAAAGCATGGGCTAAATGATAGGGATTTTTACACTTATGTGCAGGTTCCCATGTTTAGAACATTGCAGTTAAAAAACTGACCCACCAGGAAATGTTGTTTTGGCCTGTAATTCCTAAATATTTCTGAAATTTTCTTTCCTTACCTTCTTCCACAAGCCTCATGCTGGGACAAGGTGGAAAAAACAGACCCTGCCCCCAGGGTGCTCATGGTCCTGGAAATGTGCTCCTCTCTAGCTGTAAGTCTGGGAGAAATGCTTATCTGTGACGGTGAGCTAAAGCCATGAGAGAGGGCACAACACACCGAATATGTGAGCAGCTGCCGACTAATGCCCACTGATGACTGGAAGGTGCTTACTGATGATTGGGAAAGGCTTTGTGAAATGAAAGTCCATTATTTCCAAAGTATGTGAAGCAAATGTAAATAGTTACTAGAGTAAAAACTTATATTGGATAATTTAAGGAAACGTTAGCAAACTTATTTTAATTGATAATGTGTTTGGTAACTCAGAATTTATTGTAGGAGAATTAAGTTACTTTTTACTGGTGATTGATTTGATAACTACATCAGGGAGGCTTACACATGGGTTAGGAATGTTTATTGTAGAAAAAGGTAAAGGGTAAATCCTTCTAACACAAACACCATTACACGGGGGCTTTGCACATTTTTTTCAATGGCCTGCAATGCCAACAGAAGAGAAGCAAGAAATATTCTACATGCCTGAGGAGATGGGCGTTTACACCCCTTTCAAAGATCTGTGGTCCTGTGTCTCAAAAGTTTACATTTAACGTGTGCATGTGTGTGTGTGTGTGCACATGTATATATATAGATAGATAGATAGATGGTTTTTTTTTTTGTTTTTTTTTTTGAGACAGAGTCTGGCTCTGTCTCCCAGGCTGGAGTGCAGTGGTGCGATCTTGGCTCACTGCAACCTCCATCCCCCCGCCCCCTCCCCGGGTTTAAGCATTTCTCTGCCTCAGCCTCCTGAGTAGCTGGGATTACAGGCATCTGCCACCACGCCTGGCTAATTTTTGTATTTTTAATAGAGATGGGGTTTCACCATCTTGGCCAGGCTGGTCTTGAACTTCTGACCTTGTGATTCACCCACCTTGGCCTCCCAAAGTGCTGGGATTAGAGGTGTGAGCCACTGTACCTGGCCATAATGTATATAATGCTTTATGATGTGATTAAAACCCATAATGGGCTGCCAAGGAGCAGTGGAGACTCTGGTATTTGATCTTTAGAAGATCAGTTCCTGATGGAGGCTGGCTCAAGTCTACAGTGAGAATGGCCCTGTGGCTCAGCTTGGCACTGCTGGTCTCCAGGATTTACCTGTGACTTCCTCCATAATTGTCATTGGTTATTTCCACTCTATTTTAGGTTCAAAGAAGACTACTGTTATTTATGTGTAGTCCCACTGCAGTGCATTTGAAAGATAAGTGTTGTCTACCTTCTTATAGATGGCATAAAGCAGTGAGACAGCATTAACTACTCCTCTTGGCTGCAGGAAAAAAACTGGACTCAGGGCCAGAGGAAAAGTGTCCTCCTTCCCTTCCCACTCGTTGCTTGACTCTTGTTAATATGTCATTATGCAGGTTTAAAGGTTTCTTCACTCTTGTTTCTGTTGATACTTCATTACAGTTTGGAAATGCCTTTATAGGACAACTGTGAGGGCCAAAAGCTTCAAGCTCTTCAGGGATCAGGAGAGATGGAGTAGATGTGACTTGGAAAGCAATGGCCTAAAAGACAGATTGCCATTTCCTGGCTGGCTGCTGACCTGATACTCACCCACGGTGTTGCGGTAAGGCAGAGGCCACTCACTGGCGGTTCTGCGGAAAGTTACTTAAGCTCTGTTCCCTCACCCAACAGCTGACTGCAGCCGTGTGGAGAGGAGACCCTGAGCCAGGGTCGACCAGCTAAGCCACACTACACCAGATTCCCGACCACAGAAACAGTGAGATGAGAAAAGTCAGGTTTTCTTTTTTTTTTTTTTTTTCTTTTTGAGACGGAGTCTCGCTCTGTCGCCCAGGCTGGAGTGCAGTGGCACGATCTTGGCTCACTGCAAGCTCCGCCTCCTGGGTTCACGCCATTCTCCTGCCTCAGCTTCCGGAGTAGCTGGGACTACAGGCGCCCACCACACCTGGCTAATTTTTTGTATTTTTAGTAGAGATGGGGTTTCACCGTGTTAGCCAGGATGGTCTCGATCTCCTGACTTCGTGATCTGCCCGCCTCGGCCTCCCAAAGTGCTGGGATTACAGGCGTGAGCCACCGTGTTTTGGGGTAATTTGTTGTGCAATAGATACCTAATATATCACTTTGTACTAAGACTTAAATAATATGAGGTCTCTGCACTATTAAGTTTTTTTCAATTAATCATTAGGATTCCACTGGGTTTGAGTACAAACTTTTCTGGATGTCAGAGTCTTCGCCAGGTTGATGTCAGTGTCAGTCAATGTCAGTTAATGTCGGTGGGCCGCATTTCTGATAGAGCCAGGCCACGTCTGCCACTTATGCCACTTCTTTGGAGTCTTCTAACCAACCTGGCATGGTATCCAAATACCTGAACTTTAGGCAGTTACTCATAACTGCTCTTCTCATACCTGGAAAGGCCGGCTCTGGATTTTCTCTCTGCTTTTTATAAAGCATGAGTCTTTGCTGCTTCCTGCCTCTGACTTCTGCCACTAAGTGGGTGGTGATGACTTGATTAAAACCTACTAAGTTGCACCCTGTTCATCGGGCACCCACTGACTCGCTTGTTCTTACTGCTCACTTCTTTTGCAAACCCCCTCAAGGGACCAGCACTGGGCTCTCTGATCAAGCCCTTTCACGGCAGACAGGCTTGACAGATCCCATCATTCCTAGATAGCATTGCTAGGACATTTAAATAAAATAACCATTTTTGGTTTCTCCTGAGCTCTAGCTTACACTGTTTTTGCATTTCAGATTTTTTTTTTTTTTTTTTGATATGGAGTCTTGCTCTGTTGCCCAGGCTGGAGTGCAATGGCATGATCTCGGCTCACTGCAACCTCCACCTGCCGGGTTCAAGTGATTCTCCTGCCTCAGCCTCACCAGTAGCTGGGATTACAAGTGTGTGCCATCATGCCCGGCTAATTTTTTTTGTATCTTTAGTAGAGACGGGGTTTCACCATGTTGGCCAGGCTGGTCTCGAACTCCTGACCTTGTGATCCGCCTGCCTTGACCTCCCAAAGTGTTGGGATTACAGGTGTGAGCCACCATGCCTGGCCCTCAGATGTTTTTAAAATTTAATTTCACTTGATTCTTTCAAAGGTTCTATTGGAAGTATGCCTGCTTGGGATGTCTATTTGCAATTCTAAAAAGAAAACTAAATGTTCATAGCCATGGCACATTCATCTCTTGTAATGTCAGTCCTGCCCCATGGTTGGAAGCCTCTCGTTTATTCTGTAGCCTATCCCTTGACTGGAGTGGACCCAAACCTTGGAAAATTAGAAACCTACTTAAGCATTCCCATGCCCAGGTTTGGCAAGGTTGGAGATGGCAAACATGAAGTAGTCTTTTCCCTGCTTTAGCGAAGCACTCATTCCCACCAATACGATTGTTCCAAGAGGAGTGATAATGCGCCATAAAGCCAGAGCAGTCAGTTCTGCAGCTGTTCATGTTATGTATTTATTGGGTCACTAAATCCCTGTGTGCTGTTTAGTTGTCAGCCGAGTTGGAGGACTGACTTCTGAGTGAATTTCAATCAATCAATCACTCCAACAAGATGGTTAAGAATAGCCTGCGCTGGGCATACTATCTAGCATCGCCTGCCAGGGCTAAGACTTGTTCTTAATACTCGCAAAGTTGGCCTGGGTGTCACAGCTCGTGCTATTTCACCTGGTAACTGTTGGTTTTATACATTTCAAAAGCAGTCATCTTTTGTGAGGTTACTTTTGTCTGAAAGCTTCCTACGACCAGTGGCTCTGAGGGTATCTGTGAGTAACGCCCGGTTTAATGCAGAGACTGAGGATCTGTGGGAGAGGCGGTGCAGGTGGAGCCTGAGGCTGGTGTACCGACCTGCATCACTCTCCGTGCAGCCACAGCTTAAAGGTGAGCACCTTCTTATGCAATGTAAGGAGAAACAGATCTGTGTTTTTATAAACAGTGCAAATTATATGATTTAACATACACATCAAAATTCAATTTCCTGTGGTGTTTTCTAAGTTCATGCTGTTCTGTATATTTTCATATTTTTTCAGCTACTAAATCAATATATAGATGGTAGGTTCAACAGAGGACAGCTAATTATATAAAAATAAGTGTTTATTAACAAATGGGCTCAGAGTAGAAAATGCAGACAGATGGGTTCACTTTACCATATTTTGGGATCATCATCTTATTGCGTACAGCACTGT
Organism: Homo sapiens; assembly: GCF_000001405.40. Taxonomy (NCBI): domain Eukaryota; kingdom Metazoa; phylum Chordata; class Mammalia; order Primates; family Hominidae; genus Homo; species Homo sapiens. The sequence continues at coordinate 28,767,771 of NC_000008.11, forward strand.
AGGCAAGTAAACGAAACCAAAGGCTGGCTCCCCTGGCCGAGGCCTGGGACTGATGCAAGACAGCCAGCCAGTCACCTCCGCCTCCCATGAACCTCTTGGAAAACTTCTCCTGTCCCACTTCTGCCACCCTCCAGCTCCTTGAGAGAGCCAGAGTTGAGAAGAAAATGAGCCTGAAGTTGAAAGGGAAAGTTCTTGCCTGAAACAGTGCTGGGAATAAGTCCAGACCATTTCCCTCAAGAGCCACCTCTTCACTCCTTAAGCCAGAGGACACCACAAAGACACAGTTAATGGCCTCTCATGCCACTCCTCAGGTGGCTTGTGAGGGCAGCCAGTGAGGGACTGCAGGATTTCAGGGAAGTAGCTCAGATGGCCCACTCAGAACTTCTGTAAGAATTTGAGGACAAGGTCCCGCAGTCGCACTCTGAGCATCTCGTCATTGTCGCAGATGATATGGGTCGAGTCTTCTTCAATCTGGATGAGCGTCTCAGCCTCCTGGAGCAGGACGATATGGCCCTTGGCTGTGTCCTCCACCTTAATATCACTGAAGCCATGCTGCTCCAGAAGAAAAGAAAGAGGTGGGCTGGGCAGACTGCACATCTGTGAGATCTGTAAATGACACTTCACAGACTCGACTGAACTTTCTAGAAACTGACACGTCTCAACACAATTCTTCAGACTAGTCATAGGCCTATGATAGTGATAGTTTCTTATACTTGAAAAGAGACCCTAAACATGCAAAAGCTCATGCAAAACAACAGAATTTCCACAACCTGGCTAAGCTTTTGTGAGTTCTTTGAGGGCACGTCCAAGCACTGTGTTCAGGAGTCTGGGACGCTCAGCTGCTTGCACCATGCCGTTCCCTGGTGACAGCTCCCTCCTAAGTTTCAGCTGTCTGAGCTCCCAGGAAAATGCCAGGTGACACCAAGATACCCCTGTGGGACTTGGCAGAGCCCTCTCAAGAGTGAAGGAGAGAAGGCAGCAGTGCAAACTTCTCAGCTATTGCTAATGCTAAGGACAGAAATTCCTTACAAATCAGACGTGACATGGAAAGGAGGCATGTGCCTGAAACAGACACACAGCAGGTGAAGGGCCTCGGTGTGGGGAGGCCACCTGTACTTCATGGCTGCAGGCTCCCCTAGGGACTTGGACAGGTGCTTGCTCCTTCTGCAGAGAGGAGCCGGGGTGGAACACTGGGTCAGGACATAGGCTGGGCCAGGCAGAAGGTCCTCATCTTAAGTTTTTAAAAGTCCAGCTTGAGGCCCATTAACAGGGCCCAGGAGCCCTGCAAGGTCTTCAGGGAGGGTGGAAGAGAGCCGCAACCACCCAGCCAGAGCCTTTTTCCCTACGGGAAAATCAAAGACAGGTGGAGAAAACCAATCCTAGGAAAGGGAAAGCCTTTAAGATTTGAAAGTCGGCAACTGTGATATTTACATTGGATAGAAAGTTCATAGAAATCTCCTTCCTTGTAATGATTGTAATTTGTTGCAGTTCTTGCAAGCAGCAGCATGAACAGTATTACCTTTAGCCAATTCCTTCTTCCTATCAAAGATTCTATAATCCTAATAAAGTCATCTCTGAAGTCCTGTGACTGAAGCCAAAATTACAACCTTTAAGGTTAGATTTTTTTCTTTTAATCATAGTCAAGAAATCTCATCTCTGGGAGAAGCAGCCATCAGGGCTGCTGAGACAGAGGGGAAGGGCCAGTGTCCCCTCCCCCGACTGCCTCCTGCAAATCCTGACAGTCGACTGGAGACTTGGCTCCCCTCTGACAGCAAGGAGTCATCTGTGGAAGTGCAAGACTCTGGCAGGGCCGGGTCCCTCTTTGTCCTGGCCTCACTACCCTGCCCCACTCGTCACATGTGTGTGTGGAAGCAGCTTTTTCTTCAGTCTGGAGAGGCCTTCTGGTGACCTCGTGCTGGGAGGAAGGATGGGGCACTCCTCACTCTGCTTTCTTTCTCCTGGGTCTCCCAGCAGGACCTTAGACCAAACAGATGCCACAGGACAGTGGGGACTAAGTGACAAGCAGCAACATCCACTCCCTGCAGCCAGGGGGCCATAGTGAGCCAGGGAAAGGCTGCCACGTGTGGAGTTTTCACGGCACCAGCGAAACCAGCTCACCTTCTCCAGGGTCTGCACGAACTGCTCCACAGGGATGGAACCGCTCAACAAAGGCTTCAGGACTTTGCAGTCTGGTACGTCATCGCTCACCCGCTTTCTCTTCTTCCCGCTCGTGGGCTGGGCGGGCCGAGGAGGGGGCTAGAGCAGAAGGAAAGAGTGGCTTTCATGAGCTTCCTCTGAGCAGCAGGGGCCACCGCAGGCCACACTGAGAGCCTGAGACTATCCTGTCCTCACAGGCCACAGAGCCCCGGCCCGGTTTCCTCAGCCGGCACTCGGTTCAGGTTCCCTGGCTGCCGGGAGCCCCAGATCCACGCGCTCTAATGCTCAACTGTCCAGCCTACCAACACCTTATTCGCTAAGATCTCTGCCTTCTATCAAGATCCATTTTTAAATTTTCAGGTGGTTCACTTCAGTATCTGCTGAGTAAATTCTCCAGAATACACTGTGTCGTGCTGCAGGTACATCATGACCCCGTGGCTGGGCACACTGGCTGTGGGGTCAGACCAAAGGGGGAAACCCCACCTTTGCCACCATCTGGCCAAGGTTAGAGAAGCTGCCTACGAAATGATGACAGCAGTGAATTCTGACGGCTCAGTAAGACAAGGCGGGTCAAGGACCCAGCACAGGGTCTAATAGACTTTAAGTGGTAGCTAGGAGCAACTCTACATGTGGCATAAAGGTGACACAGTCCAGATCTGAAAGGAATTCTTAAGACACAGTGCCTGCCCTGGAGCTGAAGTGCCACCCACCTGTGTGTGGGTCATTGGTAGGACCAGGCTCTCAGGTAGCCACAGCCTCACGCAGGTGCCCTCCGGTTCCAGCCCCCAAGGGCAGGGCTGCACCTGCCACCCTGCACGTCTCCCCACAGCCCTGCCTCGCGTGGCAGCGCTCCCCAACAGAATGTGCCTGTGGCAGCCCTTGGGATGACGTGCGGCCTCATCTCTGGGCACAGCAGCCTCTCTGAGGCACATGGCCAGGGAAATAATTCTTCAACAAGAATTCACATGAAGCGCTATTTCAAATATAATCTGTTAGGTGGTCTGGTTTCTTGCTGGGGAGAGGGTCCCCTGCACTCCCACCCAGCACCCCCTACCTGAAGCAAGTGCTTGTTATCTTTGGTGTGCAGCACGGCCGAGACAGTTGCCAAGGAGATGCCAGGCTTGATCTCCATGGGCACCAGTGAATCTGCGAGCTGAAAGCAAAGGGCGCAGTTCAGGCTGGGGGCCTTTAATGATGACCATTACTCTTCCTTTAATCTGTATTTACATCACTGCAGTCTAAAAAGATGAAATAACTTTAAAGGTAAACAATTTTTTTTTTTTTGAGATGGAGTCTTGCTCTGTCGCCCAGGTGACACACCAAGTGCAGCCTTTCATTCATTCTGGCCTTTACTTCACCCTCATCCCCTCTCCAGGTGACCAGTGGCAGGAAGGACGGGGACAGCAGCATGGCGGTTGAGGGAGCTCTCTCTTCCTGAAAGTCTGACTTCTCCTGATGGTGGGAGCCACGGCTTTACCTGGGGGGTGGTATCTTTCCGACCACCTGCACCTGATGGGTGCCCTGCCGTGCAGCCTGACCTTATTAGGTGCTCTGTTGCTGGGTTTAGCTGCATGGTTTTTAAGACATGTAGACCCCTACCTAGCCAAGCCACCTTTATTTAAAAACAAAAACATGCAAGAGGCCATTATGTAAACATGAAGATCAATACCAAACGGGCAGAGGAAGCAGCTTAGGATACTTAAGCAGATTGGCAAGTGGTACGTGAGGCCTGTTTCATGAAATAAGAAAACGGCCTATGGCGAGCGTGAAGCGGCCCTTGCCGAGGAGCAGGGTGTGCGCCAGATCCCGTTCTTCACCTGAGGCCTCCTCCACACAGGCCCCTCCTCCCTGCACAAGGCTGGGGTGGGAGCTTTGGGGATGGCGTTCTGCGCTCTCCCTGGGCAGCCATGCACTATTTCCAAGACGACTCTGAAGGAGTCTTTTTTTTTTTGAGATGGGGCCTCACTCTGCTGCCCAGGCTGGAGTGTGGTGGTGTGATCATAGCTCATTGCAACCTCAACCTCCTGGGCTCAAGTGATGTTCCCTCCTCAGCCTCCCCAGTAGCTGGGACTACAGGCATGAACCACCACGCCTGGCTAATTTATTATTTTTTTGTAGATACGGGGGTCTTGCTGTGTTGCCCAGGCTGGTCTTGAACTCCTGGCATCAAGTGATCCTCCTGCCTTGGCCTCCCAAGGGCTGGGATTACAGGCCTGAGCCAATGTGCCTGGCCATAATGTCCATTTTAAAGGCAATTACTGTAGCAAGTTGGATTGAGACAGTTACCTCCATTAATGATCAAAGACGTACAGTTTGGCTGGGTGCGGTGGCTCACGCCTGTAATTCCAGCACTTTGGGAGGCCACGGTGGGCAGACTGGAGTTTGAGACCAGCCTGGCCAATATGGTGAAACCCCATCTCTACCAAAAATACAAAAATTAGCTAGGATTGGTGGCATGTGCCTATAATCCCAGCTACTCGAGAGCCTAGGGAGGAGAACTGCATGCACCCGGGAGGCAGAGGTTGCAGTGAGCCAAGACTGTGCCACTACACTCCAGCCTGGGCAACACGGCAAGACTCCGTCTCAAAAAAAGACATAGGGCCGGGCACGGTGGTTCACGCCTGTAATCCCAGGACTTGGGAGGCCGAGGTGGGTAGATCACAAGGTCAGGAGATCAAGACCATCCTGGCTAACACAGTGAAACCCTGTCTCTACTAAAAATACAATAAATTATCCAGGTGTGGTGGCAGGTGCCTGTAGTCCCAGATACTCGGGAGGCTGAGGCAGGAGAATGGCGTGAACTCAGGAGGTGGAGCTTGCAGTGAGCAGAGATCTCACCACTGCACTTCAGCCTGGGCAACACAGCGAGACTCCGTCTCAAAAAAAGAAAAAAAAAGACATACAATTTAAAATTAGATAACAGTGTATACTTATATAACTGGAAAAGACTTGAATAAAATTGGAAAATAACTAAAAAAGGACAACATTCAATATTAGCAAGGAGGCAGAAGTAAGAGCTGTCTCCAGCTCTGCTGTGGGAGTATAAACTGTCACACTCATTCTAGAGGACAAGCTGGCAATATATAGCCTCGAGCCAGAAAGGGATGTTCATAATCTTTGACCCAGAAATTCTAACTTCAGAAAATTTTCTTATGGAAATAAACATATATGGACAAAGATTTATGTAAAAGGATGCTCCTAAAAGTGTTATTTATAACACAGAAAAACCAGAAATGAAAATCTGTGAAAAAAGGGGCCAGGCGCAGTGGCTCACGCCTGTAATCCCAGCACTCTGGGAGGCCAAGGCGGGTGGATCACAAGGTCAGGAGATTGAGACCATCCTGGCTAACACGATGAAACCCCGTCTCTACTAAAAATACAAAAAAATTAGCTGGGCATGGTGGCGGGTGCCTGTGGTCCCAGCTACTAGGGAGGCTGAGGCAGGAGAATGGCATGAAGCTGGGAGGCGGAGCTTGCAGTGAGCCAAGATCGCGCCAATGCACTCCAGCTTGGGTGACAGAGCGAGACTCCGTCTCAAAAAAAAAAAAAAAAAATCTATGAAAAAAGGAACTGTTAAATTATGACAGACCATTATGCAACCATTAAAGCTGAAGCTTTTGAAATATCTTTTTTTTTTTTCTTGAGACGGAGTCTCGCTATGTTGCCCAAGCTGGAGTGCAGTGGCGCGATTTTGGCTCACTGCAACCTCAGCCTCCCGAGTAGCTGCGATTACAGGCGCCTGCCACCACGCCTGTGGCTAATTTTTGTTTTTTTATTAGAGACAAGGTTTCATCATGTTGGCCAGGCTGGTCTTGAACTCGTGACCTTAAGTGATTCACCCCCGCCTCAGCCTCCTGAAGTGCTGGGGTTTACAGGCATGAGCCACCATGCCCAGCTGAAATATATATTTTTTGAGACAGAGTCTCGCTCTGTCATCCACGTAGGAGTGCGGTGGCATGATCTTGGCTTACTGCAACCTCTGCCTCCCGGTTCAAGCAATTCTCTGCCACAGCCTCCAAGTAGCTGGGATTACAGGTGCGTGACACCACGCCCAGCTAATTTTTTTTAGTGGAGATGGGGTTTCACCACCTTGGCCAGGCTAGTCTTGAACTCCTGACCTCATTGTCCACCCGCCTCGGCCTCCCACAGTGCTAGGATTACAGGAGTGAGCTACCATGCCTGGCTGAAATATCTTAAATGATATAATGTACTTACTGATAGGTGAAAAAGACGACAGTGTATGAGGTGTGATTCCAGTAGGCACACACACAGTGAACAGACAAGGCAAATACATCAAAATCTTAACATTTATCCCTGGCACTGGGACTGATTTTTGCTTTTGTCTTTATCCCTTAGTTATGTTAACATATAATAGGTTTGTATTATTAAGTGAATATTTTTAAAATGTCTTAGTTTTAATTTCTCATATAGCAAACATCAATAGACATAACCCACATAAACAAAACCTCTTTGGAGTTCTATTTGTAAGGATGTCTGAGACCAAAAGGTTTAAGGAATGCTGGCTTAGAGAGTTGAAATCTAAACCAAGGCCGTCAATCCCAGCCCCTGTAAAATACCAGACAAAAACAATCCAGAGAAAGTGAAAAAATCATAACAAAATGATAAAAACATATTAAACATTAAACAACCATAAAGATGGCACCTGGTGGTCCCTAGCAGCCTCTCCAGGCTCATGGAAATGAGTCACATTCAGGAGCCAAGACCTCCAACCCAAGGTCTGGAGGCCATTTCTGAACCTCAGACTCCAAAAGAAGTTTGGGCACACTGGTTTTAACAATAAGTTTTTATATTTCTTTTTCCTGTCTGTTGAAAACACATTCAAGTTGCCTCAAGAGGTGAAAGGAAGCCAGAGGTAGCCTCCAACCATCCTCAACGCTGTCTTTCAGGAGAGGCCGCGTCCCTCTCTGTCTCCCTCTCAGAGGAGTGGCCCAAGCGCAGCATGCCACAGCTGTTCAACATGGACAGCATGCTTTGGCTCTTTCCCTGCTAAAACTGAAGCTAAGAGTTCACAGACCTATAAAATACTTAGACTTTGATAGACCAAAACCTGCAAGTATGCTCAAGAGGATATAAATAACCAAGTTTACAATCCTTATTTTTTGGTTCCTGTTATCTCCCCCATCTACCTCTGAATTCAGCAAACTCTTGACACTCACTCATAACTGAGGTCCAGGAAGGAAGAGAAAAGTCACCATCCTATGGTATTTAGGGACAGAGCGGGTGTCAGCATCTCCACTTCCCAGGGCTCTGACCCATGATGTGGCCCAGGGCTCACGCTGCTGAATGCTAGGTAAGGAGCAGTCCTGACTAACAGCTGTTATTTTATTAGTTGAAAAACAAGAAGGCCCTGAAAATCCCCCCTCTTCCCGGTTACTTGGTTAAGGGTCCATGTTCTTTGTTCATTCATACTTGGAGTCTCACTCTGTTGCCCAGGCTGGAGTGCAGTGGTGTGATCTCGGCTCACTGCAACCTCCACCTCCTGGTTCAAGCGATTCTCAGGCTTCAGCCTCACGAGTAGCTGGGATTACAGATGCGTGCCACCACACCTGGCTACTTTTTTTGTATTTTTAGTAGAGATGGGGTTTTGCCATATTGGCTGGGCTGGGTTGGCCAGGCTGGTCTCGAACTCCTGACCTCAAGTGATCCGCCCACCTTGGCCGCCCAAAGTGCTGGGATTATAGGCGTGAGCTACTGCGCGCAGCCTGGTTCATTTATACTTGACATAAATCCAAAAGAAGGCCACCCCTGCACGATCTCCAAGAGCCTCTGTGGAAAGCTCTAGTTTAACCCTAGGAAGGAGAACAGCTCACCTCTGGCATGATCTCGATCTTCTCGTACCGACGTTTGAAGGGCAGGGCGAGAACCTCAGCCCGCCGATAGGACATGGCGGGGGGCTGGCAGTCGATCATGAGGTCCATCCTGTGGGACTGGGCTGGGGGCGGCTGAGTGTACTGCTCAGGACACACCACGTGCAGGGGCTGAGGAACCAATGGGACAGTTGAGAAAGGTGGTGTGAAGTACAGTGGCCCCTGTGGAAGGCCCATTCCTGACCCCGATCCACTCCCCGCCATTACAGGCTCACCACTTCCAGGCCAAGGTGAACTTTCATCCTCTCAAGCCCAATGAACCGTAGACAGGAGAGGGAACGTGAAGGCACTGGGGCAGAAGAAACATCTCGGAAACCCCTAAACTGCCTCAGCTTAATTTATCTTTCTTACTCTTTACATAAGTTTCACGGTAACTTCCATGTGTCTGCTCCCAGCGGTCTCTGGGCTTCCTCGGGGCACGGTCTTTCTCTAACATTCCCACATGCCTGCTATTATAAGCTCTTGGCTGATTACCAAGAGCTGTGGCTTTTCGTGCCGGGCTGGCGCTGTGGGTTTGGAGTTTCCGCTGGATCTGCAGGTCAGCTGGTATTAGGCAGTGGGCACTCCTCAGCTCATGTGCTCACCATGTGCAACCAAGGAGCAGAGGCAGAGTTTTTTTTTTTTGTTTTTTTTTTTAAACAAAATGTCTCTTTTTGTTATCTTGAGAAAAAAAGATTAGTAAACCAATTTTTACTTTGCACAAATATCACCCAAATGAAAAGGAATGCTGGCAGCCCACAGGGGCACTGTGTTGTCCCTGCTTCTACTTAAGAGCTTGGACCAAGCCCTGAATTCCCTGCTGAAGACGGCTTTCCACCAGGCTGACCGGGCTGAGCTTCCAAAAGCACTTGTTCCTTAGGGCTAATACTTTTCTCCTCCAAACTGCCCTTTGCTCCTCCTCTTGACCTGTCTCAAAGCATCTCATGCCACAGGTGCAGTCTGATGGCTTCTCCCAGGTTTTCCTCACCTAAAGTGGAGACCAGGTGGCCTCCAGTTTCCAGGATTAGCACCTGACAGAGGGGCGTCAAGAGCTGGTTTAGGGACTGGGATTTGAAGTTAATAATGAAAAGCAACACGCCTTTCACTGCTGCTTCTAACGTGGATGAGCATACATTGGGGTAGCGAATCACTGTAGACAGGCCCCACGTTTGCTGTCTGCTCTCATCATACCTAGAGAGTGCCAGTATTCTTTCTTCATTGGGCAAGCACATTAATAATCACCAGAATCCGCTCTTGGGGCCCTCCTGGGGTTCTCCGGCTTTCTCTGTTTCCTGTTCCCCTGCCTTAGAGTTTTGTGAAAGGGCCTCTCTCATCCTGAGGTTGAAGGTGCTGTGCTGGGCCCCTCCACCCTCATCTCACTCCTGGGAACACCAGGGAGTGGAAAGGGAGAGCTCTTCCTCGCCGGTGTCAGCTGTCCTCCTTGCCAATTCCAGTTCCTCTCCCGACTCTCAAGAGCCAGAAACCCAGCGAGCAGTGGCTGAGCCAGCACAGTGGTTCCGTGGCCCTGCCTTCCTGCTACGCGCGCCTCCTGGTCTACACTGCACCCCAGCTACTTCTTCCCTTTCTCCAGGGCAGAAAATGTGAAGTGAAACAAATGACCAAAAACTGCCACAAAACCCAAACCCGACAGCACTGTTTGTGGTACCAGCCTACACGTGCGACACGGCCCCAGTAACGCGTTTCATTTAAACTGTCTCAGCTTAGTGAGTATGTTTCTAGAATGACTTTTTTTTTTTTTGGCAGGGGTGAGAGGGTTTGCTTTTAAGCGGACACAGATGGTTTTCTTTCCCTTCCACATCTGATTTCTTTAGAATGGAAACTGCGGTCAGGGTGTAAAGACCACTCCTTTTCAGTGTGGAGGGGGGCTGGCATGTGTCCCAGCATTCTGCAGATGCGTGAGAACTGAAGACAAGAATCAAACACAGCTAGATCTCTCTCCCCTCACCCCACACAAGCATGAGCCACACCAAGGTGACATGACTACGTGAAGGCACAAGCAGTGTCCTTCATTACCTGCACTTCTTTAAGCAGCTTTGACACCTGGATGAAGTTCAGCCGGGTGTCGATGGGGCAGTAGATGCATTTCATGGCCAGCGGCTGGTAAGGAGCCAGGGCTTCCAGGTAGGAGAAGTCTGGTTCTAGGGAAAGTACAAGAAAGAAATCTTACAATGCAGACTACACAGGAGCTGCCAAGCCAGACAGCAACTGGGGCGCTGAGGGCCCACAGACAGTCAGGGGGTCAGGAGGGAGCCAGGAAGCACACGTGGGGGACGGAGGTCAAAGGGGCCCCGTGGAAGGAGGGGCAGGCTGGGATGGACCCTGTGGGTGGGCTCCAAGCTTCAGCAGAGGCAGATGAGGTAAATGAGGGAGAAATACATATGTGGGGGAGAAAAGAAAGCTCTTTTTACAACGAAATGCCAAGAAACAAACGATGAAATAAAAACCAAAACCACCGTTTGGCAACCATTACAGTTCATCACTTATTCAGATGAAAATCATCAACAAATGCTAAAAATATCAGATACCATTTTGAGGGAGAACAGAATATGTATATAGTTTCAAAGAGTCCCCCACAAGGTACTGATTTAATACAATGGGAAAAACTGACTTCACAGTGGAGAGGCCTGGTACAGACCCGGGAACCTAGAATCAGCTCTGAGTTAACGCCCAGGTGTGAGATGCACCCGGAAGACAAGCGCACGGCCCCGCCTCCAGGCCCGTGAATGGTCTGTAGACTGAGACTGGGATGCTCCCCAGCAGCCCCAGCCCCTCAGACCGGGAAGAGTCCTCGCCCTCTGCTCAGCCTGTCTCCTGAGGGCTGCTGCAGCCTGCTTGGCAGGGAACATTCCCCCAACTCGAGGGAGCTGCCTGCCTTGAGCCAAAAGACCTCGCTCGGTCCTAACTGATGTGACACTTTGATTCCCAGCACAGTCTGTGCCCAGCGACGAGGGACCCTGGCTTAGGCACACCAGACACAGAGACGTCTCCACTGTTGTCAGGACAAACTGGCAGAGCTGCCAGGTACATAAATGCCCATTCCAGTGGATTGTGCTTCTCTGAGAATACTGACCCCCTTTTCATGTATCCAGGAGTCACAAAACAATAAAAAAAGATGGCCCCAACCTCTCCCAGACACAACTTCTGCCCTGGAAGCCCCATAAACCAGTTTAAATGCAAACCCATTACCCAGAGTTGTCACAGGAAATCACACAGTCCTGATTTCCTTTTAGCTGAAGAAACATTTGTACTAAAGGCCAGGTTATCTACTGTGCTGTGTAGATGCTGTCACCACTGTCATGTCAAATGTCGAGTCACCACTCAGCAGCAGGAGCAGGAGACACCAACCTCAGCCCCACTACATAGGACATTCTCTGGACAACCTCCTAATTAATGAAATCTTGGCAGCTATGAAGTTCTGGGTGTTGTCAATCAATATCTTGTGGCCCAACTTCCTCCACCTTTAGCCCAAAGCAGGCCTGAGAAGAGGAAAGCAGTCCTGGTGACCGGGGCCTCTCCTGGCACTTTCTGCCTGGCCTGGTATCAGCAAGAGCCGGCCTGGCACCCACAGCAAAGCCATGTGTCCTCCTGCTGTGTGAACGCAACTTCCTGGAACACCAACACCTTGTCTGACAATGATGGATCCGGCCAAAGACAAGACCCCTCTGTAATCATCCTGAACACGGAACACAGAACTTTCCTGACCACAGCATAAGCAAACTTCCCGCTATGCCGGCTCCATTCTTCCTGTGTTCTAGATAAGAATGAGTTAAGAAACCCATCGCAGAATGACCCTGCATCCTGACGCCACCCAATACAGGGTGACGCCTCACCTCCGCGAACACCTGCGCATCACCGAACACCAGCCGGAGTCCTGCAAGGTCTTTTTGCTTTTCTTTTACCCATGGTGTGTGTTCCCCTTGCTGAAATGAGGCAATAAACCCAACTTGGTTTGACCACAGGCGTGTTCCTGGTGGCCTCTAGGTCACAAATGAAAGCTGGGGGAAGGGCTGAAGCGTCACCCCAGTGCTTCTGGTGTAACTGGATTCCCAGCTCCTAAAGCTAGGAAGGGAGCTGGTGACAGTGCTTTCCCAACAGCCGCCATGTGCCGGGTTCTGTGCCTGGTGCCCAGAGTGACCCACAGAGGTAGCTACTGACAGTCCCATTTACTGTGGGGACAGTCATGCTTGCTGGTGAATTGGCTGAGGTTGCTGCAAGCTGGGCCAGATTTCAAATCAAGGTTTTTTTTTTTTTTTCTTTTTTCTTCATAGCCTGTAAGATTTCTAAAACCCAAGGCCGACTGAAGACCCTAACCCATGGGTGTCCAAGCTTTTGGCTTCTTTGGGCCACACTGGAAGAAGAACTATCTCGTGCCCCACATAAAATACACTAACACTAATGATGACTGATGAGCTAAAAAAAAAAAAAAAAAAAAAAAAAAAAAAAAAAAAAAAGGTCTGTGCATAATTTCCAAGATATCCCCTATCACAGATAAGCAAAAAAGACCTAGCATTCAAAGGGCTGGGCACGCTACACTGATAAAATGATACAGTCATTATCTATGTAAACACTCTACTTGACCTTATCAAAGGAATTTTTTCCCCTGAGGGATTTGTCTCCAGAAGAAAATCCACAGTTAGAGTAAACCACAATCAGAAGAAAAAGATCTACCTCTGTAAACAATTCCTAACAGGTAAAACAACACCGTTACTGAATCACTGCACTTCTTGAAATGGCTTACGATATCCTAGCAAAAGCACTCAGCAGGATTCTGTCTTGGAGAAATCTGAAAACACAGGCATGAAGGCCTCGCTGGATGCCCAGCTGTCCAATGGCACACACTGCTTCACTCTTTCTCTGCGGTTTCTTCATTCTTTGGTACCTACAGTAGAACAATGTTTGTATTTATGTCTCACTGCAAAATCCTTCCCTGGGTCTCTACCTTGTAGGTGCATTCACTCATGGCCTCAGTGGAGAGAACCAATTTGTTTCTTTATTTTTTTCACTTACCCGTGAATATGACGGTATTGAGACTAGATTTTCCCCAGAGCTCCATGAAGTGGACCACGTCCCCGAAGCGGAGGGAAGGGTGCCCGGTGAACACCACACAGGGCTGTCTAAAGTCGTTGCTGAAGTCTCCGTGGATGCTGGGGTAGTGCTTCAGCTTATTGGTCTGAATGAGCTGGAAAATATAGAAAAAATACAAAGAAATGTGAGCCTGCCCAGGCTGAAGGGGGAACCAAAGTACGGGAGGGTGAGCGGGACTGGATCTAAAATACCAACAAAGAAGACAAGCCACGGATTGGGAGAAAATACCTGCAAAAGTCACACCTGAGAGAGGACTGTGACCCAGAATCTATGAACTCCGAAACCTCAGCAAAAAGAAATGAACAGCCCTATTAAAAAGTGGGCAAAAAACCTGAACAGACACCTCATCAGAGAAGAGAGATGGCAAATGAGCATACGAAAAAATGCTCCACACCGTATGTCATTAGGAAACTGCAAATTAAAATGATGAGATACCACTATACACCTGTTATAATAAAATGGCCAAAATCCAGAACACTCACAGCACCAAATGCTGACAAGGATATGGAAGAACAAGGACTCTCATTCACTGCTGGTGGGAATGCAAAAGGATACAGCCACTTTGAAAGATATTTTGAAAAATCATGTCCACAAGAAACCTGCACATGAATGTCCTAATTGCTAAAACGTGGAAACAACCAAGATGTGTCCTTCAGCAGGTGAAGGATGAAACTGATGCATCCAGACAATGGAATATTATTCAGCCCTAAAAAAGAAATGAGCTGCCAAGCTACGAAAAGACATGAAGGAACCTATTCCTAAGTGAAGGGCGCCACTCTGAAAAGCCAAGGCCCCTATGATTCCAACTGTATGACGTTCTGGAAAAGGCAAAACTATACAGATAGTAAAAGGCTCAGCGGTCACCAGGGATTCGTGGAGAGTGAAATGAACAGGCTGAGCACAGAGGATCTGCAGAGTGAGGAAGCTCCTCTGTGTGATGATGTAATGGTGGATCCAGGTCACTGTTCATTTGTTCAAAACCATAGAAAGCACAACGCCAAGGGAACCCCTACTGTAAACTCTGGGCTTTGGGCGAGAGTGACGTGTCAATGTGGGTTCATCAGCCGTAGCAAACGCACCTCTCTGGTGTGGGATGGTGCAGTGGGCAACTGCGTGTGTGGGGCAGGGGCATATGATTGCCGTGAACCTAAAACTGCTGTGAAAAGTAACACTTATTAATTTAAAAAAATACAAGTGAATCTTATTAAAATAGTTTTTACCCAGAATGTGATTTGTGGAACACATGGGCAAGTCAAGTCTTTCTGGTAATACTGACATACTTCCTGGAAACATATTCAGATTGTTATGGCCTGCTTTAGCTGGACTCTTCCTTTATAAGCTGCCTGACACTCCACACCAGGCCTGAAGTTCTCATTATCACTTCTTGTTTGAAGTACAAGTGACTTTCCCAACACTCGTGAATCACCAAGTCCTGGTGACAGTAACCACATTCGTCACACCAGAAACACTGTTTGCCAGTACAGGACCTCCTCCTGCAAAGCTAGAGCTGTGTTAAGCTACTGCAGCAACTGAATAAGGACCAAGACCAAAGACTGTACTTTCAGGGATCATTTCTGTTGTTTGCTACTAGAGAAGCTTCTCTGAATGTGTACAGCATGTGGACATGTGTGCACACATGCACACATACACGCACACACACATGCACGACAAAGATCAAATTGGCTTTTAGAAATGTGATGTCCTGGTAACACAGACAGTTATATTAAGAAATGGGCTAGGCACAATGGCTTACGCCTGTAATTCCAGCACTTTGGGAGACAAAGACAAGAGGATTGCTTGAGCCCAGAAGTTTGAGACCAGGCTGGGCAACAAAGCAAGACCCTGTCTCTACAAAAAATAAAAAAAGTTCTTGGATACTGTGGCTAGAGCCCAGGAGTTCAAGGTTGCAGTAATCTATGATTGCAACGCTGTATTCTGGCATGGGTAACTGAGACCCTGTCACTAAAAAAAACACATACACACACAAAAAAACCCCCAGCACTTTGGGATGCTCAGGTGGGCAGATCACAAGGTCAGGAGATGGAGACCATCCTGGCTAACATGGTGAAACCCCGTCTCTACTAAAAATACAAAAAATTAGCTGGGCCTGGTGGCGGACACCTGTAGTCCGTTACTCGGGAGGCTGAGGCAGGAGAATGGCATGAACCCAGGAGGCGGAGCTTGCAGTGAGCCGAGATGGCGCCACTGCACTCCAGCCTGGGCGACAGTGAGACTCCGTCTCAAAAAAAAAAAAAAAAAAAAAAAAAAAGAAGCAGGTGCCCCGCAGCCTCAAAGCTTTCTTTCAAGTGTACGTGTTGAACCAAGAGTCTCCCCTGCAGCATAACACTTGACAATCATCTCCCAGTGTCAGGCCCATTCAAGGCAATAGCAAAGACAGTTATGACTAGATGGCATCTTGTAACGTCTCAGACACTGTGCCTGCTGCCCAGGCCTCCTTGCCCCACCCCAGCATCCAGAGGCTAGACACCCAGACTTCACAGACCCTAAATATCAACCAGGCCAAAGGAAGCACTGCTCTGGAAGGCTGTTTCATGGATAAAGCAATGGCCTGTGATAGGCTCAATCCTGTTGCCACATGTTGTGCATGAGAGGGCCCTGGGCAACACCTTGAAGTGCAAATGAAGTCACCCTAAGAGTGGGGATGTGGCCAGAATAGGACATACCCCAAACAGAAGCCAAACTCTCTTCACCTTGAAGACCTCATCTTTAATTGAAGAGACCTGGTTGTATTAGGAAGACACTAACACTGTCCTGGAGATCTTCATCAGCTGTCGCATGCTTGGATGGAATATGAATAGTAAAGCCGGAGCAAACATCGAATTCCCACGTTCCTTCCAGGTAGTCTGCAAGTTGAACTGACATTCTTTTTATAAACTATATGGCCAAAATCATTAGTTGTCTCAGTTAAATGGGTGAGTGGCTGTCAAAAAGGGTCTATTGTATCCTAAGATGTCAAGATGATGAATGTGATTCTAAGAATAGCAGCAGGTCTCTGCACACGTAAGTCACTTTTAAGCATTATCTATAGTTCCTGTAGCTCTACTGATCAATGCACAGAAACTAAGATAAATTCATCGTTTTTTGCCAATTGGATCTACCTTTCTAGCCAACTTACTGCATTTGACCAGTGGAAATGAAGCTGTGGGGCAGGAATTCTGAACAGTAATTTGTTACCAGTACTAAGGGTGGAACCACCGTTTCTCATGGGCATTGGTAACATTACCAAGGGTTGACTCCCTCATGCCCTAACAACGACAAGTGCACCTGAGGAACCCTCATGGTACGACCACAGTCTACTCACATTCCTAACTCTAAATGGCACCAGGTCATTTGTGACAGGTGTGTGAGTGAGAATGTGATCACACTCCTAGAAAACAAGCTCTACAGCAAGGCTGACTGCAAAGGAAGCAAAACAGACATTCAAGAGCAAAGTCCACCACAAGATGTTTTGCCACACTTAATTTTCTGACATTTTTATAATATTTCTAGCCTGTGTTTCACTATGGCATTGACACAGCTTGCAAAAACCCTGGCTGCCAAAATACTATTTAGACTACAGGGACCAAAAAATAACTTCTTCAAAACCTTCTACTTGGCATCCTGGTTCATAAAAGACCTATCCTTTACAGTATGAAAACAGCAATTACATTTAAAGTAATTAGCAGGACATTTGTTGAAATACGTGTTAGTTAACTATAAAACAAAACAACTAAATCCCTAAACATATCTATCTGCACTGACATGCTGTAAGTAAAAACAGTCTACCTGCCTTAGTTGAGGAGGGGTTATAAATATGACAATCAAAGAAATGAGTGTGGGGAGATAATCGCAGTTAACATGGATGTATTATAACAGTACAACCATCAAAAGCAGGGAATGAACAGTGACACAACACTGCCCCCTCTCATCTACACACCCGATTCAGACTTTACCAACTGTTATCAATGCTCCTAATAGCAAACAAACTAGATCTTTCTTCTTCCATTTCCAGATCCAGCCCATGGCCATGGAGTACATCTATCTGTCACATCTCTTCATTCTCTCGGCAGTTCCTCAGTCTTCCCTTGTCCTCTAGGTCTCTGACATTCTCAAAGGGTACAGGTCAGTTATTTTGTTGAGCATCCTCGACTTGGGTCTGAATGCTCACTAGATTCAGGTGAAGCATTTTTAGCAGCAGGATCACAGAAATCATGCTGCTTTCTCAATAATTTGTGTTAAGAGCCACGCAATGTCAGTTAGTCCAATTACTGGTGATGTTAACGTTGACTGCATATGTCAAGTTTGTCCAAACTCCAGTTACTATTTCTGTCTTTGTAATAAACATGACTTTTGTGGGGACATACTTTTTGGGACTATAAATGATCTAGTTCTTCATAACATTTTCACCCACTGGTTTTAGCACCCACTGGTGTTTCTTGCAGGAATAAATTATTACTGCGGTGGCTGCCAAATGGTGATTTTCTAATTCTAAGGTTCTTTCCTATGTTAACTATGAGTTTACTGTTGGAAGAACTTTCCCCTCTTGCCTATGTACTCAGTTACCTCACTATGGATGCAGGAGTTTCTGTTATTCAGTGGATTATATTCATTACTAGCATTATTTATTTTGATGTTCCAGTGACCTCAGATGTGGCTTCTGACATGTCCCCATCTTTCTCTGAGCATACAGCAAGATCTTACAGCCTCATCTTGTATTTTCCAAAGAGGCCTGGTTCCTTTTAGTGGAGAATGGTATCTAGAAACCAACATGTGGGAGCTAAATGTGTTCCTCAGTTAGTGGCATGTCACTGCTCCCAGGCCCTCTGTGTGGCCAGAGCTGGAAGATACGTATGTGCACAGACACACACATACACACACATGCACAAGTGGATTTCTTTCTGTATCTACATATATTGAAAATAGGAGTTCACACCAATACCATCAATTCTATCCAACAGCACAGGATTCATTCCAGCCTTCACTCTTTCCTTATATCTAACTCTGTACACCTTGATGGATTTTTTACAAGGTGAACACATGTACATCAAGAAATAAAGCATTACTAGCTCCTCAGAAATCCCTCTTTGTCCCCTTCCTGTCACTACTGTCCCCTCCCCTCCAGGATCACTACCACACTGGCATCTAATACCACAGATCAGTTTATTGTGTTTTTGAACTTTTATGTAAATAAAATCATACCATATCTACTCTTTTATATCTGGATCTTTCACTCACATTATGTTTGTGCAGTTTATCTACACTGCATATAATTGGAGCTTATTTGTTCACAGTGATGTAAGGGACTGTGTGAGTATACCACAAAATCCATGCTATTGTTGATGGGAATTTGAGTATATTTCAGTACTATTACCAAAAATTTTAGATTTTTTTTTTTTTTTGAGACAGGGTCTTGCTCTGTCACCCAGACTGGTGTGCAGTAAGTAGCACGATTGCAGTTCACTGCAGCAGCCTCGAACTCCCTCAGCTTCAGGTGATCCTCCCACCCCAGCCTCTAGGGTAGCTAGAACTACAGGCATGTGCCACCACACCGGGCTAATTTTTTGTATTTTTTTGTAGAGACAGGGTTTTGCCATGATGTCAAGGTTGGTCTCAAATTCCTGGCCTCCAGTGATCCTCCCACTTCAGCCTCCCAAAGTGTTGGGATTATAGGTGTGAGCCACCGCACCTGACCAAATTCTAGATTTGTGTGTGTGTCTTTTGGTAACATCTCTATGCATTTCTGTTCAATGTATACTTTAGGAACAAAACTGCGGAGGCATAGAGTACATTGTTCAGCTTTAGCAGATACTGTCAGTTTTCTTTTTTTCTTTTTTTGAGACGGAGTCTCACTCTGTGACCCAGGCTAGAGTGCAGTGGCGCGATCTGGGCTCACTGCAAGCTCCGCCTCCCAGGTTCACGCCATTCTCCTGCTTCAGCCTCCCGAGCAGTTGTGACTACAGGCACCCGCCACCACGCCTGGCTAATTTTTTGTATTTGTAGTAGAGACGGGGTTTCACTGTGTTAGCCAGGATGGTCTCGATCTCCTGACCTTGTGATCCACCCGCCTTGGCCTCCCAAAGTGCTGGGATTACAGGCGTGAGCCACCGAGCCCAGCCAATACTGTCAGTTTTCTAAGGTGGTGATACCAATTTAGAGAATCTTTGAGTGAAAATATAACCAAAAATGAGGAGTAACTATTGTCTGTTAGCTTCATTGTAGTAGAGCAATAATAACATGAGACGCAGAAAAACGTTCATAATATACCCTTGGGTGAAAAGAACCTGACAACAAAGCTAGGTATTCAGCTATATAGAAAACACCCATTTGTTCTGTGAGGGAGGAAGAAGCCTTTTATTTGTTGAACTGAAATGTTATTTTCGTCACTAAAAATGTACATATATGACTGACATAACTGGAAAGAACACTCTGACAATACATAAACCCAATTTAAAAAGGTAGTAATATGTATCGAAATACAATTCATCATGCAGTCAGTAGAACAGAAGCAGGCTATGAATTGCATGAACATGGTACAGGCTGAGCATCCCTAATCCAAAATGTTCCAGTATCTGAACTTTTTGGGCACCAACATGATGCTCAAAGGAAATGCTCATTGGAGCATTTTGATTTCAGACTTTCAAATTTGGGATGCTCAACCAGTAAGTATATTCCCGAATCCCAAGTCTGAAACAATTCTGCGGTCCACAACATTTTGGAGAAGGGCTGCTCCACGTGCGCAATAGAAAGTGTTAATAGGAGGAAAGCAAGTGAAGCTTGAGTTAAAATACTTCCCTGTGTCTGACTTGGGAGGCAAAGGGGTCTACAGGTTTACACAGCAATCTATTTCATCTAACGACCTGCTGTCTGCATCTGCATCAGGTTATCCACATTGCTTCCTTCCCATGTCCCAGTGATTTTGTTTTCTTACCTCTGCATGAGGAAAAGGTGGTTCTGGAAGATACACCTTACTCTGTTTGTTGTGACAAAGCCTATTAAAGAGGAAAAACACATCAGCATGTGAGGAAGAGCATACGGTGGCATCTGTTGCCACCTAGTGGCAGCAGTGCAAATATTAAATACTGAAGTTTATTTAAAAATTTCCCGCCAGTGAATTTCACTGTGAATGAAATCCAGTGCCTACAGAGAAGAGATGTATCTTGTATGTTTTTAAACTTTAGAATTTCTCAATACATTTTTTCTTAAAATATAAACTTGTTATTTTGGAATAATTTTAGATTTAAAGAAAAGCTGCAAAGACAGTACAGAGTTTCCATGGCCTCTTCACCCTATGTCCCCAGAGTTAACATCTGATATGACTGGCACAGTCGTCAACTAAGAAATTAACATCAGGCCAATGACAATCAACTAAACTCCAGACTTCATTCAGATTTCACTAGTTTTTCCAATCATGTCCCTTTTCTGTTCCAGGATCCAATCCGTGGTATCATATTGCATTTAGTTGTGGTCAATTTCACAAAGAAAGTGATCTACACCTTGAGACATGGCTTCTGTTTTTGTCCATGCACTTTTTTTTTGGAGACAGAGTTTCGCTCTTGTTGCCCAGCTGGAGTGCAATGGCGCGATCTCGGCTCACTGCAACCTCCACCTCCTGGGTTCCAGTGGTTCTCCTGCCAAAGCCTCCCAAGTAGCTGGGATTACAGGCACCTGCCACCACACTCGGCGAATTTTTGTATTTTTAGTAGAGACGGGGTTTCACCATGTTGGCCAGGCTGGTCTCAAACTGCTGACCTCAGGTGATCCACCCGCCTCGGCCTCCCAAAGTGCTGAGATTACAGGCGTGAGCCACTGTGCCTGGCCCTCACACTCTTTTTAACAGCAGCATTGGTAACTCCAACTAGAGAAGAACAAAGGATCACAGGCTAGAGACAATGTGAATGTTTTTGGTAATTTACATTTGCTTTTTCCTAGTCAGTTATGACTTTACAATACTGAGATGTCTGGATAAAGCAAATGTGGCAAAAAGTTCACAGTTGATAAATCAATATATGTGGGTGTTGTGCAGGTTTGACATTTAAAAAAATAGTCACTACTTTGAGGGGAGGAGCTCAGGACTTCAGGGCTTGGATTTTGTATTAATACATTGTATCTAATTTTTCCTACCCTTAGTTTCGTTTAAGTTTGGTTTAAAAAAACATCACTTTATACCCTACTTGGAAGATATAAATATGGAAGAGCAAGATGCTTTTGGAGGGTTACCTTATATTATCTAAATAGACACTAGTTCTGTCTTTATTTCTAGCTCAGGGAGACAAATATAAGAGCTTGGTTCTAAACTTATTTTGATTGTTCCAAAGGACATTATCCTACATGCATTAAAGGCAGAGATTAGGGATACAGAAGAGATTACAATATGATTAGAGATTGTGAAGCCCACCTACATAATGCTTAGGCCAGTTCTGCTAACAGATCCTCCATACTCTGCTCTAGAATCCTCATGCAGGCACAGCAGACAGGGACCCACCCCCTTTCTAAGACAGAGGCTGAAGGACCTGATTAGAGTTTGCTTCTTCTGGGGGTAGCTGTTAGAGTTCAAAAGGAGATCTGTGTATACCAGATTATCAGGAAGAATGAAGAATAAATGGCGCTTCTAGGTTTATCTCTAATTGGGAATGTGACAGACCCTCCTGCTCCCTGATGGCCAGACCTCAGGTACCGCACACTCTTCCACTGCTTGTTCAAAAAAGGATCAGAGCCAGGCACTGTGGCTCAGGACTGTAATCCCACCACTCTGGAAGGCCAAGGCGGGCAGATCACTTGAACCCAGGAGTTCATGGGTTCAGACGAGATGCAACCTTGTCTGTACAAAAATTAGCTGGGCATGATGGTGACACCTGTAGTCCCAGGTACTCAGGAGGCTGAGGTGGGAGGATCGCTTGAGACCAGGAGGTTGAGGCTGCAGTGAGCCGTGATTGTGCTACTGCACTCCAGCCTGGGCGACAGAGTGAGAGCCTGTCTCAAAAACCAACCAACCAACCAACCAACACTCCAAACCCCAACACTCCAAACTCCAAAAGATCAGAGAGGTCTTTCAAGAGCTATTCCCTCCCATCTCCATCCCCTGCAAAAACAAAACCAACCCAAACAACCAAGCCCCTTAGCTCGGAGCAAGGGCAGACACTGGACAGCAAGGGGCTGGGCTTCTGCAGGCATCAAAGCAGGACCATGTAGAAGCCAGAGCAGAACCCCTGAGAACGGGAAGCACAGAGCCAGGGAACCAGAGTGATAGGGAACAGCAGGCCGGGCCTGAGGCTGAGCACAGAGCAGCCAGGCTGTGAAGCACCCGTTCAGAACACCAAAGAGGAGAGGAAGCCAAACCCTCAGCACAGGCTTGTGGTGGTCCTGGCATGGGGGGCTGGGACTTGCTAAGTTAATGCAAGTCTGGAGCTAGCAGCTATCCATTTTGGTAACTGAGTTCCTTATTTAGGGAAAAAGGGTGCCTTACAGCAAGGCTGCATGAAAGAGAACAGCACAGTGAAACAGAAACACAGAGAAATCCCCCAGGCTCAAGAAATCCTCTTGCCTCAGCCTCCCGAGTAGCTGGAACTATGGACATGCACCACCATACCCTGCTAATATTTTAATCTTTTGTGGAAATGAGGTCTTGCTATGTTGCTCAGGCTGATCTCGAACTCCTGGCCTCAAGCAATCCTCCCGCCTTGGCCTCCTAAAGTGCTGGGATTACAGGTGTGAGCCACCCTGATCGGCCTCTTCTACTTCTTTAACTATTTGTCTTCACACTTTTCCTAAATATTTGTTCTCTAATGACCCCAAAAATGCAGGCATTACTTAAGTCCATCCTTTCCCCACTGCCTGTTCTTCTAACCTCAAATCCTCTCCCCAGACAATCCCATTCATTCTTGTGGCAATCCCAGCCACTCAACTACCTCAACGCTGAGGACACCCCAACCTATGACTCCAGCCTGGGCTTCTCAGATCTTTGGATTGGACAAGTTTCACCTGCACATCCCCTGCCTCAGGCACCGTCAATGCCCTCAGGGACAAAACCAAACTAAGCTAACCACACTTGCTGTATGAACCTACCCTTCCTTTGTAGAACCTATTTTGTTTGGGGTCAACACGATCTACTACACTAGAAATTGTGGTGTCAATCTTGATTGCTACCTTTTCTGTATCAAGTAACCAGTAAGTCCTGCCCCTTGTATTTCCTAATCACCTCTCATATGGGTTCCTGCCTTGCTTTCCTCCAGGATGGTAGAGACTGGAGTCTTCAGTCCCTCGACTTCTGCAAAGACTCTTGTCTTGTACTTCAGTTGCACCCCCTCCCACCACCTCCCAACAAACTTCACATAAATGCAGAAGGCTCTATATAAAATGCACATATAATCATGTTCATTTCCTGCTTAGAATCCTCCAATGAATCCCCCCCATGGACAGGATCCCTCTAGCCTCATACCCTGCCACTCCCCACCCTGAACTTCATACTGTAACAATAAAGAACTATGGATAGTTCTCTGAACAAACCAAACCATTCTAACCTCCCATCTATGTCTTGGCTTGTGTTATCCTCTCCACCCACACATCACCGCCGGCAGACCACCCAACTCATCCTTAAATAGTGTTTCTGTCTGGCTGATTCTTGGTTATTCTTCAGGAGCACCTCCTTCCAGAATGCCTTTCTTAACCCCCCAAATGGGGTCACCACCCACCCCTTCTCTGAATACCATACAGATATACGTAGGTGTGTGTGTGGGTATGTGTGTATATATTTCCATCAGATTACTTCCGAGTGGTAAGAGGTTTACACAGCTGCCTCTTCCTTCATGGTACAGATTCCTCAAGGTCAGGGACCTCTTTGTATCCTCAGTGCTTTGGCACTTAAAGGTTTATGGATTTAAGCAAATAGAACTATCGATGGAAACAAGAATAATATGATCACTGAGTTTAAGAGTCTACGGGAGGAATATTTGAAAAGCTTAAAAGACAGACACACATCCCATGTCTCAGCATGGGAAAACTACTGCAAACTGTAATTTATAGGTTTTGTGGACTCAAAAAGATATTCTGAAAACTGATACAGTGATTCCACAATTCTTCCACAAAAATAAGTAAGCAAAAATAGCTCCAAGAATTCTAAGAAAAATAATGGAGAAATGTACTTTACCACAGAGTACAATTATAAGTGAGGCTGCAGTTATTAAAATATATTAGCATCATGTTGGCCAAAGAATGAATGGATCACTCAATCAGGATAGTCTAGAAACAAAACCTGGTGCATATGAAAGTCTGGCATATGGCATTAATACAAATCAGCTGAAAAAGTTAACATTACTCAATAAATAGTACTTGGACAGGTAAGTACTTGACTACTTGGGAAAAAATGAAATTAATGCTTCTCTTCATACTATATACTAAAACAAATTCCAGATAAAATAGTTAAGGGGTGATGTAAAAAAAGAAAGAAAGAAGCTACAATAAAACTGAAAGAAAGTATGTTTAGCCATGTGACACCTATAGAGGCAAGAATTTTCTAAACATAGTATCAACAGAAGAAACTGCAAAAGAGACTAAAACTATCAGTATAAAAAACTAAAAAAAACTTCTTGCAAAAAAACAAAAAAATCAAAGGCCTAAATGCAATGTGTTACCCTGGATTGGATCCCAAACAAAAACAAAAAAAAAAATTTGTGGAAAAACTGGTGCAATCAGAATAAAGATTCAGAGTTAATAATAATGTACTAATGTTATTTAAGGGTGGGCGCAGTGGCTCATGCCTGTAATCCCAGCACTTTGGGAGGCCGAGGCGGGTGGATCACCTGAGGTCAGGAGTTCGAGACCAGCTGACCAGCATGGTGAAACCCTGTCTCTACTAAGAATACAAAAATTAGCCGGGCATGGTGGCGGGTGCCTGTAATCCCAGCTTCTTCGGAGGCTGAGGCAGGAGATTTGCTTGAACCCAGGAGGCGGAGGTTGCAGTGAGCGGAGATTGTGCCACTGTACTCCAGCCTGGGCAACAGAGCAAGACTCCGTCTCAAAAAAAAAAAAAAGTGACAAAGAAGAATAATTTGTACATGGGATAGAGACGCCTGTATGAGTCTAAACACAGCGGGGAAAAAAACGACCACAGAAGGGAATGAAAAAAGTACTTTACAAAAGCAAGGGTTGGGGGCAGCGTAACTGAATATATCATGAGAAGATGATGTACAAATTCCTTTTTAATTAGAAACTCAGTACATGCTGTGTCTATCGGCTACCTCATGACTAAAAGGGATTAAATGCAGCCTAGACTGCCTGTGTCACAGTCCCGGAACGTTTGGGAAGCACCATTCTAAGGCACCACTGGGGATATTGTAAAAGTTATTTTCCTCTTCTCCCTTTATTTTTGGTCAGGTGAGTTACATTCAAACATGCACCTAAATAACTCTAAAAAGGTTCACTAATTTCATATTGTTTCATATTTTGCCAACTCTAGGATTTGATCAATTTTCTGATGTAATAAAATTTTGTCAAATATCATACTATTGCAATTTTTAAAAATCTAGTTTTTCTTCTCAGATTTGGCACTATACATTTTAGACAACATGAGATTGGGCTTGAAAATTTTTTTAACTTTTAGAATGTCATTTCACCTAGTAACAGGCAGAGGGTGACATGTGATAAGTATATAAGATTTTTGTTACCAGTTTTGAAAGTGCTGGGCTAAGGTAAGTCTCTGCCTTGCATTCTTCCCTCTTTGACAACTATTATTCTAAACTTAGCAATGCAACAGATTTGGCTTTTAATAATGCAATCTTATCACAGACAGAAAAACAACAAAATGAAATTTCCACAGTAATGTGAGAAAAAACAGGATTATTTTTATTCTTACTGCTTGAATGTCCTGAATCAAATAAAATTCACAAAAAAAAAAAAAAACCACGGACATACCACTCAGCAAAGATCTGGGAAAACTCCAGTGAACTGTTGGCCACAGGGGAGATGAAGTAGAGGGGGACGCTGGAAAGCCCGGCTGAGTCGATGTACTGATATAGGCACTCCAGGAGGTCATAGATCACTCCAGAAGGGTAGCAGGGAACCAACACGTTTCCTCCATTCCGGACTGTCAGAGCTAGAAAAGTGGATGCCAGAGGAGAAAAAACATCATATCAAAAGGGCAGTGTTATAAAGATAAACTTGTAAAATAAGATTTGCACTTGTTTTCCTACTTCTGTTTTTATGATTTACTTACATGTCTAATAAGCTGCTTCTTTTGAAGAACACATCAAAGCAGGGGATGCTATAGGCTGATAATGATTTTCTCATCATTGTCTAATCTAGGTCCCTGGGAATAGAGCATGTGACTACGGGTTTGGGTTTTTACCAATGGCAGCTGAGCTTCAGGACAGAGCCTCCAAGCTCCTTCCCGTTTTAGATCCTGCTCAAAAATTTGCTGGATTTGTCTCTGTTCAGTCTCTGACCATGGCTGAATGACCTATAAGAAAATAGGCCGAGTTTTTCTGTTTGACTAACGTTTGTCTGCAGGAGTTAGTAGTATTTTCTTTCATTAACATTTGTCTGCAGGAAAATCCCCTATACTTTAAGTACTTAGGCTCACCTAGATGCTATAACTTGAGGGCTGGTGGACTTGCTATTACTAGAGTATGGTACTAGAGTAGGATACAGTGGAGAAAATCAACATCGCTGGTCATAGCTCAAGAGCCTGTCTCAAATCCTACCTTTGTCCCAACCCACAGGACCACAGGAAAGCCACTACAACCTTCCTTGGCCTCAGTTTCTGCATCAGTTACATGAAAAGAATGAATTAGATCAGTAATTTTCAAGCTTTAGTTTGCGTGGAAAATGCCAGAGAACATGTTGAAAATGCAACTTTTCTTCTGGAAGTCTCCTTTCCCCAGAGATTCTGACTTACTAGGTCTAAGGTAGGGCCCCCAAATTTGCATTTTTAATAAGTAATCCCATTGGTCTTAAGGGAATGCGGTTAGTGGACCCCACTTTGGGAGACTGAATTAAATGTAAGGTTCCTTTCAAGCCTAAAGTTCTTTGAGTCTGTGATTCTAGATTATAAACAAACATACAAACCAAGACTCTATTTGAGATTAGTCCAATTATTTTTCTAAGGTACAAATAAATTACCTTTGCATTAGTATCAAAGAACAAAAACAGACTATGTTTATTAGCATGGCTAAGTTTAATTTCTAAGAACAGTGCCTTCCGTGTAAATATAAGATGACCACTTCTTCTTCCTAGAGCAGAAGTAATATCACTTAAAGTTGCTGGAGCTGAAGGTCTGAGCTCATTAATACCTCTTTGGTAGCTGTTACGGACTGAATGTGTGTGTCCCCCACAAGATTCTCATGTTGGCCTAACCCCCACTGTGATGGTACAGAGAGGCAGGGACTTTGGGAAGTGATTAGGTTTAGATGAGGTCGAGGGTGCAGGCCCCATGATGGGATTCATGCCCTCATAAGAAGAGGAAGAGAGGCCAGGCATGGTGGCTCACACCTGTAATCCCAGCACTTTGGGAGGCCGAGGCGGACGGATCATGAGGTCAGGAGTTCGAGACCAGATGGGCCAACATAGTGAAACCTTGTCTCTACTAAAAATACAAAAATTAGCCGGGCACAGTGGCGCACACCTGTAGTCCCAGCTACTCGGGAGGCTGAAGCAGGAGAATCGCTTGAACCTGGGAGGCGGAGGTTGCAGTGAGCCAAGATCGTGCCACTGCACTCTAGCCTGGGCAACAGAGCAAGACTCCGTCTCAAAAAAAAAAAAAAAAAAAAAAAAAAAAGAAGAGGAAGAGACACCAGAGCTTCCCCTCTTCTCCACATGAGGACACTGCAAGATGGCAATCATCTGCATCAAGAAACGACCATGCTGGCACGCTAATCTCAGACTTCCCAGTCTCCAGAATTGTGAGAAGTTAATGTCTGCAGTATTTTGTTACGGCAGCCCAAACTAACTAAGACAGTAACCAACCTATTTGTCTAAATGAGAAGCAGAACTTCCAGATTTAGTGACAGTTATATCCGAAGGAAAATAAATTTCTTCCAGGTAGAAAATGCCCCATACCTCTCTTAATTTAGCCTTTCCTCAAAAGAAGAAAAAATAAAACCAACCAAATATTAGTGGGGAAAAAATATACCTGTTTGGCCGGGCACTGTGGCTCATGCCGGAAATCCCAGCATTTTGGGAGGCCAAAGCGGGCGGATTGCCTGAGGTCAGGAGTTCCAGACCAGCCTGGCCAACATGGTGAAACCATGTCTCTACAAAAAATACAGAAATTAGCCGGGTGTGTTGGCACACGCCTGTAGTCCCAGCTACTCAGGAGATTGAGTCAGGAGAACTGCTTGAACCCAGCAGACAGAGGTTGCAGTAACCCAAGATTATGCCACTGCACTCAAGCCTGGGTGACAGAGAAGACTCTGTCTCAAAAACAACCACACAAACATTCATACATATCTATCTGTTCACTGTATCGCTGCTGTGAGTTCAAAGTGTAACACTCTTTTCTGTGCTATTATTTGCAAAGATATACTGCCTCCCTCCTTTGACAACTGCTACCCTGTAAGCACTCCTTCCCCCATTATTGTAAAATATTATATTTATTATTGTAAAATAAATGCAAGATAGATCATCCAACGTAAGATGAGAGACGGTTGCACACCTAGGTTGCTGCAGAACTCTCCCACCATTCCATCTGGGTTTGCAGTGGGGATCTGGGTAAGCCCTGTCAGAACAAGAACATCGCTGTTTTTGAGAGAAGCTTGGTCCATGGGCTGAAAAAGAACACAGAAATATGGTTAGTAATTTTAAAAGGAACATTACCTACAAATAGTGAAAGAATACGAGAACACAGACATTGCTCTTTCTACGTTTAACCCATCATCGAGTTCTCTTATGTTCTCTAAGGAATAGTCTGTCCTTAACCACTGGCTGCCTAAGTTGGGTGGGGACTGATGGGAGGAGGCAAGAGGGAGCTTTATAAGGGATGAACAAGTTCTGTATCTTCACTGGGGCACTGATTATATCAAAATTCAGTATTACACATTTAAGATCTTTGTGTTTCACCATATATACATTTTACCTCCATTAAAACAAGGTATCTTGTATTTCTGTAATGCTTTCTTCTTTTCAAAATGCTATCTCACGTGTCATCAGTGGCTCTCAAGCTTCATGAGTCAGAATCCCCTGGACGGTGTGCTAAAACACGGATTGTTGGGCCCCTCCCAGAGTTTCAGATTCAGGTTGGGGTGGGGCCTGAGAATCTGCATTTTCACATCTTCCCAGGAGATGCTGCCATTGCCGGCCTGGGGAATCACACTTTGAGAAGCATACGTTATAGAATTTGATTCTCAGAATAACTCTGAAGCACAGGAAATAAGCATACACTATCGGAATATGGAATTTAGGACTCAAAGAGGTAAGGAGATTTACACTAAGTCCCAGTGGCATAGAAGCCATGAAGAACCCTGGATTGGGAACTAGAAGGTCAAATCTACTCCCAATTCCATGACCAGCCTCATGACCTCAGTCACAGCTCTGAGCTGGATTTCCTATAAAATGGGGCTATTTCTTGACCCATCTCCCCTAGATGACTTCAGTAAGTCTCACAGGTTAACATCCATGATCTTCTTGTGAACTAGGAACTCCCAGGGCACACTACTATGTGATTCTTAGGATGCTGTGTTTTTATTTTTACTCACCACAGCTTGAATGTAATTTTGATTGTTTTCAAAGCATTTCAAAAAATATTACCCTTTCTAAATAAATTAGGATTAAAATAAGAAACCAAAATGAGGGCCCATGGATTGAGAAGCTGGAGAGCTCACAGGAGAGTTCATAAAGGTTTCCATCTGAAACACATCCTTTCCTCATCTCCATTGAAAATACCCAGTGGATCGTCAGAAGAAAAAAGCCAGCAACACAGTTTACTAAGAAGGCTTACTCCTCTTTTTTCTCTCCCACCCAATTTCGCAGTAAATAAAATTCCAAATAATAGCAAAGTCTCAACATCTGCATTGTGGTCTCCGAGTAGCTGTGCCTTCAGTATTTTCCTTTCACCTTCTATTATATATAAGCATGGATACATGAGCTTCATTATTTTTTAAATAACACAATTTTGATCTTACGTTATAAGCGGCTTTATAACCTGAAAAACATTTAATATGGAAACAGAAAAAGGCCAGTGGTGAAGACAGCTATATGTGAATAGCTTCTATTTTCTATTTGCACAAGTATATTCACACAAATATGTAAGAGCTTTTTCTCTGCTTGGGCAGAACTCATCTATTTGTACTTCTCCAACAAATACATATGCATCCATTATTTCCAGAGAAGAGAGGAAGGGAAGTACAGGACAGTGATTCTTAGCAGCAGATGTGTAAGGGGCCTCAGACTGTTTCTCGTGTGCGAGTTATCAACTGCAAGGAAACCAGAATGGTGAGAAAGGAACCAAGGCATCAATGGATAGCACAGTTAGCTTAAAATGGCAATCATTTTATATGGACCTTGTTAGAATGAACCAATAATGATCCCGAGGGCTAAAGGGAGATGAGGGACTTTAGAGGATCCAGGAACCTTCTAAAATGGTATATACAATTCTGTGTGTGCCTGTGTAAACTTTTCTTTTTTCTTTTTTTTCTTTGAGACAGCTCTGTTGCCCAGGCTGGAGTGCAGTGGTGCCATCTCGGCTCACTGCAACCTCCACCTCCTGGGTTCAAGGAATTCTCCTGCCTCAGCCTCCTGAGTAGCTGGGATTACAGGTGCTCATCACCAAGCCCGGCTAACTTTTGTATTTTTAGTAGAGAAAACTTTTCACCATGTTGGCCAGGCTGGTCTTGTACTCCTGACCTCAAGCGATCTGCCTGCCTTGATCTCCCAAAGTGCTGGGATTACAGTCGTGAGCCACCACGACCAGCCTCTGTGTATACTTTTCCATAAATTTAACTGGGTGGTGAAATGGGGCCATGACCCCAAAAAGATGAAGAACTACTGATTCACACTTGAACTCTGACATTTGAGGCTGCAGTGAGCTATGTTTGCACCACTGCGCTTTAGCCTGGGTGGCAGTGCAAGACTCTCTCCCTCTCAAATAAAACAAAAGACCTACTGATCCAGATAAAAATATATAACACAGGTCAGGCTCAGTGGCTCACACCTGTAATCCCAGCACTTTGTGAGGCCAAGGCGGGTGGATCACGAGGTCAGGCGTTCGAGACCAGCCTGGCCAACATAGCGAAACCCAGTCTCTACTAAAAATACAAATAATTAGCTAGGCGTGCTGGCGGGCACCTGTAATCCCACCTACTCGGGAGGCTGAAGCAGGAGAATTGTTTGAACCCGGGAGGCGGAGGTTGCAGTGAGCCAAGATCACACCATTGCACTCCAGCCTGGGCAACAAGAGCGAAACTCCGTCTCAAACAAAACAAAACATATAACACAGAGCAAACTCTAGAAACATTATCTCTGAACCTTGGCCATTAGCATCTTCTTCCTTTGAATGTTAAATGACCACTAACAAACAAACAGAGGCAGTGCTACAGTACGAATGTCGAATGTCACCGAGTTGGAACCATTGTAAGATACCTCATGATCAGGTCAGACTGGATGTTTGTAATTTTAGCTCTTAACTCAGAGACATTTCTCGTTGATTCCCAGGGCTACTGTGATGAAGCAGGCTTAAAAGGCTTTTAGTGACACTCCAAACCAAGCTGACACCTCAAACAACTCCATTTCACCACTAAAGGGCAAATGTATAGATTACTGGTGTCAATGACCACTCAATGAGTGCTGCAAACGGGAACATTTTGTTCAAATACACACACAAAGAAAAAGCCATCTTGTCCAAGTACCAACTTAAAATACCTTACAAAGTTGAAAGTCACAAACAAGTGATTCTTCTTCTTGGTCACTTTGCAAGCCGGGGACCCCTAGCCAGCAACACCCAACTCGGGCCTCACTCAGCCACATTGGTGTGCTGAGGTCAGTAATACATGGCTTTTTGGCAGATGATGTTTTGCTCCAGTTTTCTTTCACTCCTTGGCTAAGGAACTTAATACTCAATTTCAACAGCCTGGGTCACTCACTGCCTTTGGAACATCTCCCGGACATCTCTCCCTTCCCCTATACCAAGTTGTCCCTTTAATATGTGCCCTGGGGCATCTAATACTTTCTATCTCAGCACTGATCACTCCAAACTGAAAGTACTATTTACTTGTCTGTGTCCCCCACAGGACTCTGAAGCTCCGTGAAGGCAAGAACTTTGTTTCCCTGTTGCCTAGCAAAATGCCTGGCATACAGCATTTACTAAACAAACATTTGCTGAACAGATGAATATATAAAAAGAACATGGTCTGGTAGGAAACGTCAGAATTTCACACTGGGAGAGTGCAGTGGGAGTCAGGAAGGTGAGGGGAAGCATGCAGACTGCAGGAGGCGGGAGGGCATGGGCAGGGCAAGGCAGCATGCATATGCCAAATGAATGTACTTGGCCAGGATGGAGAGTGTACTTTGGGCCGGAGAAAGGAGTTGAGTAAAGAGAGTGCAATTGGTAAAGGGCCAAAAAGGTCAGGATCATGCCCACTGACAGAGCAGGCAGTGAGAAGCCAACAGTCTGAAGCAGCAAATGACATTCTGGTAACAGCAATTACAGGAGATTTCACCAAAGGAGGTGGGTGAGATCAAACAGACAGAGAACATTTTTAAGGCCCATATAGCAGTCCAGACAGGAGAAACAAATTATAATGTCATGGCAGGTGAGGAGATGGAAGCAGCAGATCCACTTGACGGATCACCTGCACCCTGGAGAAAAGTTCTGCATGTACACATCTTCTCCCCCTATTATAACATCTGTAAATTTCATGTTTCTCCTATAGCCTAGTTAACTCTGTTCCCCAAAGTAGGGGTTTAGGAAATATCACTAACTATGTGAGGTAATGAATGAACAACTAAACAAATGCACATAAATGGTATACGTTACTTCTGAGAGAAGGAAATATTCTGCAGAGAGAAGCTGTACAGCCAGATAAGACAAACAAGATAGCAAGCGTGGAAAGAAACAGGTGGAGGGCCAGTAAATTGTCCAGTCTCCCCCTCCTTGCTTCATGGAACCAACCTCCAACTGATCCATGGACTATTAGTAGCTCAGCCTACCTGCCACCCTAGCCCCCAAATATATTAGGTTTAACTTTTACTGTAGAGCTTCCAGATCAGAGCATAGTATTGCAGAAACAGCAAAACATTTGGGGAAATTCAGGGGGAAGAAATCATTACAAAAAAACAAAACAAACCTACATAGCAACTGCCTTAGTTCTTAAAAATTTGATTCGGCTGGGCACGGTGGCTCACGCCTATAATCCCAGAACTTTGGGAGGCCAAGGCAGGTGGATCGCTTGAGCCCAGGAGTTTGAAACCAGCCTCAGCAACATGGCAAAACCCCATCTCTACAAAAAATACAAAAAAATTAGCCTGGCATGGTGGTGTGCGCCTATACCTCTAGCTACTCAGGAGGCTGAGATGGGAGGAACTCTTAAGCCCAGGAGGCAGAAGCTGCAGTGAACTGAGATCATGCCCTTGCCCTCCAGCCTGAGTGACAGAGTAAGACTCTGTCTCAAAACAAACAAACAAACAAAAAAACAAAAAAAACCCAAAAAACAAAAACCTTGATACAAGAAATCCAAATTTAAGATATTTTCTTTAGATTTAAGAAACTACATTACTGCCAGTCTTTATTTACTTATTTATTTATTTTTGAGACAGAATCTTGCCCTGTTGCTCAGACTGGAGTGCAATGGCGTGATCTCAGCTCACTGCAGCCTCAACCTCCTTGGGCTAAAGTAAGACTCCCACCTCAGCTTCCCAAGTAGCTGGGACCACAGGTGTGTGCCACCATGGCCAGCTAATTTTTGTATTTTTTGTAGAGATGGAGTTTTACCATGTTGCCCAGCCTGGTCTCAAACTCCTGGGCTCAAGCAATCCTCCTGCCTCGACCTCCCAAAGTGCTGGGATTACAGGCGGGAGCCACCAGGCCCAACCAGTGCCAGAGTCTTTAAGACCTCAAGAAAATGAGCCAATAGGAGCATTCCCCTGACCTTCAAAGGGAAAAGGATCATGAAGTACAGGTGTGGGAATTGTGCCAGCTCTAGGAGACATTCTCATAGGCCAATCACCGCCTTCCAATCCCATGGATAAGAAGGAATTCCCACAGTGAAGAATAAAACATCATAAGCTCAGGGAATGACTGGGTGGAAAATGCCAATTCATTTTCTTTTATTTCATTTCTTAAACAAATTATTTCCAAAATTCTAAGCCAGAGATTCTTAACCTGATAAATAACAATGGGCTTCTGAGGACTCCATAAACTCAGGGTCCCCAGAAATAAAAAGCGAAGTCTGTGTCAATGTGCATAAATGTTTTATTACTTTTTTTGGAGTAGTTCTCTCAGATTCTTACTATCAGGCTTTTGGTTAATGACCCACAAAATGTTAAGAACCACTGCTCGAAGGCAGACATCCCCCTGTGGAATCCTTGCTTTCAAATAATCTCTCCTCTCCTTCTCCCTCATAGACCCAAGGAACCTTAGAAACCAGAGAACCACGTGTCTTAGCTTCAAGGCCAAAAGTTATATGGGAAGGAAACAGCCCATTTGACTGGCTGTGCTTGGTTTTCCAAATTCATTCCAGAACAGAGACCAAGGTGTTGGTGCTGGAGAGTCTTCAAGGCCTTCAGGTAAGAGCTAAAGGCGTAGGATGGATACTTTCCAGGTTTCTTTTGTGGTCAGAAAGATGAGAAAAGATCAAAACAATAAACAAACTAAACCTAAACACAAATGAAAACATACTGCCAAGAGTAACAACAAAATATTCTACCACGCCCTACAATTTTCCATACTTCAAATCTTAGCCTGGTAAGGACATCAGTGTCACATTCTATTATAGATAAGTTTCTAAAACTAACCAGGCCTAGCTCATGCCTGTAATCCCACCACTTTGGGAGGCTGAGATGGGTGAATCACTTGAGCCCAGGAGTTCAAGACCACCCTGGGCAACATGGTAAAACCCCGTTTCTACAAAAAAAAAAAAAAAAAAATTAGCCAGATGTGCTGGTGCACTGTAGTCCCAGCTATTTGGGAGGCTGAGGTGGGAGGATCATCTGAGCCCATAGAGTTTGAGGTTGCAGTGAGTCATGATCATGCCACTGCACTCCAACCTGGGCAACAGAGTGAGACTGTCTCAAAAATAAATAAATAAAGTAAGTAAATAATAAAACCAAGCCCTAACGTCTAGGTATATGTAGCTTTTGCTATACTATGCTGGGGAATTTCACATCTCAAACTCAAGTCTACCCCTGAAGTCAGACAGAGTAGCCAAGAAGCTATTGAAATAATATGACTATTAAGTTGACTTTTCAAACCAACATAATACAAAATGTAGTATTCAAATACAGGTTCGCAGGTCACAAGCAAATCCATTCATTTGATTAGCCAGGGCCAGAAAGGCTGCAGCTTCAATAATCAAAAGTGCTTGCTAGTTATTGCCAATACGTTTATGGGATCTTTCCAACAGGTGCTGCTTGTTTTGTTCTATTAGTATTACCATTTTTAAACTGTGTCCTGGGCCCTTTTTCTGGGCAGACTGTACAACTGTTTGAAATAAGTTTTTTTAAGGAAAAAAGTTTTAAGCCATTTAAATGTCCAACAGTGGAAGAGTTAAACATTTCATGGTATATCCACGCGACAGACCACCAAACAGATATCATATGTCATGTGGTAGAATCCATGATGACCTAAGTAAAGTTCACTATACAGTTCATCAGAAAGAGTAGAAAAGCAGGCTGCAAATAGCTCTTAATGTCAGGATTCATATAGTTTTTATCTTTTCTCTGAGATTTTTGTATTTTCCAAAATTATTACAATAAATACAAATTAAAATTTTCTAATCAGAAATAGAAGAAAATAATATTATTTCAAAATAAGATGTCTATTATAACTCCTGACAAGACCACACATGGGCATGAACTGCTGGCATGCTCCCAGAATCTATTTTTATTTTTATTTATTTATTTTGAGACAGGGTCTCACTTTGTTGCCCAGGCTGGAGCACACTGGTGCAGTCACAGCTCACTGCAGCCTCAACCTCCCTAACTCAAGCGATCCTCCCACCTCAGCATCCTGAGTAGCTGGGACCACAGGTATGTGCCACCACGCCCAGCTTCTTTCTTGATTTTTTGTAGAGACGGGGTCCCACTATATTGTCCAAGCTGGTCTTGAACACTCCTGAGCTCAAGCAATCCTCCCACCTTGGCCTCCCAAGGTGTTGGGATTACAGGCATGAGCCAATATGCTCTGCCACACTCCCAGAATCTAAACTGAGAGGACAGAGACGCTCAGAAGCAAGGGCAGCTGACAAATTTGAGAAACTAAATCAAAACTGGGATAAATTCCTGGGGAAACTAGGGGTCTTGCAATGAGGACAAAATGGCAGGCAATCGCCTCTACTGCGGGTGGAGGAGAGGCTGGGTAAAAACCCTTTGTCCTTTTTTCTTTCCTCCGTATTACAGTTGGCAGATTGTGGAAGGTTCAATACCCCCCGCCCCCCTGCATGAGGAAGGAAATGCCAGAACAGTGGGATGAAGGTTCACAGAACACCAAGCCACTCCTTGCTTGTTCCCTCACACCACAAGGGCAAAGTGGTGACAAGTCAGGGAGACACTCAGGAGAAACAATGCCTGAAGCAGTGGTATGAGAGGAGGGTCCCTGAGGGTCAAGCAAGAAGAGCTCACAGGGAATCAAACAAGAACACCAAGGAAGGCAGCATCTACTAAACATGGTGAGCTAAAATCTATCCCCACAGGGAGAATTAGTGAACCAGAGAGTAGGAATATATGTATTAAAATGTCCCAAAAATACACAGAGGGCAATTAAAATGAGCAGGTATAAAGAGAAACACCTAGAAATACTGTGAACAAAAGTATAGTTGTGGAAATGAAGAGTTCAATAGATAGGCTGAGGAGCAGCATGAATACAGCTGAGAATGAATTCAGGGGCTGGAAGATTTTTTCCAGGAGGCTTCATGAAGTAGGTGGGAAATACACAAGAAAAAAGACATGCAATACACAGAAGTGTCAGTATCTATAATACTAGAAATTCCTTAAAAGGAAAAGAAAATCAACCAGGAGTAAGTAATTTAAAATATGACTAAGAATTTATTTAAGTTAAAGGAAATTGGAAGATCTCACAGATACTACATTCACAGGAAAAACACACATTGAAGAGAAATAATTTTAAAACTTACAAATATTAAAGTGAAAATTCTAAAAGCAGATCCCATATAATGGAACGCAAATCTAAATGGCTTCAGGGTTCTTAATGACAACAAGCGATACAAGTGGAAAATGAAGTCATATTTCCAAAGCTTTATCCTATCGAAGTTTTTTGCCTTTGATTTTTAATCCATCCAAGCTATCATTTAAATGTGAGAAAAAAATTAAAGACATTCTTAATAATTCAAGGCCTCACAGGCTTACCACTTCAAGACCCTCTAGATTCCCATTCCTCAAGCATTCCTGGAAGAAGAAAAGTCAATCTAGCAGGATGTTATGAGATCCTGTTTATGGAAAGTAAGGTTGAAAAACTTACAATATATCTCAATGAAGATCACTGTTGTTGCAGTAAGGAATATATTCACCACCGTATTATGTATGTTCTAAACGACCCAGAACTAAAATTCTAGATGGTTTCACCATGGTCATCATAGGGTATGATGTGCAAAGGAAGAGATGAGGGGAGATAGGGGAGATGAGGACAGTGTGGCTTTGGGAGGAAAGATACAGATACTGATAAGTAAGATAGTCACAGAAAAAATAAACTAAGAAATAACTCAGAAGAATAAAAATAAAATGTGCATTTTCACATATACAGAAGGAAATTTACACTTCTAAAGGAAGGCAAGAAAGGACTAGGAAAAGAATGAACTAAAAACATGAAAGAAGATGGTAAAACTACAATAGTCATCACAAGAAACACAAACAGGCTCACCAACCAAGAGACACTAGATTAAAAAAAAAATCCCGGCCAAGCACGGTGGCTCATGCCTGTAATCCCAGCACTTTGGGAGGCCAAAGGTGGACCGATCGCTTGAGGCCAGGAGTTTGAGACCAGCCTGGGCAATATAGGAAGATCCTGTCTCTACAAAAAAAACAAAAATTAGCCAGGCACGGTGACATGTGCCTGTAGTCCCAGCTACTTGGGAGGCTGAGGTGGGAGGACTGCTTGAACTGCGGAGGCAGAGGCTGCAGTGAGTTGAGATTGCACCATTGTGCTCTAGCCTGAGCGACAGAGCAAGACCTTGTCTCAAAAAAACAAAACAAAACAAAAAAAACCAGGCACATATGAAATGGGAAAAAGCCTCTTAGCTTTTAATGCAGTTTTTATAGAGAAAAAAAGAAAGCATCGAAGCATCCTGATAAAAAGAATAACTGATTGATAAAACACAATGATCATGAATATATGGACTCCTGAGTATACAGCTTAGAAATATTAAAAAAGTAAAAATTGGCAAACTACAGTGAGAAACAGATAAATCAACAACTAACACACCCTTTTCAGAAATCAGTAGCTAAGCAAAGATATAAGACTTGAATAATGCAAAAAACTCAAATACATATAGAAATATTTTACCCAACAGTGAATACACATTCTTTTCCAAGACACGTAGAACATTTACAAAAATAGATTGTGCTTCAAAGGAAGACTAATCAAATTTCAGTCCATCAGGATATGTTTATTATAATGCAAAAGATTAGAATCCTGAAACATATGCTTAAAAACATTTCCTCTAATCCTATGTCTAATCAGACTGGATGGACTAGAAACAAACAATTATACTGTAAAATAACCTTTGGTTATTTAAATCATGAACATTATAGAGAAAATTATGACATACTTAGAGATGAATGACAAAGCACTGAGTATCAAAAATGTAACAGAGTAAAATTATACTAAGAAACCGGTTGCTTTAAATACATTTATCGAAAAGCAAACACTGAAACACACTTAGCAAGTATTAAACAGAGTAAATCCAAAGTAAAGAAGGAAGGAAGGAGATAAAGGGCAGAACAAAGGATGAAAATACAACCAAAACGATTAAAAGCAAAAACTTATTTTTTGAATAAAATCAATAATACAGACAAACTTCTGGCAAGTCTGATCAAGATGATGATGAAAATAAAATTTAGAATGAAAACAGACTTACACAAAAAAGGTTAAACAAATAAAAGAGGATTATAAATAGCTCTATGCCTATGATTTTGAAAACCTAAGCAAAAAGGACAAATCTCTGCCAAAATTCTGGCACAATTTTGGCCCAGAAAATATAGTTCAATAATGGTAATCCAGGTCCAGACAGTTTTATGGAACATTTGACCAAACTTTCAGGAAAAGATAATCCCTATCTCATATACTTTTTTCTGACATTAGAAAAAGAGGGAAAGGCTCCCAAATCACCTTATGAGACTAATACACCTTGGCTTCCAACAAACAAAGGTAGTACAAGAAAATAATGTATGGGCCCATTTTTCACCTATGACTATAGATTATAAACTTCAATAAAATATTCACCAACTCATTCCTGGAGAGTATTTTAAAAAGAATAGATTGTAATCAAGCAAGATTTATCCCAGGAATATTGGATGGTTAAATGTGAGAAAAGCTAACACTGCAGTTCACTACATTAATGGTCTCAAAGGAGAGAAATCAAAGTTGATCTCACATGCTCAAAAGCATTTGATAAGGTATAACACTTATATCTGACTTTTAAAAAATCAGAAAGTTGGGGATAAAGGAGACACTCCTTAACTTGACAAATAAACATGGTGCAGTAAGCGTGATGTTTAACGAAGAAACTACAAAAGCTTTCCTTTTACAGCCTTATACAAGACAAGGATGTCCACTATCATCATTGCTGTGCAACGTAGTATTATAGGGCTCAGTCACAAGATAAGAAAAATAAAAGATACAAAGGTTAGAAGAGAGGTGAGAAAACTG
The DNA here is from genome assembly GCF_000001405.40 of Homo sapiens. NCBI lineage: Eukaryota > Metazoa > Chordata > Mammalia > Primates > Hominidae > Homo > Homo sapiens. Next base: position 28,807,920 of record NC_000008.11, read on the forward strand.
TTACTTCTTTGCAAGATAATATCAATAGATTATTAGAATTAAGAGAATTCAGCATGGTTGCTAAATATCAAATCAATTAAAAAATTAATACTGAGACCTCATGCTCAGTAAAGGCTAGTTCTCTTCCTTCTCCCTTTGGGAGGTTGCACTCTTTGGCCTCAATTTTCCTTTAACTCTCCATCCATTCTTACACAAGACTATTTTTCTTTCTTCCACTGTCTGTTGGTAAAAGTTCCCTATGGATCAGTCTTTGGCCCTCAGCCCTTTATTTAGATTTTTTTTTTTTTTTTTTGAGACGGAGTCTCTCTCTGTTGCCCTGGCTGAAGTGTAATAGTGCGATCTCGGCTCACTGCAACCTCCACCTCCTGGGTTCAAGCGATTCTCCTGCCTCAGCCTCCCGAGTATTTGGGATTACAGGTGAGCACCATCACACCGGTTAATTTTTGTATTTTTAGTAGAGATGGGGTTTCACCATGTTGGGGTCTTGAACTCCTGACCTTGTGATCTGCCTGCCTTGGTCTCCCAAAGTGCTAGGATTACAGGTGTGTGCCACCGTGCCCGGTTAGATTTTTAAAACGTGACAACTCTCCAGTTTGTCTCCAGACTTGCCTCCACATCCCAGTTCCAGCCCCATATTTACATCTGTCTAATGTTCTCTCAAATTCACATTCATGAAACCTACTACCCTCTTCTGCAACAAATGTCCCTCTGCCAACTCTTCCTTGTTAACTGGAATGGCCATTAACACCATTCTCAATGTCATGCAGACATAAGATCTGTAACTTTTATTCTTTCTTTTCTGAAGACAGTGGGCATTCAACAAATGTTTCTTGCATTAAAGACCCGCCAATGTTTTAACTCTTTTCTCCATTCTTACTGCCTCAGGCTTAATCCAAAGCCTTATTTCCCCATGTTTATCAGAATTCTACAGCAGCCTGTGATATTCTTCCTAGTTAGTAAAGATTGTACTCAAGTAGACCAGGGGTTAGCAAAGTTTGCTCTAACATTTAAAGTAGAATTCTGCCATTATAACTTTTTTTTTTTTTTTGAGACAGGGTCTTGCTCTGTTGCCCAGGCTAGAGTACAATGGCACAAACATGGCTCACTGCAGCCTCAACCTCCCAGGCTGAAGAAATCCTCATGCCTCAGCCTCCCGAGTAGCTGGGACCACAGGCGCATGCCACCGCACCTGGCTTTTTTTTATTTTATTTTAACTTTTCGTAGAGATGGGATCTTGCCATGTTGCCCAGGCTGGTCTCCAATTCCTGGGCTCAAGCAATCATCTTGCCTTGGCCTCCCAAAATGCTGTGATTACAGGCATGAGCCACCTTGTCCAGCCTACGGTGTATATTCAGCCATAAACATTCCATAAACAAGTGGGTGTGGCTGTACTTCAACAAAATATTATATGCCAAAATAGGTGGCATGCTACATTTAGTGCCCAGGCCACAGTTTGCTAACATCTGCATTAGTCTATCAAGTTTTTCAAACCAAAACTTTTCTCATCCCTGCCAATTCAATACACAATCCAATTACGTGGGTAGAGAAAAATCTAATTTTTTTCTTTTTTACATATAACACAGGTTGCCAGCTAAAAATTAAAATTAATTACTTAGGTATGTTGCTCATTACTTTCAAGACATTATTTTCCCTTTAAATTTATGGACCTTGTAAGAATAATTTACTGGAAATTACATCAATAGTACTGTAAAGGCTTTGAACTAAGCAGGACAAATCGCGAGAGTTGGCAACCAAGTCATCTTTCTGTCTTTTATGGAAGAACATATCAGGAACGATAGAAGCTGCCAATAAAAAATTTTGATTCAATGAAGCAGATGATGGTGACATTGATGGGCTTTTGATTTCAATAACCAGGAAGGGCCCAGAATTCCGCCAGATGCAGGAAAAAATAGCAACGTCCCCTCTAGACCTTGAGATGAAACTTGGCTATAAAAGAAGGTATAAAGAAATAATACAGAATGGCAGCTCAGACATCCTATTGTTCAACACTAGAGCACAGCATGGTTCTCCCTGTATTAAAATGGGGTCTGTTAATTATTGACTTAGCCATTCCATAATGCATGCACATATCAAGACATCATGCATACCATAAATATATACAATTTTTATTTGTAATTAAAAAATGAATAATTTCTTTCTTTCTTTACTGATAGTGCTCTAACATGGTGAATGTTCTTCAAACCCACTGGACTTTGTGTAAGAAGCATGGTTGGCACCAACCCCACAGAGTGACATGGTACAAGAAGGGAAAAGATGATCTGTATGCCAAGGGAAAGTGGCTTAATGGCAGGAAGGGGTGGCTATGTAGGCAGACCAAGCCAATCTTCTGGAAAAAGGCTAAAACTACAAACGAGATTGTGCTAAAGCTTAAGTGTTGGGCCCAACTGCAGATCTAGGAGAATGCTGGCTACTAGAGATACAAGTATTTTTAACTGGGAAGGGATAAAAGGAGAAAAGGCCAAGTGATCCAGTTCTTAGCTTCATTTTTGGTTTTATTATGAAGACAATAAAAATTTGAGGTTATGTTAAAAAATAAATAGGCCAGGTGTGGTGGCTATAGTCCTAGCTACTTGGGAGGACTGCTTGAGCCCAGGAGTTTGAGATTACAGTGAGCTATGACTACACCACTGTACTCCAGTCCGGGTGACAGAACAAGACCTTCTCTCTCTCTCTCTCTCTCCGTAAATAGATGTAGATAAACAAATGTAATATGGACTTCCACAAGTTACCTAATGTATCTATATACCCATTCAACAGCTAACTAATGTCCCCCCACTCCCTATTACAAACATAGAAATAACCAACATTCAGGAAATGAACAGTAAATTATTTACAAATACCAAAAAGGAGTAAGTATCACATTCATAACAATGTTTATATGTGCTAGGCTTCTTGCCAAATATGACTGGAATGAATAACTTAAAACGTTCCAATAGTTTCCCTCTCCATATTAAAATAAAACCAAAATTCCTCCTCACAGCCTGCTAACACTACATGACATGGTGTCTGCCACTCTCTTGGACCTCACTGCTGACCTCCACGCTGTGACCACAATAGCCTTCTCTGCCCTTCAAACATGCCCAGCTTATTCTTACTTTAGGGGCCCTTCACTGGCCATCCCTTTGTAATACAAACACTCACGGCTTTACGTGGCTAATTTCTCTGTTTTTCTTTTTTCTTTCTCTCTCTTTTTTTTTTTTTTTGTTGAGATGGAGTCTCACTCTGTCACCCAGGCTGGGTACAGCAGCATGATCTCAGCTCACTGCAACCTCTGTCTCCCGAGTTCAAGTGATTCTCCCGCCTCAGCCTCCCAAGTAGCTGGGATTATAGGTGCACACCATCACACCTAATTTTTGTATTTTTAGTAGAGATGGGGTTTCACCATGTTGGCCAGGTTGGTCTTGAACTCCTGACCTAAAGTGATCCACTCGCCTTGGCTTCCCAAAGTGCTGGGATTACAGGCATGAGCCACCATACCCGGCCTTTTTTTTTTTTTCTTGAGGCATAATCTCACTCTGTTACCCGCACTGGAGTACGGTGGCGCAATCTCGGCTGACTGCAACCTCCGCTTCCCAGGCTCAAGCGATCCTTCTGCCTTAGCTTCCTGAGTAGCTGGGACCACAGCGTGTGCCACCACACCCGGGTAATTTTTGTATTTTTTGTAGAGACAGAGTTTTGCCATATTGCCCAGGCCGGTCCTGAACTCCTAGGCTCAAGCAGTTATCCCATTTCGGCCTCCCAAAATGATGGGATTACAGGTATGAGCCACCGCGCCCAGCCGACATGGTTTATCTCTCCAGGTCTCAGTTCAAGTGAGATCTTCCCATTGGCTTTCCTGGGCACCCAATCTAAACCAATGGCCATCATTCTGAAAATCACCCTGCTTTACTGTTTTCAGTACTTGTATCTCAATCGGAAATGACCAGGCACTTTATTTGTTTACCTACTATACACCATCCTCTCCCCAACATCATCAACTCCCCTACAACATAAGATCTACGGGCACATGCTTTGCCCGTTGGTCACCACTGAATCCCCAATACCCAGATGTGTGCATGACACTTGACACTTGGCCCTTGGGAAGGATTTTAAACAGTTAATATTTGCTGAGTAAATGCATAACCATCTGTGTCCCACATCAGGCTATGGTCTTTGGAAGGCCTGGGGGATTTCAGAATCCTAGGAGTGACCCTCAAGGTAGCAGGACTATTTCAGAGAAACCTGTAGGTCAAAATGTTGAGACTCAAATAGTCTACCTTGGCTAGAGAGTATCTGTAGAAAACCATATTTGGAAGATTTAAAAATGGCTGATGGTTCCTTGGATACATTCTGAATTTGACTTAAGTAACCAAAAAGCTGAGTTGCTAGAAGAGAATTTGGAATTACCTGGGGGTGTGTGGTAAGCAAGGAGGATCCAGAGACATAAGACACTTTCTCGTAATGAGACTGGATGATCCAGTTGGAGCTCCCAAGGGCATAGCCAGAGCTCAGAGGAGTCACCTGGACCGCACCAAAAAGCTCCTAAAAGAGAACCACAGTAAGAATGTGCAATGAGCTTACAGTGACAGTCACATGAGGTAATTCTGCAGGGAAAAACAACAGAAATATCCTCAGTTTAAAAACAAAAATTATTTTAAAGTAAACCAGAGACTGGGTGCAATGGCTCACGCCTGTAATCCCAGCACTTTGGGAGGCTGAGGCCAGGAGTTCAAGACCAGCCTGGGCAACATGGTGAAACCCTGTCTCTACAAAAAAATACAAAAATTAGCTGGGCATGGTGGCACATGCCTGTAGTCCTCAAGCAGCTACTTGGGGCAGGAGGATCACTGGAGCCCGGGAAGTTGAGGCTGCAGTGAGCCATGTTTGTACCACTGCGCTCCAGCCTGAGTAACAAAGTGGGACCTTGTCTCAGTCAATCAATCAATAAAGTAAACTAGAAAGTTTTAAGGAAAACAGAAAGATGATGGAGATCAACTGGCAGACAAAGAAAGCAATCCTATAATATTTACTTGTCACCTGAGAGCTTCAGCTCTCTTCCATGTCCCCAGGCACTCAAGGTTCACACATTAAAAGGGAGAGATGAAATATTACCAAACAGACCAAAGACTCACACACTTTGGCTTTCCTTTTTCATTTTCAGTTAGGTGTTAGGCCCTTGTTGTTCGGTACTGAGTAGCTCTGGGCACAGGATGACAGTAAGAAATGGGAAGGCTTATCATTTAGGTCAGAGCTCAAAAGTCACACTTGACAAACTCTTCTCTCTTCCCGTTTCACCCATCCAAAATCTATAAAATCTAATGTGAACAGGATGAGACGCCTTTCTCCGGACTCCCTGCACGCTGGCCAATCGAATGCTGGCTGGTGATGGAGATGTGAGGGTGGGGAAAGAGCACCAATAAAATCCTGCGCGGAACGGAGGAAAGAACAGAGGCTCTGGATCCTCAGCAATGGAATGGCTTTAAAAACGTAACTATAGGATTCTTCCAAACAACAAACAACAATATGAATGGAAAGCATTCATGAATAACTGAAATGTAATATGAATACTCACAATTTTCTGAGAATATCCCACCAGCTGGATTTTACTAAGGGCAGAGTTCACCTCTTGCATTGTATAGCATCTTCTCCAGGTTGAGACTTCCACTGCATCCTTGAGAGGAGAAGGTAACAGCCTGCAAATGGATCACAATGTCAACTACCAGGTGAACATTTCTTCATGTTCTACAGCATTCCTTTCTAGTAATTTGTCCATTTGATCCAAATGGTTTAATTTACTGGCATATAATTGTTCATAGGATTCCTTTATGACCATTTCTCTGTTTTTATTTTTACTTTTTTTGAGACAGAGTCTCACTGTGTCACCAGGCTGGAGTGCTATGGCGCCATCTCGGCTCACTGCAACCTCCACCTCCCGGGTTCAAGCGAATCTCCTGCCTCAGCCTCCTAAGTAGCTGGGATTACAGGCGCCCACCACCATGCCCGGCTAATTTTTGTATTTTTAGTAGAGATGGGGTTTCACCATGTTGGCCATGATGGTCTCAATCTCCTGACCTTGTGATAGGCCCAACTCGGCCTCCCAAAGTGCTGGGATTACAGGCATGAGCCACCGTGCTCAGCCATTTCTTTTTTTAAAAAAAAAAAAAAAATAGAGACATGGTCTTGCTATGTCGCCCAAAATGTGTCAACAGAAAAACGTTTTATCATTTGCTCCAAAAGAATCAGGAGACCTGAAGAGTAACTTCCCTGACATTCACTGTACAATACAGGTCCAAGTACTGGGGTGAAATGAATGCATGCCATTAGCCTCTCCTCTCTCTCCTGAAACAACACTGAACAGGGCTTCTCACACACACACACACACACACACACACACACACACACACACACACACACACTCTCACACACACACCCTTAAGACAAAGAGAATGAGAGAAGAGACAATAGCAAGGCATTTTAGAAAGTAGACAGACAAATGATAACTGACTTCATAGGCCCAGGAAAGTTCAATGCAAACGTTTAATTTCTACTGCAGAACCCACAAAAAATATGGCAACTGAAAACAACAGGTGTATCAGGAAGTTGAATCAACCTAAAAACAAGAGGAACTGTTGAAAAAAGAGACGAGATACTTAGAACCTTCCAGATCTCCTCATTCCTTCCATATAGCTCAGCAGATGTCCCTTCTCCTCTCAGGTATGCTACCAGAGGTTGTTCTCTGGAGGGAGTAAAAATGAAAGTCTGGACTACGGGAAACCATCAACTGAGACAGCCTTCCTAAACAAAAATTTACAGAGGAACAATGTTCCTCTCCTCATTTGGCTGCCAAAGCACTATGAGTAAGCTTATTCCCCTCAGGGTAGGGGGCTGAAAGAATCTTCTCTGAAGAATCCGATCAGCCTCAAAGAAAAAAAATTAATGAAAAGATTCTAACGCAGAGGATTCCACAAAGAAACAGCTCAATCAGATTACTTTATGGTAAAGTGTGGAAGTGAACAAGTCCTACCCATGGCACATAGACTTTCTAATTAGTTTTTTTAATCGTTCAACTCTTAAACATGAGCCAATAGCCAAGGACTACCATAAATTTGAGAAAAGTCTCTAAAATAATAAAGGCCTCAAGTGGGGGCAGAGGAGCAGGCAGGGAAATTAGAAGAAATAAATTAGGCAGGTAGAAGAAAACTTTAAGAACAGCTTGTCCTTACTATCGTTAGAAAAATAAGATAGTATAGCTAAGAAATGAGAAGAGATTGCTACAAAATAAAAGATTAAGAGAATAAAAAGAGCTGTTACAAATTAGAAATACAATGTCATATAGAGAGTGAAAGCATGCCAACAATACACCAGAATTTCAAATAAGCTAAAAAGATTTAAAAGTTATACAAACGTGAAAGAGGTACATACATGAAAAACCAGCAAAGCTTATAAATGAGGTGACAAAACTCAATAAAGAATTAGAAATAAAAGAAAACATCATTTTGGAAATGAAGACTAAACTACATGTTGACCATCCCAAATCTGAAAACCTGAAGTCAGAAATGGTCTAAAATCTGCAGCTTTTTGAGGCAAACATGACGCTTAAAGGAAATGCTCACTGGATTACTTTGGATTTTGGATTTGGGATGCTCAATCAGCAATATTCCAAAATCGGAAAAAGTCTGAAGTCTGAAACACTTTGGTCCCAAGTATTTCACATAAGGGACACTCAACCTGTAATAGAAACACAAGAGTAGATTAATAAAAAATACCAAAAAGAAATGAAGAGATTTAAACAATTCAAAAGAACCTAACAAATGTTGAAGACAGATAAGCAAGATGCCACATAAGGGAATCTTATGTGGCATCACAGAAAACCAAGTGAGAATAATAATTAACACTCATAATATTCAATTACTAAATACTATAATTGCTAAAATGAAGAGACACGAAACTACACACTAAAAGAACACAGTGTACACTTGAGAATACTGACCCAGAACAATGAACAACAGACATATTCTGGAAAATATTTAGACTACAAGCAAACCTTTGGGATCTAGGAAAAGAACAAGTGACTTACAAGGAAAGAAAATTAGATTTTATCAGTGTTTTTAATAGCAATGTTTAATATTAGAAAAAAATATGAGAACATATTTAAGATACTCAAAGAAAGAAAATGCATGCCAAGGACTATATATCTAGCAAAACTGACTTTCTTTTTTTTTTCCTTTTTTAAAAATTTTATTATTATTATACTTTAAGTTTTAGGGTACATGTGCACAATGTGCAGGTTAGTTACATATGTATACATGTGCCATGCTGGTGTGCTGCACCCATTAACTCGTCATTTAGCATTAGGTATGTCCCCTAAAGCTGTCCCTCCCCCCTCCCCCCACCCACAACAGTCCCCAGAGTGTGATGTTCCCCTTCCTGTGTCCATATGTTCTCATTGTTCAATTCCCACCTATGAGTGAGAATATGCGGTGTTTGGTTTTTTTGTTCTTGCGATAGTTTACTGTGAATGATGATTTCCAATTTCGTCCATGTCCCTACAAAGGACATGAACTCATCATTTTTTATGGCTGCATAGTATTCCATGGTGTATATGTGCCACATTTTCTTAATCCAGTCTATCATTGTTGGACATTTGGGTTGGTTCCAAGTCTTTGCTATTGTGAATAGTGCCGCAATAAACATACGTGTGCATGTGTCTTTATAGCAGCATGACTTATAGTCCTTTGGGTATATACCCAGTAATGGGATGGCTGGGTCAAATGGTATTTCTAGTTCTAGATCCCTGAGGAATCGCCACACTGACTTCCACAATGGTTGAACTAGTTTACAGTCCCACCAACAGTGTAAAAGTGTTCCTATTTCTCCACATCCTCTCCAGCACCTGTTGTTTCCTGACTTTTTAATGATTGCCATTCTAACTGGTGTAAGGTGGTATCTCATTGTGGTTTTCATTTGCATTTCTCTGATGGCCAGTGATGGTGAGCATTTTTTCATGTGTTTTTTGGCTGCATAAATGTCTTCTTTTGAGAAGTGTCTGTTCATGTCCTTTGCCCACTTTTTGATGGGGTTGTTTGTTTTTTTCTTGTAAACTTGTTTGAGTTCATTGTAGATTCTGGATATTAGCCCTTTGTCAGATGAGTAGGTTGCGAAAATTTTCTCCCATTTTGTAGGTTGCCTGTTCACTCTGATGGTAGTTTCTTTTGCTGTGCAGAAGCTCTTTAGTTTAATTAGATCCCATTTGTCAATTTTGGCTTTTATTGCCATTGCTTTTGGTGTTTTAGACATGAAGTCCTTGCCCATGCCTATGTCCTGAATGGTAATGCCTAGGTTTTCTTCTAGGGTTTTTATGGTTTTAGGTCTAACGTTTAAGTCTTTAATCCATCTTGAATTAATTTTTATATAAGGTGTAAGGAAGGGATCCAGTTTCAGCTTTCTCCATATGGCTAGCCAGTTTTCCCAGCACCATTTATTAAATAGGGAATCCTTTCCCCATTGCTTGTTTTTCTCAGGTTTGTCAAAGATCAGATAGTTGTAGATATGTGGCGTTATTTCTGAGGGCTCTGTTGTGTTCCATTGATCTATATCTCTGTTTTGGTACCAGTAACATGCTGTTTTGGTTACTGTAGCCTTGCAGTATAGTTTGAAGTCAGGTAGCGTGATGCCTCCAGCTTTGTTCTTTTGGCTTAGGACTGACTTGGTGATGTGGGCTCTTTTTTGGTTCCATATGAACTTTAAAGTAGTTTTTTCCAATTCTGTGAAGAAAGTCATTGGTAGCTTGATGGGGATGGCATTGAATCTATAAATTACCTTGGGCAGTGTGGCCATTTTAACGATACTGATTCTTCCTACCCATGAGCATGGAATGTTCTTCCATTTGTTTGTACCCTCTTTTATTTCATTGAGCAGTTGTTTGTAGTTCTCCTTGAAGAGGTCCTTCACATCCCTTGTAAGTTGGATTCCTAGGTATTTTATTCTCTTTGAAGCAATTGTGAATGGGAGTTCACTCATGATTTGGCTGTTTGTCTGTTATTGGTGTATAAGAATGCTTGTGATTTTTGTACATTGATTTTGTATCCTGAGACTTTGCTGAAGTTGCTTATCAGCTTAAGGAGATTTTGGGCTGAGACAATGGGGTTTTCTAGATATACAATCATGTCGTCTGCAAACAGGGACAATTTGACTTCCTCTTTTCCTAATTGAATACCCTTTATTTCCTTCTCCTGCCTAATTGCCCTGGCCAGAACTTCCAACACTATGTTGAATAGGAGTGGTGAGAGAGGGCATCCCTGTCTTGTGCCAGTTTTCAAAGGGAATGCTTCCAGTTTTTGCCCATTCAGTATGATATTGGCTGTGGGTTTGTCATAGATAGCTCTTATTATTTTGAGATACGTCCCATCAATGCCTAATTTATTGAGAGTTTTTAGCATGAAGGGTTGTTGAATTTTGTCAAAGGCCTTTTCTGCATCTATTGAGATAATCATGTGGTTTTTGTCTTTGGTTCTGTTTATATGCTGGATTACATTTCTTGATTTGCGTATATTGAACCAGCCTTGCATCCCAGGGATGAAGCCCACTTGATCATGGTAGATAAGCTTTTTGATGTGATGCTGGATTCGGTTTGCCAGTATTTTATTGAGGATTTTTGCATCAATGTTCATCAAGGATATTGGTCTAAAATTCTCTTTTTTGGTTGTGTCTCTGCCCGGCTTTGGTATCAGGATGATGCTGGCCTCATAAAATGAGTTAGGGAGGATTCCCTCTTTTTCTATTGATTGGAATAGTTTCAGAAGGAATGGTACCAGTTCCGCCTTGTACCTCTGGTAGAATTCGGCTGTGAATCCATCTGGTCCTGGACTCTTTTTGGTTGGTAAGCTATTGATTATTGCCACAATTTCAGAGCCTGTTATTGGTCTATTCAGAGATTCAACTTCTTCCTGGTTTAGTCTTGGGAGGGTGTATGTGTCGAGGAATTTATCCATTTCTTCTAGATTTTCTAGTTTATTTGCGTAGAGGTTTTTGTAGTATTCTCTGATGGTAGTTTGTATTTCTGTGGGATCGGTGGTGATATCCCCTTTATCATTTTTTATTGTGTCTATTTGATTCTTCTCTCTTTTCTTCTTTATTAGTCTTGCTAGCAGTCTATCAATTTTGTTGATCCTTTCAAAAAACCAGCTCTTGGATTCACTAATTTTTGGAAGGGTTTTTTGTGTCTCTATTTCCTTCAGTTCTGCTCTGATTTCAGTTATTTCTTGCCTTCTGCTAGCTTTTGAATGTGTTTGCTCTTGCTTTTCTAGTTCTTTTAATTGTGATGTTAGGGTGTCAATTTTGGATCCTTCCTGCTTTCTCTTGTGGGCATTTAGTGCTATAAATTTCCCTCTACACACTGCTTTGAATGTGTCCCAGAGATTCTGGTATGTTGTGTCTTTGTTCTTGTTGGTTTCAAAGAACATCTTTATTTCTGCCTTCATTTCATTATGTACCCAGTAGTCATTCAGGAGCAGGTTGTTCAGTTTCCATGTAGTTGAGCGGTTTTGAGTGAGTTTCTTAATCCTGAGTTCTAGTTTGATTGCACTGTTGTCTGAGAGACAGTTTGTTATAATTTCTGATCTTTTACATTTGCTGAGGAGAGCTTTACTTCCAAGTATGTGGTCAATTTTCGAATAGGTGTGGTGTGGTGCTGAAAAAATTGTATATTCTGTTGATTTGGGGTGGAGAGTTCTGTAGATGTCTATTAGGTCTGCTTGGTGCAGAGCTGAGTTCAATTCCTGGGTATCCTTATTAACTTTCTGTCTCGTTGATCTGTCTAATGTTGACAGTGGGGTGTTAAAGTCTCCCATTATTATTGTGTGGGAGTCTAAGTCTCTTTGTAGGTCACTCAGGACTTGCTTTATGAATCTGGGTGCTCCTGTTTGGGTGCATATATATTTAGGATAGTTAGTTCTTCTTGTTGAATTGATCCCTTTACCATTATGTAATGGCCTTCTTTGTCTCTTTTGATCTTTGTTGGTTTAAAGTCTGTTTTATCAGAGACAAGGATTGCAACCCCTGCCTTTTTTTGTTTTCCATTTGCTTGGTAGATCTTCCTCCATCCTTTTATTTTGAGCCTATGTGTGTCTCTGCACGTAAGATGGGTTTCCTGAATACAGCACACTGATGGGTCTTGACTCTTTATCCAATTTGCCAGTCTGTGTCTTTTAATTGGAGCATTTAGTCCATTTACATTTAAAGTTAATATTGTTATATGTGAATTTGATCCTGTCATTATGATGTTAGCTGGTTATTTTGCTCGTTAGTTGATGCAGTTTCTTCCTAGCCTTGATGGTCTTTACAATTTGGCATGATTTTGCAGTGGCTGGTACCAGTTGTTCCTTTCCATGTTTAGTGCTTCCTTCAGGAGCTCTTTTAGGGCAGGCCTGGTGGTGACAAAATCTCTCAGCATTTGCTTGTCTGTACACTTATGAAGCTTAGTTTGGCTGGATATGAAATTCTGGGTTGAAAATTCTTTTCTTTAAGAATGTTGAATATTGGCCCCCACTCTCTTCTGGCTTGTAGAGTTTCTGCTGAGAGATCAGCTGTTAGTCTGATGGGCTTCCCTTTGTGGATAACCCAACCTTTCTCTTTGGCTGCCCTTAACATTTTTTCCTTCATTTGAACTTTGGTGAATCTGACAATTACGTGTCTTGGAGTTGCTCTTCTCGAGGAGTAGCTTTGCAAAAGTGACTTTCAAGGCCAAAGATCACAGATAAACAATTATGAACATGCAGGAACTCAGGGAATATTGTTCTTGTGATCCCATCCTGAGAAATCTACTGAAGACTGAGTTTCAGACAATCAGAATGATGACAGAAACATCAGTATGCATGGGCCAGTAGTGAGCATTAAATATACAGTTACTAGTAGCTGACAGACTACATGCAGGTTAAAAGGAAGGGAGGATAGTATGTAATGCATATATATTCTGACAACACAGATAAGGTAAAAGTGTAAAAAAAAAGTGGGGGGAAATATGTATGCTCTGTTCTCCAAAGAGTACTAGAAACAATGACTAATTTAGTAGCAATGAGCATTACTAACAACCAAAATGGGATCTTAAAATTCCACTTCCCATTGCAGAAACCAGGGTTTCTTGGAGAAATGGGCAATTTAGGGCAGAGAATGTACATGAGGAATCTTAAACATCCTGCTATCACAGATGGCAAGGAAACAATCAAAGACTATGAGGGTCACAATAAACGACCCAGAGGACAATTAGTCCGTTTTCACACTGCTGATAAAGACATACTGAGACTGGGAAGAAAAATAGGTTTAATTGGACTTACAGTTCCACATGGCTGGGGAGGCCTCAGAATCATGGTGGGAGGTGAAAGATACTTCTTACATGGCGGTGGCAAGAGAAAATGAGGAAGAAGCAAAAGCGGAAGCCCCGATAAACCCATCAGATCTTGTGAGACTTATTCACTATCATGAGACTAGCACAGGAAAAACTGGTCCCCATGATTCCATTATCTCCCCCTGGGTCCCTCCCACAACATGTGGGAATTCTGGGAGATACAATTCAAGTTGAGATTTGGGTGGGGACGCAGGCAAACCATATAAACACCTGACAAGGCTTTCAGTGTTCAAAGATGGGACAATTCCAGCTGAAACCACCACCACCACCCAGTGGGTTGAAACCATGCAGTATTTCAGAGGGGGCTGTGATTGGACTGGAGCTTTTGAGTTGCTGGGAATGTTCTCTTCCTTGACCAGGGGTGTGGCTTTAAGAGTGGTTGCTTTATAATAATTTATTAAGCAATATATTAGTTTTGTGTGTTTTGATATCTGTGGGTTTTTTTTTTTTTCGCTGCTGTTGTTTTTAGACAAGGTCTTGCTCTGTCACCTAGGCTGGAGTGCAGTGGCATAATCACAGCTCACTGCAGCCTCAACCTCCTGAGCTCAAGCGATCCTCCTGCCTCAGCTTCCAAAGTAGCTGGGACTACAGATGCGTGCCACCATGCCCGGCTCAGTTTATTTTTTGTAGAGATGGGATTTTGCCACGTTGCCCATGCCGGTCTCAAACTCCTGGACTCAAGCGATCTGCCCGCCGTGGCCTCCCAAAGTGCTGGGATTATGGGCATGACTGATATCTGTGCTTTATATTACAATAAAAAGGTTAATTTAAAAATCAGAAGAATTGATGTCAAAAAAATATTACAGCAGGAATGAAACACTGATAGAAAGCTTGGGAAATAAAGGGAATTTTGCGGAAGAACAAACAAAAAGAAAAACAGAGATGGAAAAGAGAAGAGAAAAATATTTAAATGACAATCTAAGAGGTTCAGCATCTAATAGCAAGAGTTGCAGAAAGAACACAGAAAATGGGGGTAGAAAACTTTTTTTTTTAAACCAGAATCAAAATTCTTCATTTTCTAAATTGGGAATTGGCAAACCTTTTCCATAAGTGGCTGCAGATATTTTAAGCTTTGCAGATCACATATAGTCTCCACCACAACTATTCAACTTAGCCGTGTAATAGCATACACAATATGTAAACAAGTGTGGCTGTGTTCTGATAAAACTTTATAAAAACAGTGGTGGGCCAGATCTGGCCCAAAAACAGTGCTGGCCTTAGTTGCCACTCCTGTTCTAAATTGAAAGGGCCCACTAAGTACTCAGCACATGAATGAAACGGCTTCAGTAAGAACCATCATCATGAACTCAAGGAATAAAGACAAGATTCTAAAAGCTATCATATGGGAATCAAGAGGTACAAACTAAAGATCTAGGTTCAAAATAGCATTGGACATTTCAACAGCACTCCTGGAAGCTAGAAGGAAATATAATGTTTTCAATATTGTAAGAGAAAATTGTATCTAATGTAGATTTCTATCAAATAGTTTGAGGGTTATTTCTACCAAATAGTTTTAGATGTGCAGATCTACTGCCCACCCCACACACTTCCCACACACTCTTTGTGTGGGAAAATTTACTTCCCACACACTCTTTGGCAGGGAGTTACTGGAGGATGTGGCCTGAAAAATGAAGGAGTAAACAAGAAAAAGGAAGATCCAGAAAACAGAATAAAGAAGCAAAGAAGTCTTCGGGATAATGGTGAGGAAAATCCTCAGCTGAAAGCCATGGCATTGGGCCCAAGACAGCTGACATCAGAGAGAGAAGGCTGGGGAGAGGACTTTTCAAGGAGATAAAAGTTGTCAGAATACCTATGGAGACTGAACATGATGGGTGGCAGGATATGCCACCCTACAATATGCCACTTCAGCATAAAGGTTATTTTGAGGTAAAGGCACCTGAAAAACAGCAGGTGCAGGAAGAGCTCTCTGCCCTCCTCTTTTTCTTCCTGAAAGGAGATGACATCCCCATATGGAAGATGTCCTCCATATAGCAGGAGGAAAGTAACATTTTTATCTGTAGGGAAAGGGAATGGAGTTCGAGAAAAACCTGTACCAGCAAACCTTGTTAAACCCTGATCTTCCCAGTCACTTCTCCACCCAATTGACTGCCCTAGCCCAAGTCCCCTTCCCTTGTCACACTTTCCCAATGTCCTGCTCTTTGTCCAACTCGGTGTCTGTGTTCAACTCTAACTGTTCCTTTGGGTCTTCATTCTCCTGTGCAGACTCTTACATATATGTAACTTAATAAAATGTGTGTACCTTTCTTCTGTTAACCTGTTTTATGTCAGTTTAATTCTTAGGCACAACTGGACACCCTAAGAGGGTAGAGGAGAAATTTAATTACTTACAAACATATTGAGGAGAGACAAGTAGGGAAAGAGTATAGAGACAATAGGTACATAAAACAACTAGACAAATAAGAAAACAAGGTAATTAACTCAAGGGAAAACAAAAAGTTGCACAAGATAGAAAAAATAATCCTAATAATCTTATATGGCCGGTGAATTGCATTTATACAGCCATAATAATGGAAACACTGAATTAAGATTTAACCAGAGTAGCACATATGTCAAATCGTTCCTATGCTTTTTACCCTTGTTTCTTTAGCAACAAAATATCAATGATCCATTTTCATTACCTTCTACATAAACAGATACATGAAGATTTTCTTATTCACTTTCTTAGGTACACATAGTGAACTGCTTTAGGTTTTGCAATATTTATTCTATACATATTTACTGAGCACTGACTGTGGTCTCAGGACTTAAGTCACATAAGGGGAATGACACGCATAATATAGGGCTTCTGTTCACACTGTGCTTAAGTCTAAGAAAAATTTAATAGTACAGGGCAACAGGATGCCAAAAGCCTCGAGTCATCCTTGCCTACAGGCTGGCCTTCCCTCCCAGAAGGGCCTCAACAATACACTACAAATGCAAATCTCAAGATCTTATGCACACCTCCTCTCCTCCTTCCCCCAACTTTAATGATTCACCAATACATTGAGGATAAAATCCAAGGCTCTCAGCATGACTTCCTAAGGCCCTTCTTTATCTGGGTGCTGCTTCTGCCTGTACTGTCTATACTGGGCTTTTCTAGTGCAAGGCCCTGCCTGCCTGCACCCCACCTACCTAAGTCCCTCTGTCTTCTACATTTTGAGTGGACAACACTTACTTGCTCTTGCTTAAAACCTAAACACACTTGTCACTTTCTCTCAGATCTTGTGACCCCAGTCTAGGCCAGGTGCTCACTCACGTGCTCTTTGGGAAGGCTGGCTGGCCCTGAGTCTGGCAGGAGTACAGGGAAGTGGCACAGAAGCCCACTTTGGACTGAGGCCGCCGCAGGGGCTGCTGCTCCTGCATCTGTTACCTCCACATCCCCATAACTCACGACTGCCTGCTTTGAGGAAGGAGAGATTTCTCTCAGAGGCACTAGGAAATAATGGAAAAAAGAGAATTTACAACCAGAGAAGTCTAGGTTTACATCTGGGAGTTAGCTCTTCACCTCCAAGCCTCAGTTTCCTCATCTATAAAATGGAGAGAATACTACCTTCCTTTGAGAGTTTCTCTGCAATGGGGAAATGATATATAATATAATGCATGTGAAATGTCTGGTGCAGAAGAGATGCTGAGTCAAGGTTTGTCTCCAGCCCTGCTCCAACACAGCCCCAGAAGCACATGCATTTCCCTACAATACTGCAGTGGACTCCACCCCAGGGTGATTGACTCTGACGAGCAGCAACGATTCTGAACTTGACAGGACTCAAGGAAAAACCCAAGGTTCTACCTAGCTTTGACTCCTCCTTTAAGTTCTCAGGATCAGGCAGCCCTGGGGCTTGAACCTCCTGGGGCTGCCCTGCACAGAAAATGAAGACCTCTCACTCTGGGCCCGGTAGGAGCCAAGGAGTTTCTTGACTTAATAATGCCAGAGCTGGAAGGCTGTCATGGGAGTGGCTAGAGAGCAGGGACCGTGATGGATAATGATGAATAACACTTGCAACCCCAAGCACATCTCTCCATTCAGCTGAATTTCTTTCACATTGTCCCCAGCTTTGCCAGGGCCCTGCAACAGTCATTTCTTTTAAAGGCTGACTAGAAAGTCACACACAAGGCCAGAACTATACCTGCTTTCTTTCTGCGATTTTCCTTACCCATTATTTGACAACCAGTACTGCCATTACCCAGAACACCATACCACGTGGGCTTTCCTTCCTGCTAGCTCTGTCTTCTCTTGATGGCCCTTCCCAGCACAGCCTCCCCTTTCCATCTAGGACAACGTCCTGTGAAAATTCAGCAAGATTAAGAACTGGAACAGCCTTGCTCAAAAAGAGGCTTTGGTCACTTTAATATTTTCACTGTGTGCTGGAGATGAAACAGTCTTATATTCACCCTATTGAGTACTAGCAGCGTTCTGACCAAGCCCTTAGAAGGGAAAGTGGAAAGCATGAAGATGCAAAGCATCTACAACTTTTGTCCTCAATAACCCAGAACTTATTTCTAGAGAAATTACTGGTGTTTCAAGTAGGGACACAATTTACTTAAGCAAAACAAAAGGCTCCTGAAGATCCAGGTATATTTCAGCCTGAATCTTTCCCATCTTTCCTTTTAAAGTAAATGGCATGGAAATCATAAACTTACGTTCTACAATCAGAATGATGACAGAAACATCAGTATGCATGGGCCAGTAGTGAGCATTAAACATACAGCTACTAGTAGCTGACAGAAGAAAGCATTTGTTTATACAGAAATTTTCACTACAGATGATTTTTGCTAATCAGATACATAGAACACTGTATTTAGAAGAACAGTCTTGTTAAATATGCCTTTTGTTTTGTATTTTATTAATACCCACTGAAAAGAGTAATGTGTATCTTTTTTCCTATTGTATCATATGATTCACACAGCAACACTTTTTTCATTTTTGTCTCCTCAGCACTGAGCATAGTGCCCAATATAAATGACACTCAAAAGAAAAAAAGTTCAGTTGCTATCCCAGGAAAAAAAAGAACCAGCAATGCAATTATCAACGTGTCCCGTCTGAACTGCACCATGTTTGGGTAGAGGTGAGCCCTCTAACTGTGAGAGGTGGTGAAAAAAATCAAGGAGGAGCTCAGGGGTAACCCGGAGGAGGAAAGCCAAGCCGTCCCACTGCCTCTGGTCCAGTCTGACCTGCCCGGTTCAGGGTTTTGTGGCAGGCGCTTCTGCCATGGCTCCAAGTGACCCCTACCCACAGGATTCACCCCCTTGTGGAATCCTCTCCTCCTGAGTGTGAGGTAGATCAAGTGGCTTGCTGCTAACATGACAAAGATGATGATGGGCTGTCACTTCAGTGATTAGGTTACAAAAGACTAGGACTTCTATCTTGCTCGCTTTCTTGCCTGCTTGGAATGGTCTCTTTTTCCTCATTCAAACCCTACTCAATCTGCCTAGCCCAGCCTAAGTCTTGCCATTTGGCATCTATTTTTTTGCTTGACAAGCTCCTTGAGTAGAGCGACTAAATCTTAAACTTTTTTGGGCATTTTTCTACAAACTTAGAATACCAGGCATTTGGTAGTTACTCAACAAGTAAGTGAAGTTCTCTGAATTTCATATTTCTGCCCACAAAGTCCTTTTGCTGACATCCTCTTTTATTCTTTCTAGATATTTAGTTACTTTGTTGTGCTTCCTCTATCTCCTAACACATCTTGTCTAACTTAGCTTTCCCAGAAACTCTCCTTATGCTTACTTGAGGTCCTAATTACAGAGAGGCATTTATAGAGCCATTTAAAGCCATTAGGATTATTGGCTGATTTTGGATAAGAAGGATAAGGAAACCCAGAGGGAACTAGTTCTGTTTTTTCTGGCTTTCTAATTTATCAAAGTCAAGTTCTCAGAGTCTAAATGTTTCATAAGTACTTTCTAAAGGATTTCATTGTTTTGCTTTGTTCTTACCACACTTGAGTGCCTGAAGAACTTCTTTCCCAGGGCTCTGACATGATGCCAAAGCTCTGCGGCCTCTTCCTTCATCCTGCCAGCAAAAGCAGCACACTTTTGTGTTTTTATTAAATATTAAAACTTTTAAGTCCAGAAGGACCACTTGGAAGGTGGTAAGTAAAAAACTGGCTGGGCATTAAGTGTATGTTGAATGAATAAATGAATGAATAAGTGAATGAACAAAATTAATGTAAGGACAGAATACAAAGAAGATAGGAATCAGGAAAGTTCCCTGCCTGACTCTCATCACAGCAAAGGGCTTAACATGCCTGTGGGGGCTAGGGTAGACTGGGCATGTTGGCAGAATAAGGACACATATGGAGTTTCTGGAGCCTCAAAATGAAGTATGTTTCAATATTAACCAGAAACTAGGTTACAACCCCTGATGTTTATTTTAGATCAAATTATTGCTTAAAAAAATGGCAATTGCTTAGGCTACCAAAGCATGACAGGAACGACTCTTGAGAGCAACTCAACTATCTTTGCTCTAATCCTATGCTCATGGAAAAATTTCTTATCCATAATTTGAGGTCTTAAGTGGACTTCCTGGCCAGCATAGAGTGTCCTGGATAGAGAAGCCACTCTAGTTCTGGAGCCACTCAGAGGTCTTACTTTAAAGTGATTAATTGGGATTTTTGTTTGTCACTCAACATCCTGGGAGTCTGGTGAGCATGAATCAGTCCCTCAGAGGCTAATCAACTCCGAGTGAAATGAAACGGTGAAGTGACCAGAATCGCAAAGCCCAACCAGCTGTGATTACTCCGTCAAAGCACTGCCGCTCTCTGAGGGCCTGCCTTAAGGAGCCTCTCTCTGGACATCTTTTAGAACTCTAACACAAGTGGACTTAGAGATAATTTAATTCTTATTTTACAGAAAAGGAGATTGAGTCTGAGAGTCTGAGTGACAGTGACAACTAACTACAGGTAACAGTGGAATTTGAAAACAGTTTTCCTTCTGTCCACTTAGCTACCTTGCTTTCGTCAGAAAGGCAGTGTCTGAAAGTAAATTAGGCTGCAGAAGACAGATGTATTCTAGTTAACAAAAGCAGATTATGTAAGCCACGTATCTTATTAAAAGAGACAAGGACACTGGCATTTATTGAGCACCTACTGTGTGACTGGCATTGTTTTAAGAACTTAATCATACCACTCATTTAGTCCTTACAACAATCCTATTAAGTTGTTAATATCACTTCTATTTTATGAAGGAGGAAACAGAGCCTAGAAGAAATAAGTTGCCACAACTACCAAGAAACAGATCTGAAATTCAAATACCAGTCTATTTGACCTCCGAGCACACACTTCTATCTTCTCTTCCTATCATAGAGTTAGTTGATAAATTCCTGTATGCATACCCAAGGAGCGTCAGAGCGGAGGAACTTCAACTTGAACATGCATGGTTTTAAGTCTTTTTTTTTTTTTGAGATGGAGTTTTGCTCTTGTTGCCCAGACTGGAGTGCAATGGCACGATCTCGGCTCACCGCAACTTCCACCTCCCAGGTTCAAGCGATTCTCCTGCCTCAGCTCCCACGTAGCTGGGATTATAGGTATGACTAATTTTGTATTTTTAGTAGAGACGGGGTTTCACCATATTGGTCACACTGGTCTTGAACTCCTGACCTCAGGTGATCCACCAGCCTTGGCCCCCCAAAGTGCTGAGATTATAGGCATGAGCCACCACGCCCAGCCAGTTTTCTTTTAAGTCTTCCGTAAGGTATGAAGCCACATTTTAAGTTGTAAGTATTAAAAAGTGCCATAAAAATTCAGCCAAGACTATATCAATGCTTCATTGCTTAATGCTTGCATGAGGATGACAATATCTTGTAATGATTTATCCTTATTGTAATTATAGATTTCTAACCTTATAAAAAATATTAGTTTTATACAAAAAAAGTACTAGAGGTGGGGTTACTTTCTTAAGTGGAATATCTTGCTTTACATTTTCCCATTAAAAACCTAAACTTAAGTGAGTGTGGGAAAGTCAGAGACCCAGAATTACATTGTGAGGGATTCTCCTTTTCCTTCCCTTCAAAATCCATCTCTTTTTCAAGAGTAAACTGCAATGTCAAAGTTAGGAAGAAGGATGACTTAACTTCTTTGATATAAATCTCAAGGAGCACTGTCAACTGAGGCAGGAAGTTACACAGCTGCCAAAAAGTAGGAGTAATAGTTTTTTTTTGGTACGTGTACTAATAATAAATCAAATGCTAATTCAAGCTAACTTCAAATGATTTATGAGAATTTGTCAGATTCTTCTGAGTTTGAAAGTTTCTAATTTACTGTTTTCTTTAGTTGATAGTTTTATTAGTAATGTAAGCTACTAAGATGTATTAATTCTAGGCACTTGACAAGATCTGCTTTGAGGCTGCCTATATATAGTATAATTCAAAAATTAGGGGCTCAAGCCTCAAATCGAATACCTCTCAAAGTACCTCTCTAAGAGCTACTTTGCTCAGATCATACGGGATTTGATTCTAATGTAGAAGCCAACATTTCTAAAAAGATTTTTTAAAAGTCACATTTACAACATCTAGACTTTGAGCTTCTAAGGAAGGCTTGGCAGCTGTGGGCTCACATTCCCATATGGCCACGATCGCTGGAGCTACGAGTCAGCTGCCCCTATACAGAGGTGTGGTCACCGGTCCACATTTTCCACCAGCCCATCTCACTCCTGTGTGTACCTTCCCCAGCCCTGTAGGCATTGTAGACCTGTGATCCCTACTTTGGAAGACCTGGACAGGCAAAGCACAAGAATGAAGAAAAAAAAAAAAGAGTGAAAACATACAGAGAAGACAGATAGAGGCTATATAATGGGAAAAATTTCCGTGAACTAGATAGCAAAAAGCAGCGTTTGTCAATGTAGCATGCTGCAGTAGTTTGGGACATTAGATATTAACTAGCTTGTGATAGAGATAAATCTAAAGGTGATGTAAATCCCTTAGCACAAACATTACCCAAATGCAGCACTTTTAGAACTCTGGTCCAAGATTAAATTCTAGGTGAATATTTTAAAAGAACTCTTTCATTTGATGCCAATTAAAGAATAAATAGCTCTTCAGGCCAGGCATGGTGGCTCATGCCTATAATCCCAGCACTTTGGGAGGCTGAGGTGGGCGGATCACTTGAGGTCAGGAGTTTGAGACCAACCTGGCCAACAAGGTGAAACCCAAAAAATACAAAAATTAGCGGGCATGGTGGTGGGCATCTCTAGTCCCAGCTACTCAGCAGGTTGATACGGGAGAATCGCTTGAACCCCGGGAGGTGAAGGCTGCAGTGAGCTGACATCGCATCACTGTACTGCAGCCTGGGTGACAGAGTGAGACCCTGTCTCAAAAAATTAAAAAAAAAAAAAAAAAAGCTCTTCAAATTCTTCTACCACTTCTAGTATTTATGCTGAGTTTATCTAGGAGAAAAAGAGGACACAGCTATGGAGTGTCTCTTTCACACCTCAGTATGTTTTCCAATAATTAGACTCTTCCCTTTCTCTACCAATAACTATGGCTCATCTCATGCTCAAAAATCAAAACACAATCATTGGCCAGGATGAGAATCAAAGATGGCCTTCTCCAATAGCGCAAGTTACTACTCTCCTTGCTCCTCTACCAAGTTAGTCTCAACAGTTTCTGATTTTTGCCCACCAGGTGGGCAAATATATTTCAACTAGCAGCTTCTTTTAAAAGGGAGATTTCCATTCTATTATAAAGATACATGCAAGTGTATGTTCATTGCAGCCCTATTCACAATAGCAAAGATATGGACTCAACCAAAATGCCCATCAATGACAGACTGGATTAAAAAAATGTGGTACCTATACACCATGGAATACTATGCAGCCATAAAAAGGAATGAGATCATGTCTGTTGTAGGGACATAGATGGAGCTGAAGCCATTATCCTCAGCAAACTAACATAGGAACAGAAAACCAAACACCGCGTGTTCTCACTTTTAAGTGGGAGCTGAACGAGAACACATGAACACAGGCAGGGGAACAACACACACTGGGGCCTCTCAGGGAGTGTGCGGGGGAAGGGGGAGCATTGAGATAAACAGCTAATGCATATGGGGCTTAACACCTAGGTGAAGGGTTGATAGGTGCAGCAAACCACCATGGCACATGTTTACCTATGTAACAAAACTGCATGTCCCACACACCTATCCCAGAACTTAAATTTTTTTTAAAAAGGGAGCTTTCCTCTGCATCTTAGGAAATACCTTTCAGGCCCCTCCCTAGCCTTCTCCTCCTTTAGCCTCATTCATACTCTCCGTAATGTAGGTGGCACTTCTTTTGTGTGGCCAAATGGGAGGCAAAGGCAAAATGCTGAGGACTTTGTCCAAGGTCACAAGAGAAAAGGTGAAATAAGGATTTGGGGCTTCCTAAGACTTGACCCAAGATTTGGGAGTCAGGAAATATTGCCCTTTTTTTTAGACAGAGTCTCGCTCTGTCCCCCAGGCTGGAGTGCAGTGGCGTGATCTTAGCTCACTGCAACCTCTGCCTCCCAGGTTCAAGCGACTCTCCTGCCTTAGCCTTCTGAGTAGCTGGAACTACAGGTGCCCACCACTACGCCTGGCTAATTTTTTTTTGTATTTTTGGTAGAGATGGGGGGTTTCACCATATTGGCCAGGCTGGTCTTGAACTCCTGACCTCAAGTGATCTGCCCGCATCAGCCTCCCAAAGTGATGGGATTACAGGCCTGAGCCACTGCACCTGGCCAAGAAATACTGACTTTAGAACACTATTTGTGGTGTGCCAAAATTATTTGCAGCAAATCACTATAAAGGGTTTACATTTAAGAGGAAGAAGGGAAGCCAGAGCACACATGTTCCATGGGAAAGAAAACAAAGTCCTGAGGTTTCTAAGAGGGAGATGTAGGGAACTGGGGTCCTGTCCAGTCCAGTGGGCACACAGGAGAGAAAAGAAAAGAAGGGAGGTATCAGAACCGAGGGCAAGAGAAAAGGGAGCTGGGAACAAGAATGTGGTACTGCACCAGGGCAGTCAGATCAAGGAGGCCATTCACATACACACCAAAGACTTATAAATGCACATGTCCAGAAAATGTTTCCTAATGTGAAGCCACGCCCACACCATACATCCCCAAACAAGGAAACAGACATTCAAAAGATCCTTAAAACACAGGAGAAAGTGTGCACAGATAAGCCTACTTCCTCGTCCCCTGACACAAGAAGCGGCTGACACGCACATGAGAAGAGGCATGTGTGTGTGCATAAGAGGTGGCCCAGCAAATGGGTTAGGAGTATGGACCCTGCAGCCAGGCTAGCTGGCTGTCTGGGTTTGAATCCAGATCCTGCCACTCACTAGCTGTGCGACCTTGGGCAAGTTACTTAATCTCTCTGTGTCAGTTTTCTCTCCTGTAAAAAAGTAATAACACTGCCTGGGTGTGGTGGCTCATGCCTGTAATCCCAACACTTTGGGAGGCTGAGGTGGGCAGATCACGAAGTCAGGAGTTCAAGACCAGTCTGGCCAATATGGTGAAACCCCATCTCTACTAAAAATACAAAAATTAGCTGGGCATGGTGGCGCTCACCTGTGGTCCCAGCTACTTGGGAGCCTGAGGCAGAAGAATTGCCTGAACCTTGGGAGGCAGGGGTTGCAGTGAGCCGAAATTGCACCACTGCACTCCAGCCTGGGAGACAGAGCGAAACTCCATCTCAAAAAAAAAAGGAGTAACACCACTACCTACCTATCTACCTATTTATTAAAGGAATAAATAAATTAACACATTTAGAAGGTGCCTGGCACACAAGTGTTACATAAGTAAAATAAATAACATGTGTACAAAGGAATGCACGGAGGAGACTCATGCTCAAGCTCCGAAATAGTCACTATAGAAAAAGTGTATTCCTCTAGCTACATATTTATATTCTAATCAAAAGAAGATCTGCAAAAACTAAGACATTCTAATGTTGAAATAAGCAGATGACTACAAATCACTGATCTAGAGGGAAAGAGAAATCAGTGCCAACTGGAAAAAAGTGGACATGGGTAGGAGCATATGGAACGTAAACTGCCTAAGAAATTATAAGACTATGCCGGGTGCAGTGGCTCACACCTGTAATCCCAGCACTTTGGGAGGTCGAGGTGGGTGGATGGTGAGGTCAAGAGATCAAGACCGTCCTGGCCAACATGGTGAAACCCCATCTCTACTAAAAATACAAAAATTAGCTGGGTGTGGTTGCACACACCTGCAGTCCCAGCTACTCGGGAGCCTGAGGCACGAGAATCGCTTGAACCCTGGAGGTGGAGGTTGCAGTGAGCCAAGATCGCACCACTGCACTCCAGCCTGGGCGACAGAGTTAGACTCTGTCTCAAAAACAAAAACAAAAACAAAAACAAAAACCAAAAAAAAAACAAAAGAAAAAGAAAAAGAAAAAAAAAAAGAAATCAAAAGACTAGTTTTTACTCCAGACTTGACGCCACCATCAGAAGGTGTGGCTGCTGTGGGGCCTGGAGATGAAGGCAGAATTGCTAAGGTTAGAGAAAGCCCAGTGTGTTAATATCCACAGGGGTACTCTGTTGCCAATTTAAATAAGAGATCATGGAAGTGGAATCAAGCTGCTGCTTCTACCATGTTTCTCCTTACTTCATCTCTTTCAGCCTGGTTTCTGGACCTAGCACTCTACGGCAACTCACCTCTCCGGGATTGTTAAGGACTTCCCCATTCCCATAGCCAAGGGCCTTATCTCCATTTTACTTGATATTTCTGCAGCATCTGAGACCAGCAACAACCTGTGTTTTCTGAAACTTCCTTGTCCCTTGGTTCCCACTCAGCTCTCCTCTTACCTTCTTAATTACTACAGCCTCTTTTACAACTCTTACCAGTTCTTTTCAATTCTATCTCAGAAATTCATTTGAAGTTAGACTTCAGCTTCATGCTCACGGATACTGCCTTAGATCAAGGCTTTGTCATCTCCCCTGGGTTTCAGCAGTCACACTGCTGGTCCTCCTGCCTACCTCTGCATTCCTGTCCATCCTTTACGCTGCTTCCAGAGTTACTTTCCCCAAAACAAACGTAGTCATTAGCCTCCTTATAAACCTCCACTGGCCAACTTCACACTCTCAACAATATAAAACTCAAACTTCACATATGAGAATCTTCATTCTCTTGCTCCAACTCACCCCTTTACTTGCACCTCTCACCTCTCTACTCACCCTAATCCACACTGAACATCTCACTGTTCCCTGAATATACTATGTCCCATGACGCCATGCCTGGACTTCTCTTCTCAACCTCTGCTATAGGAACAAATCCATTTCTTCTTCCAAGACCCATCTTAACTGTCATCTCCTAAGGAATGTCCTTCTCAGCCTTCCTAAGCAGAGTTCTTCAGTTTCTGAGTGCCTACAGCACTGGGGGCAAACATCTGTTTTTTTTTTTTTTTTTGAGACAGAGTTTCACTCTTGTTGCCCAGGCTGGAGTGCAATGGTGCAATCTCAGCTCACTGAAACCTCTGCCTCCCGGGTTCAAGCAATTCTCCTGCCTCAGCCTCCCGAGTAGCTGTGATTACAGGCATGTGCTACCACCCAGCTAATTTTTTTGCATTTTTCATAGAGACGGGGTTTCTCCATGTTGGTCAGGCTGGTCTCAAACTCCCAAACTCAGGTGATCTGCCCATCTCGGCCTCCCAAAGTGCTGGGATTACAGGCGTGAGTCACCGCGCCTAGCTGGCAAACACCTCTTCTAAGACATGCCATGCAAACTGTTAACTGACCTGTTGAGTTATCTGATTTTCCATTAAACTTTGACCACCTCAAGAGCCAATTGTTCCTAAAAACTCTGGTACCCAGCATAGCACCTTGCACATAGTTGCCTCTCAAAAAATGTTGGTTGAATCAAATATAACCCTTTCATGTATTAGGAAAAAGAGAATCTTTAATATAACCAAATCATTGTTTAAGCATAGAGGAAGAAATCAAATGAGACTGCTTTGCAAAGCACCTGGCTCTACAGTCTCTCGGTAAGAGAGTGGTCTGTTCCTCACCTCTGAATGTCCTTATTCTTCCACAAGGAGGCAGACTGAGCCTTTGGCACTCTTTCAATGAAATTCACCAGCTCTTCCATGAGAAGCCTGAGTTTAAACAAAACAAGTGAGGAACACCCATTAAAAAATTAGAGAAACACCCCATACTCTAACAGTTGGCCAGGAGAAATGACTTGCCCACCTCCCCCTACACCATTTCATCATCATCTTCCTCTCTGCTGCACATAAACTTGATCACCATTTGATATAAAGTTAAACAAAATCCTCACTTTCTTATTGCATTTCCATGCTAAAAATTCTGAACTTAAATAATTTAATTCACCTTTAAAACAAGGCTGGCCTGTTTCTTGTCTCTAATCATAGAAATCCACAAGCCTGTTTTAACTCTCACTCTAAGATCTCTACTTTTATGTTACTGAAAATATATAGGGAGAAGTTAAATGACTGTCAGGTATCTAATTTTGGTGACGTAGTAGGGTGTGGGCAGGACTGTTTTTTTTTAAATGACAATATTAAGTGAACTTTTTTTTTTTTGAGACAGAGTTTCGTTCTTGTTGCCCAGGCTAGACTGCAATGGCACAATCTCAGCTCACTACAATCTCCGCCTCCCGGGTTCAAGGGATTCTCCTGCCTCAGCCACTCGAGTAGCTGGGATTACAGGCACACACCACCATGCCCAGCTAATTTTTTGTATTTTTAGTAGAGACGGGGTTTCACTATGTTGGCCAGGCTGGTCTTGAACTCCTGACCTCAGGTGATCCACCCGCCTCGGCCTCCCAAAGTGCTGGGGGATTACAGGCATGAGCCACCGTGGCCAGCCTAAATGAACATTTTAAATGGATAAAATAAGTTTTCTTGATATGTTTTAGGAATTAGCAAAATTCCATGTGGAAGAATACTCCAAGGACAAATGGAGTACGCTGCTAAATGCAGAAGACTAGCTCTCTCTGAGATGAGACGGAGTACCACAGAACCAGGGATGAGGAATCTAAGAAATGCTGCGCTATCAGTTAGATCAAGGTACACAGGCTTTGGGGATTCACAGGACAGAGAACTGCGGGAATTCTTGATGGCCAGAGGATGACCACAAAGGTAGAAATGGATTTGACACCTTGAATCTCCATTCCTAATCTAATATTCGTGATCCATATTGACTTAAATCCCCTCCAAGTTAACATATACATACTGGTAAGCCATTAATGTATTAGCATTTGAAAACTAAACAACTTCATTTCATTCTCATTTATTTATTTTGGCCTAATACCATCTCCTCCTTCCATCTTGAAGGAAGAGTGCTAATTTCAACATCTCAAGACCTGTGATTCAGGCTCACTGGTGTCCTGGATGTAGCTTTCATAGGAACAGTTTGGTGTGCTGATCCTCACTGCTTTAACTTTTCCAGACTAGAGGCTAGTTTTTTAGCTTATCCTCTCAATTGAAACCAGTGCATCACTTCGAGTGTTTTACTTTCCTATGAGAGCCCTTCCTCAGCTCCCTAATGGTTACATACACAGTGCAGGTAATATGGTTTGACATAAAAACAAGAAAACACATTATTTCATCTGCAAGGCTCTAGAATCCAACCTAGGAGTCTATAGCAATTCTTAAGTCTCACATTTTGGAACCTGACAGTTTCAACTTATACCGTACTTATTAATTTATTTCAAAAAAAATAAATTGACAAATTTTTTTTTCTGGAGTAATTTTCTTTACCTAATTCCTCACTAAATGATACTATTGCTACTTGTGGTAACCACCTGTGTCACAAAGGCTTAGTAGAAGCAGAGAAAGGGATGGCAGAGGCTTCTTAGAGTCAAAGGAAAACTGCAGTTTTACTCCTAGACTGCTCAGTTTCACTCTGTCAACAGCAGAGACAACTTAACCATCTATTTACTTATCTATCCTGTATTTTCTACAAGCTGTCTCCATTTATAGTCTACAACAAACCACAAAAAGGGGGAATTTTTGAAAGCAAAGCAATAAAATTTCTTCTTCTTAAAGATGCTACACTCTTTCCCTCTGAAGCTCTCTGCCTTGCATCTTTGTGGCATCTTTCTAAACATTACCTCCCCTAATTAGTATTCTCTGTACAGAGGAGCCGTCTCCATGAACTCCTTCCAATTAATTTATAAGAAAAAAGACCAACAAGACTACTTGCACCATCAATCCTTAGGCATTTCCAATGAACATTCCTCATCTAGAGAGTCGCTTACTCCTGCCTGTTCTTTGGGTTAGTTGTTCAGAAGGAACTAACCACCAGCCCTGGTATAATACTGTGATAGCGTCATCACTGAGGGAGGAGCTCCGCAGTCACATCCTAGCAGGGTCAGAATCAACCCTCTCACCTGCCGATCTGGACGGTGGGTTCCGTGGCATACACTGTGCCTGTGAAGCCGGTGTGCTCGGTGATGTATGGCAGCGCCATCATACAGTGATAGTTAGAGATGAGAATCACATCTACTGTAGACAGATCTATTAGCTCCGTCTGAAAAGAAAGGGAGGGAATGATATATATCTGTTCAGGGATCGATCAATATGATGTGACTAAAAAACGACGTTGTCAGAATGCAGAGAAGTAGTTTTTGTATTGCAGAATAATGATGGCTTTCCTGCAACACTGCCATTCTCTCATTTGAAGAGGTTTTCTACACTGACATTAAGTAGCAGGACAGGACGGCCAGCAGTGAGAACACAGCCAGCCCAGAGGCAGCACTCTGATTTTACTAGAACAGAATTCTTCTGAATTAGACTTATGAGGTTAAATGACAGCAGGACCCTTCGGCAGCTGCTGCCAGGCAAGTGAAACCAGGAAACTGCAAGCAGAGAGAGCAGCATACAGGCGGCAAGCACACACTAGAACATAACACCCCATTGCTACAGATTAATGGGCAACGGGGACGCAGCACACAGAAACCAGCTCTTCAAAAGCCAGATGGAGAGACAACTTGTTTTGCTTTTTTTTTTCTTTTGAGGTAACTTTTGTTAGTTTAGTGCTGGTTATAGAGCCCGCCCTAAAAAGCGTAGTGGCAGTCATGAAAGGAAATTATCCTTTCACCCTCCATCCTAATCTTATCCCCAGATCTGCCCTTTTAAGTCCATCATTAAGGTCATGTAAAAAGGGAGAAAAGACAGGTTAGCATGTGAGGGAAAAGGCTATCCAAGTTTGGGTAAATTTTAGGAAAACTCCTAAAATTTTTCCATATATTTAAGTCCTACCAATCTGTCAAGACGCAATTCTCTTCTTCCACTAGGTCTTCCTGATTTGCTCAGATGAAAGAAACCACATCTTCCTCAGAACTCCCAAAGTATTGCATGTGTAACTCAATTTTTAACTTTTTATTTCTTTTTGAGACAGAGTAGCTGGGATTACAGGTGTGCCCTACCATGCCTGGCTAATTTTTGTATTTTTAGTAGAGATGGGTTTTCACCATGTTGGCCAAGCTGGTCTCAAACTCCCGGCCTCAAGTGATCTGCCTGCCTCAGCCTTCCAAAATGCTGGGATTACACCAAGCCACCAAGCCCGGTCTGTCTGTGTAACTCTTATGACAGTTCACAATCTACACACAACACCTCAAAGTAGCACTTTGTCCTGTGTGACTCCTCTGTCCCCTCCCACCTGTGGCAGCCAGTACCTAACAAGCCTTGGTGTGCTTCTGTTGAAGGAATGCAGCTTTATTAGCAGCATGTTCTGGGAGAAGTGAGACACCATGGTTCAGAGACAACCTGTCACTCACAGGGCCCTCCACCGTGGAGGAGCTAACCCTGGGAAATATACGGTGCACTAAGGAAAAGCAAGTGACTCGGTTAAGAGATGGGTCCTTGAGATAATACATCCCCACGAAGAAGAAATAAGAAAGATGATGTAGAGAGCCAAATCATGAGTGAACTCCCATTCACAATTGCTTCAAAGAAAATAAAATACCTAGGAATCCAACTTACAAGGGACAGGAAGGACCTCTTCAAGGAGAACTACAAACCACTGCTCAATGAAATAAAAGAGGATACAAACAAATGGAAGAACATTCCATGCTCATGGGTAGGAAGAATCAATATCATGAAAATGGCCATACTGCCCAAGGTAATTTATAGATTCAATGCCATCCCCATCAAGCTACCAATGACTTTCTTCACAGAATTGGAAAAAACTACTTTAAAGTTCATATGGAACCAAAAAAGAGCCCGCATCGCCAAGTCAATCCTAAGCCAAAAGAACAAAGCTGGAGGCATCATGCTACCTGACTTCAAACTATCCTACAAGGCTATAGTAACCAAAACAGCATGGTACTGGTACCAAAACAGAGATATAGATCAATGGAACAGAACAGAGCCCTCAGAAATAACGCCGCATATCTATAACTATCTGATCTTTGACAAACCTGAAAAAAATAAGCAATGGGGAAGGGATTCACTATTTAATAAATGGTGCTGGGAAAACTGGCTAGCCATATGTAGAAAGCTGAAACTGGATCCCTTCTTTACACCTTATACAAAAATTAATTCAAGATGGATTAAAGACTTAAACGTTAGACCTAAAACCATAAAAACCCTAGAAGAAAACCTAGGCATTACCATTCAGGACATAGGCATGGGCAAGGACTTCATGTCTAAAACACCAAAAGCAATGGCAACAAAAGCCAAAATTGACAAATGGGATCTAATTAAACTAAAGAGCTTCTGCACAGCAAAAGAAACTACCATCAGAGTGAACAGGCAACCTACAAAATGGGAGAAAATTTTCGCAACCTACTCATCTGACAAAGGGCTAATATCCAGAATCTACAATGAACTCAAACAAGTTTACAAGAAAAAAACAAACAACCCCATCAAAAAGTGGGCAAAGGACATGAACAGACACTTCTCAAAAGAAGACATTTATGCAGCCAAAAAACACATGAAAAAATGCTCACCATCACTGGCCATCAGAGAAATGCAAATGAAAACCACAATGAGATACCATCTCACACCAGTTAGAATGGCAATCATTAAAAAGTCAGGAAACAACGGGTGCTGGAGAGGATGTGGAGAAATAGGAACACTTTTACACTGTTGGTGGGACTGTAAACTAGTTCAACCATTGTGGAAGTCAGTGTGGTGATTCCTCAGGGATCTAGAACTAGAAATACCATTTGACCCAGCCATCCCATTACTGGGTATATACCCAAAGGACTATAAGTCATGCTGCTATAAAGACACATGCACACGTATGTTTATTGTGGCACTATTCACAATAGCAAAGACTTGGAACCAACCCAAATGTCCAACAATGATAGACTGGATTAAGAAAATGTGGCACATATACACCATGGAATACTATGCAGCCATAAAAAATGATGAGTTCATGTCCTTTGTAGGGACATGGATGAAATTGGAAATCATCATTCTCAGTAAACTATCACAAGAACAGAAAACCAAACACCGCATATTCTCACTCATAGGTGGGAACTGAACAATGAGAACACATGGACACAGGAAGGGGAACATCACACTCTGGGGACTGTTGTGGGGTGGGGGGAGGGGGAGGGATAGCATTAAGAGATATACCTAATGCTAAATGACGAGTTAATGGGTGCAGTACGCCAGCATGGCACATGTATACATATGTAACTAACCTGCACATTGTGCACATGTACCCTAAAACTTAAAGTATAATTAAAAAAATAAATAAAGTAAAAAAAAAAAGAAAGAAAGATGATGTGACATAAGCAGATGAAGAGAGGGAGGGTGCCATTCTGGCTATGGGTATTTTCCAGCTGAGTAACTTTACAAATAAAACGAGTAACTTAATAAAGCTGCCAGGCAGCATCGGCCCCCGAGGACAGGATGCCAGCAGAGGTCATAAGCCACTCAGTGCCAGGGTACTGCCATCTGTGTGAACACCATGCCTAATGAACAGCCAACCTATCCCAACCTTCACCCCAAGTTGTGCACTGCCTTTGCAAGACAGTGTCCTCCTCATGAAGGACCACGTAACTGTTTGCTGGTCCTACTCTCCACTACCTCCCCTAGCATCATTTTTAAACAAATAAGGAAATTAAGACAGGGTAGCACAGTGATAGATCCAGAAGAAAACAATGTGAATCACACTGAAGCAACAATAAAGCTAAAAATCATCACCACCAGTCCTCATGTGTACAGAAACTGGGTGAGAAAACTTGAAATTTCTCTTTAAGAACCAGCCCACAGAGTCTAGAATTATAAAAAATAAAAAATTATTCTGTTGGTATATATCAAGAGTGTATGCTTACATAAAACATTTTTCCTCTGAGAAATTTAACATCCAAACCACATTTATATACAGGTAATTCTTGACCAACACAGGGGTCAGGGGTGCTGACCCACTGTACAGTTGAAAATAACTTTTGACTCCCCCAAAACTTAACTACTAATAGCCTGTTGACTAGAAGCCTTCCTGAATAACATATTTAACACATACTTTGCATATATACTATATATGGTATTCTTACAATAAAATAAGCTAGAGAAAAGAAAACGTTATTAAGAAAATGATAAGGAGCCAGATGTGGTGGCTCATGCCTGTAATCCTAGCACTTTAGGGGGCTGAGGTGGGAGGACTGCTTGAGGCCAGGAGTTTGAGACCAGCCTGGTCAACATAGTGAGACCATGTCTCTACAAAAAATGTTTCAACAATTAGCCAGGCATGGTGTTGCACACATGTAGTCCCAGCTACTCGGAGGCTGAGACAGGAGGATCACTTCAGCCCAGGAGGTCGAGGCTGGAGTGAATTATGGTTATGCCATCACACTTCACGCTGGGCAATAAAGTGAGACCCCATCTCAAAAAAAATCATAAGGAAAAGTAAATGTACTTTAGTGATAGTAAAATACATTTCCTATCCATTAAGTGGAAGTGAATCATCATAGAGGTCTTTATTTTTGTCATCTTCACATTAAACAGACTGAGGAGGAGGAAGACGAGGGGTTGGTCTTGTTGTCTTGGGTGGCAGAGGGGAAGAAGTGTAGGAGGTAGAAGGCAAGGCAGGAGAAGCAGGCACACTCAGAGTGCTTACAGATATATGTTGTAATTTGTTGGATGTTTTCACGTTTTCATTTCTCTAAAAATGTTTCTATATGGTATCAATCCTTCTTCCACCATTTTAGTTTCTGTGCCCACATCACAGAAGGATCCAAGTTGTGAAAGAAATCAAAAGCAGTCCTGAATAATCAGAACCCTTCTGCCAGACTGTCTAATGTCAATTTGTTTTCCAGCACTGCTTCTTCTATGTCTCCTTCTTCATCATCTGGCACAGGTTCAGAAGCACTCATCTTGGTCGGGTCATCTTCTGTTAACTCCTCTGGTGTGTTAATAGGCTCCTGAATTTCTCCAAGCTCCATATCTTGAAACGTTTCACCTCCCACTTTTTTTTTTTGTCACATCCACAATCTCTTTCCTAATTTCCTTGACTGGTTCTGTTCTAAATCCTGTGAAGTACAACACCTGGACACAGTTTTGTTTAGCAGGAATTTATTTATTGTTTCAGGCTTCATGGCTCTTTCTGTAACAATGATGGCAGGTTCAATGGTGTAATCCTTCCAGATTTTCATGATGTTCTATTGGGGTCCCCTTCGACAGAGTTGACAGTCCTTTCCATAGAGTACTGTGTGTGATGAGGCTCAAAGGTTCTTATGACCTCCTGATCTAGAGGCTGAATTAGTGATGGTGTGTTTATGGCATTAGACCACTCTGACACCTTTGGAGGTGAACTCATGGGATTATGGGTGGCCAAGTGCATTGTCCAATACTGAAAGAACTTTAAGATGCAGTCCCTTAGTGGCAAGGTACTTCTCGACTTCAGGGACAAAGCATCAATGGAATCCTGACAAGCGGTTCTCACCGTCCAGGTCTTTTTGTTGTACAAGCCAAAGACTGGCAACTGCTGTTTATCTTTTTTCTTCAAGGATCAGGGGTTGGCCACTTTATAGGTAAAGGCAGTCCTGATAAAAAAAACCCGAGTGCATTTGCACAAAACAGTAGAGTTAGCCTATCCCTTCCTCCTTTAAGTGTTAGAACTCACTTCTCTTCCTAATAAATGTTTCTTGTGACATTTTCTGCCAGAATAGGACACTTTCATCTGCATTAAAAACCTGTTCAGGCAGATAGTCTTTCTCCTCAATGATTTTCTTAATGGCATCTAGGAATTTGTCTGCTGTCTCTTGGCTGGAGGAAGCTGCTTTTCCTGTTATCTTGACATTTTTTTAAGCTTTCCTTTTGCTTTGTCATATAGTGATTTCACTTTTTCTTGAATCACATCAGAGTCTACAGGTATGCCTTTCTTATAGTAGACTTGCACCCACATAAAGCTGCATTTCTAATACAAGGTAAAAATGTATTTCACAAGAAGTACAAGTTTTCATGCCTGCTGGTGTAGCTACAGTGACAGCTTCATGTATTTTCTCTTGCTTTTCTTTTCTTCTTCCTTTTTCTTTTTTTTTTTTTAAACAATGGTCCTTTTTTTACAATGGTCCTTATGCTGGATTCATTTGTCTTGAAATGGCGGGCAATATCAGCTGCAGGTTTCAATCTACATATCAGGCACTTCAACTTTTCCTTGTAATGTCATGACTTTTCTTTGCTTCTTGGGAGCACTTCAAGCACCACTAGTGGCACTTCGTATGGGTCCCATGGTTATTCAAGGTTTATGGTACTGCATGAAGCACGACGCAAGATCCATGAGAACTGCGAGAGATCACTCTTTACTGCAATATGCAATTTACAGAGAGGGGAACTGCTCACATGGAGATGACTGGCATCACATGGTGTTTTAAGCGGATACTTGAGCTCCCCACAACAGCAACAGGAGGTGGCTATGAAGTTATATACTGTACTACAGTTTTATGCCTATGATTAAATACTGAATCTTAATGCTTGTTTACGTTTCTTTTGAGTGCAAATCGTTGTCACGTATGGTCTGTAAATGTTGATGTGCATAGTTTTGATAAATTTTAACTTTTTTAGCTGGGCGCGGTGGTTCAAACCTGTTCTTCCAGCACTTTGGGAGGCTGACGCAGATCGCTTGAGCTCAGGAGTTCAAGACCAGCTTGGGCAACAAGGCAAAACCCCATCTCTACAAAAAATACAAAATTAGCAGGGTGTGGTTGTGTGCACCTGTGGTCCCAGCTACTTGGGAGGTTGAGGTGGGAGGATGGCTTGAGCCAGGAAGGCGGAGGTTGCAGTGAGCTGAGATCGCACCACTGCACTCCAGCCTGTGAACAGAGCCAATTTAAAAAAATTATCAGCTGGGCGTGGTGGGTCACGCCTGTAATCCCAGCACTTTGGGAGGCCGAGGCAGGTGTATCACCTGAGGTCAGGAGTTTAAGACCAGCCTGGCCAACATGGTGAAACCCCTCTGTACTAAAAATTCAAAAATGAGCTGGTGGGCACCTGTAATCCCAGCTACTCGGGAGGCTGAGGCAGGAGAATTGCTTGAACCCAGGAGGCTGAGGTTGCAATGAGCCAAGATGGCACCACTGTACTCCAGCCTAGGTGACAGAGCGAGACTCTGTCTCAAAAAAAAAATTTTTCTTTTTATAATAAATTTGTGTATACTTTATGGTGGTAAATGAGAAAATAGACTAGTTTCTATATATATTTTATGCATTCATGACATGCCTAACGTTTTCTTAAGTTTTTTGCTATTTCTAGACTATGCAGTTCATCTGCAAGTTTTTTCAAATTGTCATAATGAAAAACTCCACATGTAAGTGGACTTTCCCAGTTCAAACTCATATTGTTCAAGGGTCAACTGTACTCACATATTTACTTACATATGTTCACTTAATGGAATCCAATAAAGATTACTCTATCTTTAAAACTGCTGTATACAAACACTTGGGGTTCTACAGACCATAAATTCAATCAAAACAACCCTCATTTACTGGTTGCGTACTGTACTGGGATACAAAGATATTTAAGCTATTTGTACTAGTTTGTAAATTTCATGAGGATTGGGACTAAGGCTGCATGGCTCACCCACAAGTCAGTGAAGACTGGGCTATAATAAGTGCCTCTCTCCTGCTTCCATTACTCTCCCATTTTTTTCCAATCATACAAGACCTGGCTCTACTTTAAAACAGTGACTATTACTAATTTGTGCCCTAACATCTTGCCTGAAAAAATGTATATGGCTCTAGAACCCTAAATATATCAATAATCCTTTAGCTTGGCAAAAATGAACTGTGGAATGGTAACTGTCTAATTTAAAAGCTGAGTACCCTATAGAGCAAGTCAGAAAGCCATCGGGACAGCAATTCATAAATTCTACAGTGGTGTCCATAAATGGAAGGTTGCAGTAGTTGGCGTGACACGTGGTCAACTGAAAACAAATGTAGCACCTAGGATTAGGAATCTTCAAACAGATGGGGAATCACCCTACCAATTCCTAAGTCACAAATAAGGATGACAAAATGACTTTGGTTAACGGTGAGAGGGAGAGCTCTGGATTCTTGGATTCTTTCAGCTTTACGCTTACTACTCAATCTCAAACTTTCTCCCTTATCTGACACCTTCAATTACCACATTTGTCTGTGTTTCTTTTTCTATTTGCTCTGGTACCCTCAAAGACACATACACATACTTCTAAGAGAGATAAAAATGTTGATCTACAGGATATTAAACAAAGTGTAGAAATGGAAAGAGAAGGAAGAAGAGAAAACAAAAATCAGAGAAACTGCACTCCAAATTCTTTTTCTCTTTGGTCCTGAATTTGTGGAACTATTTTCTACAGGCACTGCGATCCACTGGGCATGAGGAAAAAAGAGGATGGCAGCTTCTCATGAACCTGGGAGCAGCTCCGGCTTTCCACATTTCACATGTCTGTTAAGAACCGCACCTAGGCTACTCTGGGTATTAGGCCTCTCAGCTGAGATTAGCTGCCTTGAAAACAAATGGAAACTGATCTTAGTTTCCTTTGAAAGGATGAAACTGGCCCCACACCCTAACAGCAAGTCTCACTGTGATAATAATATGTAAGTGATTGTCTTCTATGACTCAGTTCAGAATCTATGAATTTCAAACAATATTCAATATGGTATTTCAAGTCAGCAAGAATTTTTACAGTTTACTAGCAATTGTCAATTACCCACCATAAAGCAAGACCAGGACACATAAGGCTAACCTAAGCACACAGGCATCAGAATCACAAAACTAAAAGGCTTGAGTTAGTTCCTTACCTTGCTCAAAACTATGCCCTACTAGGAGTATTAGTGGGGATTACAGAAAGAACCGGAAATAGGAAGAAGAGAGTGACGTAAATGATTTACAAACAATATAAAAAGCTGCTAAATGATGACATTTTGGCTGTGTAACAATGTGCCTGGAATAACAGATTCATTTAAACTTGAAAACAGGAAGCTAAGCCTCTTAAAATTATTTCTTGACTTCATTTTGAGCAATTACATAATAAGGTTTGTTTCTACAATAAGATTCACCTTAATCTTACCTCTGGTAAACAGAATTCCGGCACAGAATCCACAAATACATGACCCGAGCACTCCTTTAGCTCCTAAAAGAAATGAAAAGGAAAAATACAAGGAAGAGATATCCAGTAGATACAGGACCAAAGAAATAAACTCCCCAAACAAAACTTTTCATGAAGAATCATAGACTACTAGAGCTGGAGGGAAGCTGGGAGGTTATTAGGCCGACTGTCCTATGTTTAGGCTTAGGCAGGCCAAGTGTCTTATTAAGGGTAAAATGCTGTTTGGTTGCAGACTCAGGACTTGAAGGCACATTTTTTGATACCTCTTCAAGAAAGCCATGCATGGGTATGTGCTGCTCCCATAACCCACAATCCAGTGGTTTCCAAATAAGGTATGCAAACTGTACTAGCAACACCAGAATTATGTGGGGACATGGATTACATAAAAGATCCCTGGCCCTATCTAAGACTGAAGGGATCAGAAACTGGGGATGAGGCCATGGAATATGTATTTATAACAAGCACCTCCAGTGATCCTGTTATGCTGTCAGGTTAGGAGTCACAACCCTACATAAACTGTTTAGAAGCTTTTTCTTCACCTACCAAGGGTTGGGAGGAAAGGGGGATGTAAGGAGGGAGAGTTAAGAGCCTGAAACAGGGATTCAACATCTACCACCACCACTACCACCATCACCACCTCCTCCACTACCACGACTACCACCACTACCTCCACCACCACCACCACCACTACCACCTCCACCTCCACCACAACCACCACTACTACCACCTCCACCAAAACCACCACTGCCACCACGAATGTAATGTTTTTCCGTGCAGAACATACCATTTATTTAGCATTATAAACCAAATGTATTTATTCAAAAGAAATAAGCATATGTATAAAGAAATAGATATAGTCCAACTTCTCACCCCACCCATGACTCACCAAATTTAATAAACCTGTCTTTCCCCCACAGGCTGACCCTGAGAAAAGAGTTTGAGAGAAGGTAGTTTATATGGGAGGTGCTGAGAAAACAGAACGGAGAAGTGATCAGTGCAAAGGAAGGTGACAGATAATGGCACTGAGCCACATACAACTTGGGGCAACTGGAACTTATCCCCATGGGGAAACTCAGAAATGGTCTAACACAGACAGCTCTGAGTTATCCCACTGAGGAGCAATGGGGCTGAAATGTTTATATACCAACTGCTGCATTTTGTGCAGCCTCAGGAAAAAACTCTCAGGCAAAGCCATACAGATACCGGCAGCTGGAATTATGACAGAGGACAGTGAAACAGCAAAGTCTGAGAGATATGGGTGGGCTACCAATAGGGTCTGCTACGATGCCTCCTGAAGGCCACTAATGCTTTCTCCTCTCACTGACTTTAAACTGAAGTCCACAGTGAATTTTTTGCACCATTAAGGTTAAAGCTACCTATGACTTTACACTGAAACCAGTAAAAGACAGAATGTGATTGAGTTTCCTTTGCTCTTTCCAGAAAGGGAAAGATACTGTTGTAATTTTTTTCTATTATGTTTCCATTAGTCACTCAACATATATTGTACATATCCATATATACATGTATCTATATTTACACATCAGAGTCTGAATGATTTTACTCTCAATCTTTATCTGAAAATAGGGCATTGACTACATAGTACTGGTCCTTTTGAATTTTATAAGTCTCATATCAGAACCTTGATAGACAATTTCCTCCCCTTGCCTTCCACTGTACTCTCTGGTTTCTCTCCTTAGATGAGTACCATTTAACTAGCGACAGGTGGAGCTGAAAGGAGACTGAACACAGTTCTTAATTACAATGTACCTGCCAGCTAAAAACAAATGAGCAATTATGTTTAATGGGAGAAGACTCCCCACTCCCTTAGGATGAGGTTAAAAATGATTAAAGACAAATCATGGGAAATTTCAAAGCTTTGCCTGGTCTTAAATGGGCTATGTAATCTTCTTCCCCATAATGCTACATTTCAGGACAGGGCTATGATGAAGTCTCCTCACAGGCTCTCATCCTTCCCGGCCTGCAGAAGCATATTTGCCATTCCAAACACTTACAATGTCACTGTATTTTATTCACCACTCCCTT
Source organism: Homo sapiens (assembly GCF_000001405.40). Taxonomy (NCBI): domain Eukaryota; kingdom Metazoa; phylum Chordata; class Mammalia; order Primates; family Hominidae; genus Homo; species Homo sapiens. The sequence goes on from NC_000008.11 coordinate 28,848,829, forward strand.
CTAATGAAATACTCCCACATACACATGCAAGTCATTTCGCTCACAATGCGCTGGTAATGGGATGCTTCGGAGCCTTCTGCAGGGAACAATGATTTATAGCCAGCAGGAGACTCAGGCTGAAATCAGGTGCACAGGTTTCTGAATGTCACATAATTTTACAGTCAGCTCTGAAGAAAATCTGGTGTCAAATTATGCATTTGGCTTGTACTTGAGGCTAGGGTGCAGTTACAGGAATTAATTCTGTAAAAAGGGCACCTCTTTATTTAACAGTATCTATTACAAGAGAAAATGCCTTATTTAGATGAATCATGTTAAGCATCTTTAAACTCTTTAGTTTTTCAAATGTGAAACTTAGGAAAGGAAGAATGATTTAGGGGACTAAGAATTGGCCTGAGGGGGCTTTACAGTCTTTAACCTTCTTATACCTCTGATTTTAGTACGAAGTTTGACTAGCTTATAGTTGTAACATTTTTGGTAGCTTTAGTCTTTCATTTATTAAGTTAACTGTCTAACTATTGATCCGAGGAAGGAATTACTGAGAAGATAACCTAATGTCAAAAATTTAATAGCCTCAAAGAGAAAGAAGTAATTTAAGCCATTTATTTTAGGTGTAGTCAGTCATTAAAGTCATAATAAGACTCCATATCCCAGAGTCCTAGAACTGTTTTTTTTTTTTAATCATCTATAAAGATTGTCCATTCTAGGCTATCAGGACAGGTTGAAACGGGATCACAGATCATAGTGTCGGAGACCCACTACTCAAATTTACCTAAGAGTACTGTCCCCTGCACAAGAAGGCACTGCTGGGGAAGTCAAACACTCTGCTCCTGGACCGTTCCCCACACAGTGGCCAGAGTGATCCGATCTGACAATGCCACTGTCCTTCTGTAACCTTCTGTGGCCTCTCATTACCCAAAAAAGACCCAAGCTTTTTACAAAGCCCTACCTGATCTGACCCTTGATAGAAGCAGTTTAAAACTCACCTGCTTGAGGATTTTAAAAGTTATTCAAAAAAAGGTTTTACTCTTTGCAATCACAAAATGAACTGGATTGAATTCTTTAAAAAGCCTTGTCTTTGAAACACTCATTGCAATTCTAGAAATAATAGTTGTCTTTCTGTGGTGATAAAAGGTATTTGCAGCAGAAGTACTTAGATTTCTACACATGAGCAAAATGGATCTGAATCAGAACAATGACATTCTCTAAAAACATGCTTAAAAACAGCAGTTACCATGTTCTGAAGACCCTAGCATAGATCTTGGGGATTTTCAGAGAGGAAAAAAAAAAAAAGCCATCAGTCACACTACTACAGGGTGGCTCTGGTATGAGAAGATAGCTTTCCACTGGCTGTAGATAGGCTTTAGTTTGTAGTCTTAGATATTACCTTGTCCAAGAAAGCATTTCCATCCTTCAGGGACCAGCCAGGAAGATTGGACAGCCTGGGACTGCAAAACAAAAGATTAAGATTAAATTAACCTAAATAGATTATAATCCTCAATGACTTCATGGTAACTTACTGTCTCCATAAAGTTAAGAACAGTTTAAAATTACTGGCAGTAGTTCTTACCCTAAATTCCAATAAAAAATAAGAGAAATAACCATGTTGTATCAAGCTTAAAAATTATGTGGCAATAGGATATTAAAAGGTCAAATAGTTTAGTGGAAAATTGGAAAAACTAAAAGAATCCTATGCAAAATAATAAAGAAAAAAGAAAGATGAGACATGAAAGCCTTTTATAATTGTCCAATCACCCTGTCTTCTTTCCCATGTGTTTGACAACAGTCCTTAGGACAGGGCAGAATAGGCATCATCTTATTGCAGATGAAAAAACAGATGCAGAGAGGATAGGAGCTCTGATGAGAACACTGCCCTGCTATCTTCCCATCAGCATTCACAACAAACACGAATACCCGAATTCCAGTCCAATCCACGCTTTGGGTTCACAGCTTTACAAGTGGATTAGTCACCTGTCACCTGTGACTTGAGTTTCCAATTCTGGAGAATGAAGCTAGTTTTCCCAAGTGTTACAAAATGACACCATGTCTAAAGTGAACAGCTTCTAGCAGATGAGGTCAATTTCATGTATATGTTACATTTTAAAAATCTGAATTAAAAAATCATTTGCTACTAGTAATCTCAAGATTTAACTGTGTTCTACTAGTTGACCAGAAGAAATATAATGCAAGCTGAAAGTGCCAATAACTCAGGAGGGAAAACAGTATGCTGGTAAAAGTAAAAGCTTAATGAAGAAGGCAATGTGTGAAGAAAAAGCCAACAGGATTCCAAGTTGGATGGTAAAAGGATTTCAGCACTCACTACAAAATTAACTTCTGTGATGCAAAAGTTAAGGGCAAAGTAAGGGTGCGGGACTAAAAGAATCAGAAACCAAGTATCTCTAAGGTCCCTCTTCCTCTTCCCAAAATAATTTGATCAGATGCTAAGTCTGTAATTAGATGATAGGTATGAAAGTCAACACAAAAGCATAAATATGTGAATATCTGTCAATCTTTTAGAAATGGTGAAAAACCTGAATAAAATATAAATGCATCTATTTTCAGAAAAAAGTGAGAATTGGGGGTGGGGTAAGTTTGTTTTTGTTTTTGTTTTGTTGTTGTTGTTGTTTTTTGAGACAGAGTCTCACTCTGTCGCCCAGGCTGGAGTGCAGTGGTGCAATCTCGGCTCACTGCAACCTCTGCCTCCCGGGTCCACGCCATTCTCCTGCCTCAGCCTCCCGAGTAGCTGGGACTACAGGTGCCCGCCACCACACCTGGCTAATTTTTTGTATTTTTAGTAGAGATGGGGTTTCACTGTGTTAGCCAGGATGGTCTCGATCTCCTGACCTCATGATCCACCCGCCTCAGCCTCCCAAAGTGCTGGGATTACAGGAATGAGCCACTGCACCCAGCCGGGGGTGGGGGGTAAGTTTTAATTATTAGGTTGGTGCAAATAATTCTGACATTAATTCCAAACTTACAGAAAAGTTGCAAGGATGTGAATACAATGGACTCCCACATACCCTTTATCTAGATTAACTGTTTACATTTTGCCTTTATTTATCCAAAAGTGAGAATACCATTTCATACTAGAGAATGAAAATCACTACTGGAGGCCAGGTGTGGTAGCTCACACCTGTAATCCCAGCACTTTGGGAGGCCAAGGTGGGAGGATCATTTGAACCCAGGAGTTTGAGCCCAGCCTGGGCATCATAGTAAGACCCTGTCTCTATAATAAATTAAAAAACTAGCAGGCTATGGTGGTACACGCTTGCAGTCTCAGCTACTTGGGAGGCCCAGGAGGAAGGATCGCTTGAGCCCAGGAGGTCAAGGCTGCAGGGAGCTGTGATTGTGCCACTGCCACAAAGCAAGATCTTGTTTTGAAACAAGACCCTGTCTCAAAAAAATAAAAAAAGAAAATCACTACTGAGAGAATCAAATTTGACTGGTATAAATCACACCTGATAAACTCTTTTTTTTTTTTTTTTAAACTCTGGGAGTTTTTAAAAAAGTTTTTAAAATAAACTCTGGGAGTTTTCTGCTGTAACTTTTCAGAAAAATATGCTATTACCATTAGTTGTTTTAATTCCCGTCTCATTTCATAGTCATATATTTTGAAGACTTCTCACTTCTTGAAAAATATATTTGCTATCAGATCAGATTAAGAAAGCAAGCATTCCAATAAAAGTGTAATGACAAGACAATGTGGACACTGTTCTTATTTCATGCATGTTAACTCTCTAAAACAAGGTTGTAACTATCTACTTCCCTTTACAAAGAGAACTGGATCAAAGGACACACACTCTGTCCGTTCCCCATCAGACCCACACAAATCAGATGACAGATGCAGTTAGTTGTCCTCAACAAATGTTTAGAAATAGTAAGTTGCTTATGAGAATATAACTAATTTTTTAAAAAGCAAAATTTTGAGGTGTTGTGGTTTAAACTCCTGGAAAACATTCTTTAATAACATCAAGGCCACCTATTATACCTGGGTGGTTACTTTGGGTTAGAGCCACTGCTAGTAGATGAGACTGAATGCTCAAAGGAAATCATGACCACATTGTGACAACAGTGCCAATGACAAAGGGATGCAAATACATCACCACATGGCAAAGACATGCTGACTATAGAGATGAAAATATTTGCTTACTGTGTTCCAATGAGTTATCAAATAAACCATAAAGAGTAAATTTTAAGAAACCAAAGGGGAAGGGACTTATTTTTTTGTTTTTAATGATTACAAAGTTCGACTGTGTAAACTTTGTAAATGAGGAGATAGAGATCTTTCCACAGAAATCTAATAAAATGGCTGGGCATGGTGGCCCATGCCTATAATCCCAGCACTTTGGGAGGCCGAGGCGGATGGATCACCTAGGTCAGGGGTTCGAGACCAGCCTGGCCAACATGGTGAAACCCTGTCTCTACTAAAAATACAAAATTATCCACGTATGGTGGTGTGTGCCTATAATCCCAGCTACTTGAGAGGCCGAGGCAAGAGAATCACTTGAACCTGGGAGGCAAGGGTTGCAGTGAGCCAAGATGGCGCCACTGTACTCCAGCCTGGGCAAAAAGAGCAAAACTCCATCTCAAAAAAAAAAAAAAGAAAGAAACAAAGAAAGAAAATCTAATAAAATATGGGAGGTAAAGGTACCAAAAAAATGATTATAGAAGAGCACATCTTTGCACCCACTATTTTACTAACATTTCTTAGGAAAAAAGGATACCATTAAAATTTTTAGTCAAAAAATGTATGAAAGATTTATTTTTAAAGTAATTGTTTATTTTGGAAAAATAGGTAAATTATTCTAAGATTTCTGTGGAAAGATCTCTATCTCCTTGTTTATACAGTCGAACTTTGTAATCATTAAAAGCAAAATAACCTAAGACAAGTAATCTATTGCCTAGGAAAATACTGAAGAGAAGATTGAACATTATACGTAATTTCTTTTTTTTTTTGTTTTGTTTTGAGGCGGAGTCCCACCTCCTGGGTTTGCACCATTCTTCTGCCTCAGCCTCCCGAGTAGCTGGGACTACAGGTGCCTGCCACCACGCTCGGCTAATTTTTTGTATTTTTAGTTAGAGACAGTGTTTCACTGCGTTAACCAGGATGGTCTCGATCTCCTGACCTCGTGATCTGCCCGCGCCTCAGCCTCCCAAAGTGCTGGGATTACAGGCGTAAGCCACCGCGCCTGGCCCACAATTTCTTTTTTATTTTTATTAGAGACAGAGTCTTACTCTGTCACCCAAGCTGGAAAGCACTTGTGTGATCACAGTCCACCACAGACTCGAACTCCTGGGCTCAAGTCTCAGCCTTCCGAGCAGCTGGGACTACAGGTACATACCACCATATCCAGGTATGAAATGTGTTACTTTTATAATCAGAAAATAATAGTGAAAGAGGCATGAGTCCATTCATTCATTTATTCAAAAAATATTAACAAGCTTAATACTCAGTGCAAACTGTTGGAATGATAGTAAATAAACAATCCTTTCCTTTCAAGAGTTTGCAATCTAGTATAGGGAGAGAGTCATTACACCAGAATAAAATAAGAGCTCTGACAGGGGTACGCAGGAGGTGCCATGGGTTCACACAGAAAGGGCACTTTTGACAGTTTGCAGTGAGGTGGTAGAGCAGAAAACAGGAGTTAGGAAGTGAAGGTAGAGGAGATCTTTCAAGAAGAAGGAAACAGGGAAGAGCCTCATCACAAGGTGCAGTGTTGCAGGCAAGTGAGGTGTTCATATTTTCACTCACTGAATCTTTATTCGCGTGTCACTTTAGGAGTCTTTATTTGCATGTCAAGATGCTGGTGATAGGACTAGGTGCCAGCGATAGGACTGTGAGCAAAACACTCCCTCCTCCTGAGGAAGCAGGCAAGGCACACAAATCCAGTCAGCATGCAAATTGATGGGGACAAGTGGAGGCAGCATCAAAAGATTTCCCTGGGGACATGAGGACTGAGTTGAGATCTGCACAGGAGCAGAGTCAAGGGGAAACTGAGGGCAGGGCCTGAAGGAATAGAGAAAGTTTAGCTCCCACTTACAGGTGAGAACATACAGAATTTGGTTTTCTGTTCTTGTGTTGATTCACCAAGAATAATGGCCTCCAGCTGCATCCATGTCACTACAAAGGGCATGATTTTGTTCCTTTTTCTGGCTGTGTAGTATTCCATGGTGAACAGCCCAGCAGGTTCCTTCAGTCCTTCTCACCATGAACATCTTCCACGAGGGTTATTCACATGGAACTTTGAGCAGATTCCAAGACACTCCCTCCCAGTCCCCATCCAGCTAGTCCCCATCATTATGTCCTTCCTACATCAAAACTGTAGTCATAGATGATCTCACAGAGTCTTCCAAGCTGGAGAAACAATACATGTGACTGCTCTGAAGGAGTCAGAAGATTTCTTTGAAACTATTTAATAGAAGGAAACAAAGAACAAGAGGCAGAGTATACAGAAGGTACTGGAGGGGCAGGCGTGAAGCCTGATACACTGAGATGAGTGTGGTGTTTATCCTAAGAGCAATGAAAAACCACTGAAAGGTTTTAAACAAGTAAGATAAAATTTGATTTGTGCTTCTACAAGATGACTGTGGGGAAAATGGAACCATGTGCCTTCTGATAATAGATACTATCATTGGCATGGTATTCCTACCAAAAACAGTAACCCCAACCTAATCATGAGGGAACATTAGACAAACCCAAATTGAAAGTCGTTATATGAAATAATTGGCCATACTCTTAAAAACCTCAAGGTCATAAAAGACGGACTGGGAAAGTCTTCCAGATTAAAGGAGTCTGAAGAAATGACAGCTAAATGCAATGTGGATGGGATGTGGATGAGATCCTGGACCAGAAATTACCATTTTTCTCTTTTGCTATAACGGGTTACATAGTGAATTATGACTTGGTAAAAGTGCAGACATATGTATAAGGTATACAGATTAGACACTGGTATACTATCAATGTAAATTCTCTGATTTTGATTTTTGTACCATGGTTATGTTAGAGGATGTCCTTGCTCTTTGGAAATATACTTAAGCATTTATGGGTGAGGAGGATCATGCCTGCATCTCACTCTCAAATGGGTCAGAAAAAAATTATGTGTATACATACCAAGAGGAAATGATAAAGCAAATTTGTTAAAATGCCAATAAATTGGTAAAGGCAATTAGGAATTGCTTGTACTATTTTTGCAGCTTTTCTGTAAATCTGTAGGATTTCAAATAAAAAGTCACACAAAAAAGATGACTCTTGATTGAGACAGGGTCAAGATGAGAATTGATGAAACTGGTGAGGAGGCTTTAGTAATGATACCTATAAAAGACGAGAATGACTACAGCAGCACTGAAGAGAAGTGACTGGATTTTAGAACTATTTAGAAGGTAAAAGTGTCAAGGCTTAATCAAAGACTGAATATGGAGCAGGGAGGAAGAGGGCTGAATCAAAGTTAACTCCCAGTTTTCTGGTTTTTATAAAAGGATACCATTTACTAAGATAGGAACTTGAAGAAAACCCTATCTGGAAGGATACATTTTCCTCTTCTGGACCCAGTCTGATCATGAAAAAAGGTTTGAGGGCATGTTGAATTTTGTTTTTGTTGTTGTTTTTTTGAGACACGGTCTCTCTCTCTCTCTGTCACCCAAGCTGGAGTGCGGTGGCACAATCATGGCTCACTGCAGCCTCGACTCTCTGGGCTCAAGTGATCCTCCTGCCTCAACCTCCCAAGTCAGCTAGGACTACAGGCACACACCACCATGCCTAGCTAATTTTAAAATTTTTGGTAGGCATTTTGGACACATCAATCTGGAACTTGGAAAAGAGTTACTAACTAAAGATACACATTTGTAAGTTGCTGTTTGGACGGTTATTGCAGCTCTGAGCAATTTACTTTTTGTTATTTCAACTTGTATTTAGATTCATAGGGTACATGTGCAGGTTTGTTACCTGGTTATATTTCATTATGCTGAGGTTTGGGGTACAACTGATCCTGTCACCCAGGTAGTGAGCATAGTAGCCAAGAGTTAGTTTTTCAATCCTTGGCCCCTCCTTATCTAGCCCTTCTAGCAGTCCCCAGTGTCTACTGTTGCCATCTTTATGTCCACGTGAACCCAATGTTTAGCTCCCACTTACAAATGAGAACATGCGGTATTTGGTTTTCTATTCTTGTGTTAATTCACCAAGAATAATGGCCTCCAGTTGCATCCATGTCACTGCAAAGGGCATGATTTCATTCTTTTTTTATGGCTGGGTAGTATTCCATGGTGTATATGTACCACATTTTCTTTATCCAGTCCACTGCTGAGGGGCACTTAAGTTGCTTCCATGTCTTTACTATTATGAATAGTGCTGAGCATTTATTAAATGCCCTTAGTGGAGAATATGATGGGGCCAAGCAATGAACACCGAAGATGTCAATACATGATGGCCAATTAGAGGAAAACACATCTCCAAAGTATACAGAGAAAGAAGGGTCACAGAGGTAAGAGGAAAACCAGGAATGCATTATCATGGAGGTCAGTGCTGCTGAATGGTCAAATAAGATGAGGACTGACAAATGCCCATCACATCTAATAACATGGAAGTCATGTGGGGCCTAAGAGGTTCTAGTGGAGTGGTGTGGGCAGAGTGAAGACTGGACAGGGTTTAGAAATGCTGAAGGGGAAAAACGAATTGAGAGAAGGTCAAAAATTGTTTTTTAAATTTTAAGTTAAAAGTGAATGATTATAATTAAATGACAAGATGGAAAAGTCCAAGACAAACCAAAGATATAATAATTTAATTAATTAGTTAATTATAATAGTAAAAGGACTCTGAAAAAGTGACGAGTATGGAATACAGAGAAGATAAAGCAATTCATTCATACAACAAATACTTACTGAGTAGCTACCACATGCCAAGAATAGTTCTAGGCAGTGGGGATACAATGGAGAACCAAATTCCCTGCCTTTATGAAACTTACATGTAGTGGAGAAGAAAGACAATAAATATGTACTTATAATGTAATAAGTGCTACGAAGACAAAGCAGCTGAGGGGATAGAGAGGGCCAGGAATACCATTTTAGGCAACCGTGTCCTGGTCTGAGCAAAAGGAGACATCTTTTGTAAGAAACCATATGGATAGCTAACCATTCTCCTAGTAGAACTTCCCTCTGAGAGTGAAAGAATGGGAAGGGGAAGAGAGGGAACGAGAATTCCAGTGCTGAGCCAGGACCATGAGAACAGTAGAACTGGGTAAGGATGAGAGTGAACAGGAACGGGAAAACATGCAGCTGGGATTGTCTGCCCTCGTCCAGTTCTCATCACCCAGGAAATTCATGACCCCACAGAGCAGGTTGGGCTCCCTTTTGGAATCTCTCATGGTACCTTAGATTTTATTTTTAAAGTAATTATCCTAAATATATATACTTGTTTTCTAGTCACAAGTGTAATTAAATCTTCATCTGTGTGATGTCTTTCTCCCTGATAGACTAAGTTCCATGAGGGAAAGTAGGTTATTCTGTTCATCTCTAAATCCTCTGGTCCAGAACAGTGCAGATTTTTAAGAAACATCAAACAAACAAACATTTTGCTCTCTGGGGGAAAAAGACAATAATATCAGGCCATTTTATTAGGAAATAACCAATTGTCATGTAAACAAGCTCCTCCCAATCCAGTTTTTGGGCAATATCTGTGGGTGGCACATGTATTTCTAAATGCTGGGTGTAATTATAACTGAATTCCATCTGCTTTGCATAAAATGTAATCTGGAATTATCTCTGACTTTATCCTTACACCACCTTACTGTGCCCCTTATCTCAGAAAAATCAATAGCTGATGATAATTTTTCTAGATGGTTCATCGGGTTATCACTGTGAATAATCATTGTACTCAGTGATGTCTTCAGGAATGACTGAGATAAACTAGAAAGCTTACCCAGCTTACTATGCTTTTGAGCTCTTAAATCTGCTTTAGATAGCTTTTCCATATCCTATCTTGTATGTGGTGTCACTTTTTGCTACTGTAAGTATATTTGCTTCAACAAGGTAGCCACTTCTTCTATAAACTGTTTCTAAATAGTAGTATGCTGGGAAACCAATTTCCTAAGGCAAAGTCTTATTTAAGCATAAACAGTGCTATTGTAGGCCTGAGGCAATCTGTCTCATTTAAGATATGAACTTGGGCTACATATGTGGTTCTAAATCTAAAGTTGACTTAGTATGAAAATAATGCACAGATGCCTGTCAAAAAGAAATGTCAGACTCTATGCTGTTAAGTCTCTGCAAAGGCTGCTAAATAATTCTAAAATTCAATTCTTGGGCTCAGCAGTTGACCATTTACCAGCTCTTATGTGAATTAGCAAGAAAGATGAAATATACATGACCTCAGTTGTACTGAGCAGTTGCAGGAACATTTTACAGAAGCTCAGAAGAAGTTATAATAAAGAAGCCAATCAATAAATCAATAGAACACTTTCCATCAGCTCAGCCAAAGGAAATTATTTTGATAAAGAACATTTTTAAGGAAACAAAGCAAACTTACGACAATATACTAGGTACTAGTAACCTTCATACTAATGGTACCATTTTTCAGCAAACTTAAAGCTCATTTTGTCTTTGGCTGCACCAGCACATACCTTTGAACAAGTGGCAAAGGAAGGAAATTGAGGGTAGAAGTCATGTCCAGTCCGCAGTCCAACATAATGGTGGTTGATTTGAATTTGAGCACATTGCATGGTAAGGTTGGGTGCCCTGACAGGCAATACTGAAAAAAATTAAATCACTTTGATCAGTAATCAATTACAGAAGAATCCTACAAAGTAAAGTGAATTAAATAACTCTGACGATCTTCTCTCATAAGACCAGCGTGTTAAGTTCAGCTAACTTTCTATGTGGTTTCCGCCCTTTTACTGCTTGGGGACTACTTTCCCTAGCCGTTCAAAATACTCAAAATTCTCAGATCACACCCATCTGTCTTTTCACAGGGTGCCAAGGCAAGCCCGGTTTTACATGGGCCACAGTTATTCAAAATAGAAGGTTTCAAGGCTATGGTTATTCATTCCGTTCTCACAAGGCACTGGTGAATTATCATTTTCCCCTTTGTATGTAAGTACTGTCTAAAGCTGTGGATGTCAATGAAACTCTAAGCTGGACACTCAAACTGTGCTCTAGGTATGGTTTTCTCCCTTTGTAAATAAGTGACCTTCCTCAAAGAGGAACTGGTTAGAAAGGTTAACTAACAAGCATGAGTAAAGGTTTATGCTCAGTCTTGTCAGAAGAAATGACTCAAAAGGACAAGTGACTTCCCTGATGTGCAGACACTAAGCAGGAGTGTGGGAACCTACTTCCAGACAAGTAGGAATCTCTTGCCTATGGCAGCAGAGCTCAGAAGTCAAAGGGGCACAAGCCACAATGGTGTCTTCAAAGGAGAGTGAACACAACACACTGACCCGAAACATTTCTCATGTTCTCCTCAATGTTGTGGCAGTGACAGATCTGCCACACTGAAAATATCTATATGGGACATGCTCTGCCACCTTTAATAATTCTATTGCTGCTCCGAAGAAAAGAAATGGAAGAAGACCCTTTCCCAACTTTTAAAGCCCTCCCTTGAGCAACAGAGCCCAGAAAACAAAGGGAACAGTGTGCTGAATCCACTAGCAAGTCCATTCTCTCCTTTTTTTTTTTTTTCCCTTGAGATGGAGTCTCACTCTGTTGCTTAGGCTGGAGTGCAGTGGTGTGATCTCAGCTCACTGCAACCTCCGCCTCCCTGGTTCAAGCGATTCTCCTGCCTCAGCCTCCCAAGTAGCTGGGATTACAGGTGTCTGCCACCATGCCTGGCTGGTTGTTTTGTATTTTTAGTAGAGATGGGGTTTCACCATGTTGGCCAGGCTGGTCACAAACTCCTAACCTCAAGTGATCCGCCCGCCTCCTTGGCCTCCCAAAGTGCTGGGGTTATAGGCGTGAGCCATGGCGCCCGACCCTCTCCTGATTTAAGCACAAAGACAGCACGAGTGAGAGTGAAGCTCCATCAATGCCCAGCCCCATATGGCCTCAGTCACTTAGGCTAAGTCTTTCCAGGTATTTGTTGCTCTGTTGGTTCTATCTTTGTAGTGGATGAATTTTCCACTTTTCTCCAGAGGATGTTACAGGAACTGATAATTTTTTGAAAACTGCATGTTCTAAAAATGGTAAGGCCAAGAGCCAAGAAGTTGTATTTTGCAAGCTGCTTCTTCATTCCAAGTTTATGTATGATGATTATATTTTACCAAACCAAAATTCACAACTCATGATCTGAAAAGATATAAGGCACTTACGATAAAAACAATACAAATTATTTAAAACTGCAATTGTCCTGAAGAAGTCTAGGATCCATGATTTTGGTAATTACACTTTACATAAGTTCCTTCTTTGATAGGTATCAGGATTACAGAAAATTTTTTCCTCCTAATTAAGACAGAGATATTCCTGTCCCCACCCTCCATCTGGTTCCCTATTGCTACTTGGTCTTTATCCCCATCTAAGAACTATTTGTTAAAGATAAACTATCTCAAAATGAACACAAAGCATCATGTTAAACTTGCTCCAAATATAGCAAATGTTCCAGGAAAAGCTTTCCTATATCTCTCCTTTCAAAAATAAGAAAAAATCAGATATTCAGAAAAGCATGGAAGAAAATAAAATGAAATGTGTGTAACAGTTATTTCTGAGTGGGAAGATTATTGTCCGATTTTCTTCTTTCAGCTTTCTCCATTTTCCAAAAGTTCAGCAATGAGCTTTTACTACATTTTTATAATCAGAAAAAAAATGTGATTAAAACAAAACAGACAATTTAGCCAGCCACATTGAATGACAAAATATTTTTTGTCTTCCTCCTTAATTCTAAATTATGGAGGATAAGGTACACCAGAAAACAGAATATGTAAAATTTTTAAAAGCTGATGCTCAAAAGATTTCAGCAAAGAAAGTTCGCTGGAAGACTTTACTTTTGTTACTGTCCTTAAAGGCCAAAGGCCAAAGGCCAAAGTGAGGAATGCTAACGGCTACCACCGAATGGAACAAACATTTTCAGAGCACTGACGAAAGGTGCCAGGCACCGAGCTCATTCGCCTTATTTGTATAGATGAGAAGGTTGAGCTCTACCCAGTTTCAGAAGCTTTTCTGGGAAGAGCTGAAGACACACAGCGAGGTCCCTCTGACTCCAAAGATCCCACTCATGCTTCCCAAACTGCACTGCTCACCGTGGGTCAACTGAGTGCACGGGAGCACAGAGTGGCTGCCTGAGGTTCACACACTTGTACAGGAGGCGCTTGCAAAGGGCCCAGACCCTGTGGCCTCCAGCGATGCTCTTTGTGCAATTCCAGTTTTCTTCCTCTGTCACCAAGCAGCATATCATCTACTGAGGGTTATGAGACTAAGGCACAAAACCAGTAAGTAATTATGGAAATAAAATTATCTACAATCACACCAATCTGATTATCATTTTTATATTCCATCTTTTTTCATATTTGTAAAAGCTGTAATTTTAGTATTCACACTGCTGTGTGTGCTGCTTCAACTCTTGATGACTATGTTTTCCTCATGTTACATGACACTTAATTTTTATTGGCCTAAGTAAATATACCATGGTTTGTTTGGTCATTCATTCCCTTATTGTTGAACATTGAGGGTTGTTTCCTGTCACCCTACTATCACAAGCATGGCTGTGGTGATCACTTTAGTGCGTAAGTCTTTTTCCATACTGGACTATTTTTTTAAGATGATTCCCAGAAGTAGCACTAACTGGGTCAAAAAAGATGAGTATTTTATGGCTCTTTCAATCTGCCAAAATGCTTTCCAAAAAGGACTGTACTTATTTACAATGTCATTGGTAATATATCAGAAGATCTGTTTCACTGCTCAAACCCATGAGCATTATATTCAAAACCATTTAGAATCTGTACTGAAATGCAGCTATCACCCTAGTAGTAGCCATGTAGAGGTAATTAAATGACCCTAACCAAGGAAAGTTAACTATTTGATAAGTGGCTTTAGTTCTGAGAGGCAGTTTGGTGCAATGATATGAAGTAGGGAGTTTGAAGTTAAGACTGCCTGGGCTCAAATCTTGGCTGCACTCAGTGTTAATGTGTGATTTTGGGAAAGTTACTTAACTTTGGACTGTTAAGGTGCAGTAATAGAACCTATCCTTGTAGCAGAGTTGCTGGGAGGACTAAATGAATGGATACACTGCCTGGTACACAGTAAGTGCTCTTAGTTACTATCAGTTATAAAATCATTAAGGGGCTGAAGAGGTCATTTAAGTTTGGATGGAGTAATTTATATTCTACAGCGGCATTCACTAACATCTTTACATGTGTATCCCCTAAGACTAGGTGAAGTGAATGAACAATTTTATAAATAGTTCCCATTTTGCTGGTCTGCTCTTCAGGAAGATAGATCCACTAGTAAGTACAGAATAATCTTTATTTTTTTCTAGCTTAACAAGCCCATAGCAATGCTTTCATGTTCATTTTATTCCTACTTAATTAAAAAGCTACAAGTTTTTCTGTGATCACAATCTACAGTTGGCTCTCCATATCCATGGCTTCTGCATCCAGGATTCAACCAACTACAAATGGAAAAATATCTGAAAAGATAAAACTACAAGTAATAAAATATAACAATACAGCAAAAGTTATATAAATTTTAAAATGCAGCCTGGGCGTGGTAGCTCACTCCTGTAATCCCAGCACTTTGGGAGGCCAAGGCGGGAAGATCACCTGAGGTCAGGAGTTCAAGACCAGCCTGACCAATACGGTGAAACCTTGTCTCTACTAAAGATACAAAAATTAGCTGGGCATGGTGGCGAGTGCCTGTAATCCCAGCTACTTGTGAGGCTAAGGCTGAGGCAGGAGAATCATTTGAGCCCAGGAGGCAGAGGTTGCAGTGAGTTGAGATCACGCCACTGCACACCAGCCTGGGTGACAGAGCAAAACTCTGTCTCAAAAAACAAAAACAAAAACAAACAAACAAAAAGCAATGTACAACTACTTGCACAGCAATTATATTGTATTAGACGTTATCTGCTGTGGGTATGGAGGGACTACTATAGTATCTGTATTTCCCTGTGTGCCTTTTTTTCATAGAATAAGTGGAAAATGGTTTTGAAAGTTACATATGGGTAAGATAAACATTATTTATATTTTTTGAATAAAAATTTTATCAGTTATACTTAGTGTATATATTTCTCATTCTGTTATTTTCATTAAAAAGCTTTTATTATGGGCAGGCATGGCGGCTCATGCCTATAATCCCAGCACACTGGGAGGTCAAGGCAGGAGGATAACTTAAGGCCAAGAGTTCCAGGCGAGTCTGGACAACACAGTGAGACCCTGTCTGTACAAAAAATAAAAAAAATTAGCCAGGTGTGGTGGCACACAACAGATGCCAGAAGACAATTGGAGTAGTATCTTTGGGGTTTTAAGGTAATTTGCTAGCCCATAATTCCAACACCATCATTGTTGAGAAGTAAAGTTAAGACATTTTCAGACCAATAGTAACTAAGAATTCACTATTTCAACACCATCACTGAAGGAGGTATATTCAAGATTATATTTCAGGAAGAAGGGAGTTGAACTCAGAAGAAATGAGATACAAGAAGGATTGGTGAGCAAATAAATTGGTTAAAATATTGTTAAATAATAAGTATTTTAAAAGTCAAATAATTCATTGACTCTAAAATATGATTAAAACATGTCTGTCTTTTATTTACATACCACTGAGAAAAACAGCAACAATGAGAAATCATAACACAGTGCTTTAATGATGGGACTGAACAGTGCATTATATTATTATACTAATTTCTTTTTTCTTTGAAATTCCTTTCATCTAGTGTAAGAAATTTATCATTTGTCTTCATGTGCGTGAGAATGAGATATGGAATCCTGTTGTACATATCTTGGTTATAAAACATCAAAGCTTCAACTTGGCCAGATGCGGTGGCTCACGCCTGTAATCCTAACATTTTGGGAGGCTGAGGCACGTGGATCACTTGAGTGATTAGCCCAGCATGGTGGTGCACACCTGTAATCCCAGCTACCCGGGAGGCTGAGGCAGGAGAATAGCTTAAACCCAGGAGGCGGAGGTTGCAGTGAGCTGAGATTGCACCACTGCACTCCCTCCTCAGAGACACAGTGAGACACCGTCTCAAAAAAAAAAAAAAAACAAAGTTTCAACTTGTAGTCAGTTTTCATAGTAAAAAAATCTCAGAGAATCAGAAGAAAAAATAAAAACAAAAAATCATAATAACTAAAACTTGAAAATCAAGAAATAACAGTATAATCATATTATTGAAAAATATAAAGGTAACTAGCAGAGTCAAAAAGGTTACCTCTTAAATTTGGGAACTGGGGACTGAGAGTTTTTACAGTTTGTAAAACTATTTGATTCATTTTTAACTGTGCAGATATAAAATTTTATTTTAAAAAAAACACATTAGACAATGATTCACTGAATTAAAAAAAGTAGATGTATCTATACGATTTATAAATAAACCTAGAAGCCTATTTAGAAATAGCCCAGCTACTTGGGAGGTTGAGGCAAGAGGACTGCTCATGCCCAGGAGTTGAAGGCTACAGTGTGCTGTGATCATGCCACTGCACTCCAGCCTGGGCAACAGAGCTAGACCCCATCTCTAAAAAAAAAAAAAAAAGTAAAATTTTTAAAAACTTGGAAATAGATTTTAAGATAAAGATTATCACATAATCATAAACAGTTCACTGGTAATATATAATAACTGTGACACTTATGTACAAGCAACGTAGCCTCAAAATACATGAAGCAAAATTTGACAGAATTACAAAGATTTCTGGGGAGAAATCTGCTGCCAGTCTAGGTGGTGTTTTAAGCTGCTATTAAAATATTCTCTTTGTTGTTGGTGCTCTGATTTTTCAAAAAGATGTGCACGGGTATGAGGTATAACTTACTTTCCTTTTGGTTTATGCTTCTAACACATAACTCGTCTTTCACAACTGTGAAAAATACTGTCAGCCATGATCACTTTGAATACGGCCTCTCTCCATTTTTTCTAGTTTCTACTTCTGGAATGCCTATTAAATGCATGTGGTAATGTTTCATTTTACTCCCCCCTCCCTGTGACTAAATTATCATTTTTTTTTTTGCAATGTATAGTGCATTCTGGGTATTTTCTTCAGATTTATCTTACATTTTGCTAATTCTTTCTTTAGTGGTGTCAAATCTGCTATTTAGCCAATGGGTTAAATACTGAAATTTTCTTCCTAGTGACTATGTTTTTCAAATCTAGAAGTCCTCTTTCCTTATTGAAAACAGCATCTTATTCTTTTCAAAGGTTTGCATTCCTTCATACATGCCTTTAAATCACTTTCACATATTAAGAGTCTCCATGTTACACGATTTTCTGAAGTTCTTGGTAGTCTTATTATGACTACTCATCCTAACTCATGGTGGATTTCAGATCCTTTAACAATTTGCATGGTGAGCTCATTTTTAGTAGGGCTTTGTGGGAATTCTGTGGGAGCTCTATGAGGAATGGGTTGGGGCCGGTCCGCAATAAATGTCACCATTTTGAGACCATTTTATGTTGATTTCTCAGCTTATATATCTGTACTATAAGGGGAGCATACGCGTCAGACTCTCAACACTCTTAAAGCACTGGCCCAAGCTCCTTGCAGAGACGAGCTTCCTTACAGACCCCAGGGGCAAACAAATGAAATTTTCCTAGTACTCTTTTCACTGAGTACTAGTACTGTATACAGTCCTTGGGAGTTTCTTGGTTATCAATCTTGAAATACGCATTTTGAATGTTACATTTATTACTAACAAGATTAAATCATATTATGTTAAGGTTTCAGCAAATCTAATACTTTAAAAATCTGCTGGCCAGGCGTGGTGGCTCACGCCTGTAATCCCAGCACTTTGGGAGGCCGAGGCGGGCGGGTCATGAGGTCAGGAGATCGAGACCATCCCGGCAAACACGGTGAAACCTCATCTCTACTAAAAATACAAAAATTAGCCAGGCATGGTGGCGGGAGCCTGTAGTCCTGGCTACTCAGGAGGCTGAGGCAGGAGACTGGTGTGAACCCGGGAGGCAGAGCTTGCAGTGAGCCAAGATCGCACCACTGCACTCCAGCCTGGGTGACAGAGCGAAACTGTCAAAAAAGAAAAGAAAAATAAAAAATCTGCTTTCCAGCCAGGCGTGGTGGCTCATGCCTGTAATCCTAGCACTTTGAGAGGCCGAGGTGGGTGGACTGCCTGAGCTCAGGAGCTGGAGACCTGCCTGGGCAACATGGTGAAACCCCACCTCTACTAAAATACAAAAAATTAGGCTAGAAGCAGTGGCTCATGCCTGTAATCCCAGCACTTTGGGAGGCCAAGGCGGGTGGATCACTTGAGGTCAGGAATTCAAGACCAGCCTGACCAACATGGTAAAACCCTGTCTCAACTGAAAAAAAATTAGCTGGGCGTCGTGGCATGTGCCTGTAATCCTAGCTACTTGGGAAGCTGAGGCAGGAGAATCGCTTGAACCCAGGAGGCGGAGGTTGCAGTGAATGCAGATCGTGCCACTGGACTCCAGCCTAGGTGACAGAGTAAGACTCCGTCTACAAAAAAAAATTAGCCAGGTGTGGTGGCGTGAGCCTTAATCCCAGCTACTTGGGAGGCTGAGACAGGAGAATCACTTGAACCTGGGAGGCACAGGTTGCAGTGAGCTGAGATTAAAAAAAAAAAAAAAAAGGCTATACAAACAAAATGACAGCCAGCCAACTACTTAATCTCACAAAAATCTTTAAAAGCAGTATGAAATACTGTGAACTTCCTAAAAAAAATTTGGCAAATTAGTAAATTTGGCAATTTGGTAATACGACAAATTGAATTTTAGTGAACTGACTTTGGGTAACAAGTCTGTTTTTTTTTTTTTGCAAAAAGAACCATAGACTAAAACATCATCTATGTTCTTTTCTCTAGTCTTGTTTAAAGTAATTAAAATACGCATAGTTATTATGCTATGGTGTTTATTAGGTATCGGGTACTCTGTAAGAACTTTATATTTTAACTCTTATAATCCTCCCAAGAATGCCATGAGGTAGGAATCATTTTCTCATTTTACAGATGAAAAAAATGAGGCATAGGAAGTATAAAACATTCACATGATCCCAAAGTTCTAAGAAAATGTGCCAGGACTTGAACCTGGACAGTGAGCTCCGGAATCAGTACAGTTAGCCAACACAGCATACACACCGTGTTACACAGTATGAAAGGCATTGTCAGAGACCTAAAGACATATTACTTTTTGCAGAGGTGGTATAATCTAAAAGACCTTATTTTGAATTGGTAAGAATGCAGATGAGTTTATAATCTGGTTCTGAACAAAGAGGATTAGTTAGCTGACTGATGCAATAAAGGTCCCAAGTAAATTAAATTATTAAATTGCCCTGCAATCCATCATAAGCAGTAATTTTCTTTTGTTGGTTTTCCTTTCCATTCAAAAACAGTGAGAAGATTCTCTTACTGTAAAGTAGTTCTGCTGTTGAAACTGCCTTTAATTATCTGTACTGTAACCTATAACTTCTAGGCTGAATTGATGCCAATAGCTCTTTACTCTCGCTTGAGAGAACTGCACAGTCATAAAGAAACTGTTTTTTTTTTAAATAGGCAATAGTGTTAATGAAGTAAGTTGTAAATGACATCACCAATTTTTTCCGTTTTCTATTTAACCAACCCATGCATCACATCATCCAATAGCTCATTTGACATCAGCATAAAGTACTAGTTCTAACTTTGCTGATACATTGATGTTAGCCTGAATGAATCCCTAAATTCTATGGGTCTCAAATATCTTCATCTGACAAATGAGGAGATTTAACTAGATTATTTTAAGCTTTCTTTTAACACAAAAATGTTGTTTCTCATTATTCCACCATTTCACTGGGTCAGTCAAAACTCCTCTTTTATATAACCTGTCACCAACACGTTTGTGACATTGTGCTCTTTATAACTGACTTTCTGGGCTGGATGCGGTGGCTCATGGCTGTAATCCCAGCACTTTGGGAGGCCGAGACGGATCACCTCAGGCCAGGAGTTCAAGACCAGCCTGGCCAACATGGCGAAACCCCGTCTCTACTAAAAATAGAAAAATTCGCTGGGCGTGGTGGCACGTACCTTTAATCCCAGCTACTTGGGAGGCTGAGGCAGGAGAATAGCTTGAGGAGGCAGAGGTTGCAGTGAGCAGAGATCACACCATTGCACTCCATCCTGGGCTACAGAATGAGACTTCTGTCTCAAAAAAAAAAAATTGACTTTCTGACAATGTAAAAAACTATACAATGCACAAGCTGGAACTAATTTCAACATCATCTAAATGCTTCCTTTAAAAAAAATATTTTATTATTTTCTTTCAAAAAGTTTAAAATAGAGATGGGGTTTTGCCATGTTGCCCAGGCTGGTGTCGAACTTCTGGGCTCCAGCAAGTGATCTGCCAGCCTTGGCCTCCCAAAGTGCTGGGATTACAGGTCTGAGCCACCATGCCCAGCCTAAATGTTTCTTTTAGAAACAAGGAACCCTGTTCTTCCAGAGCTTGTAAACTTTTCTCTTCTCCAACACATCCAAGTATAAACATTCGCTGCCATCAGTAAATGCAGCTCACTAGGAGATACTCCATGGCCTAACAGGGCATATAAGGTTCCCAGAGGGGCTGGGAGCATCCCTACCTTATATTACTCCATTCTGAGATGCTGGCTTCCACTGAGCCAAATTTGCCTAATTTGGAGGCAAATTACCTCTGCTAGGAATTTTGGGCCAGGCCCTCCAACAATCAGAGTTCTATAAATACATTTCAGTTTTATTTGGTAATCTTTCACTTTCTTCCACTTTGTGTCTTGATTCCATCTCGCAGGAGAGCTGTTAAATGTGCCAATCATACTCACTGTCAAACTGACTACACAGCTGGATAAAAGAGAAGGGTAATTTTCCACTTGTGCAGAAAATCTTAGCATGCATGGTGAACACAGAAAAGCCACTTTCTGGTTGAAGAGTGGCTAGATATCACACACAGCTGAGTAACTGCCACTTAGGGCTGCTCCCTCACACTCATCCTGTCCTCTACTTGGCTTTCCATGAAAATGAGACAAGCAGCAGAGGGTGGTCATAAAAAGCAAAATTTCCCCAAGAGAAGCGCAGGAAGGGTGGAAATGTTGATAGTAAATCATTAAGGGCGAGGGAAGGAAAACAGGTAGGGGCTGCCTTCGGAACCAACATGTTTGGCTATCTGGAACCAGCACTTAATACACGTTAAGAAGTAATTATAGTTGATGAAAAAAAGTTCATGGAACTATATATGTGACTGTTTGTTACATATATATATATGTATGTATAAAAGACTGTAAGCACACACACCAAACTGATTGAAGTGGTTACCACAGGGGCGAGTGGTTGATCATACTGGAACTCTCACTTTCTACTTAGATACTTCTGTATCCTTGACTACTACTTCTTTTAAACATTAACCATTTTTTTTTTTTTTAGAATCAGAAAAAAGCTTTTTTTTTTTTTTTTTTTTTTGAATAGAGTCACTACCAGAGAAGTTTCTATTGGCAACAAAGTTTTTAAGGACAATATAATTTATACAAATTGCTGAAAATGTGCAACAATGGCAACTTGCAAGAAAGAAAAATGGTTAACGAAATGGTAAAACTTGTAAATGGCTAGAGGATCAGCATCAAGAAGGGAGACTTATTAGTGTATGTCGGTTCAGGAGTAAGCTAAGAATTTATTCTAGCATGTTAGAAATATGCTTTCTTTTCTCTCTTCAAACCACATATAAATGCAATGGTTCAAGTTTCAAGGTTTAGAAAAATCTGGACATCAAAATCAATCATAAAGCATAGAGCAGAAATACTAGGGAGTTGCTGGTCACAATTGTGAAGACAATCAGGAAGGGGTTCCCTAACTCAACAGACTTTCAACGCAGACAAAAGTGTTTTATTTAGGGGGAAGATGCCTGGTATAATACGTTTCAGCAAGGAGGAGAGCATGCCTAGTTTCAATCTTTGAACAAATATGCTTCTGTGTGGATCAAGAGTTGGGGGTGGGGAGAAGTTTACACCCCTTTAGTCACTTCAGATTTTCAAAGAAACGGATTTCCAAACAGCTTTTGATAAATTAAGTTTTTAAAGACAGCGAACATTTATTAATCACTTACTTCATGCTGGGTTATTCACATGCATTTATGTAGGCACAAAAACCAGGCTGACTGGCTAAGTACTAGGGCTGAGAAAAGGCTTTTCAATGGAAAAACTTCTTACTAGTCACACCGGTAGTAAGTTAGGAGTCAGCAAAGGAAAGAGCTTCCGTTTGTCTCTACCATTTGGTAGAGACTTTGGGAGAGAACGGAAGCAGTAGCTTCTTCACTAATGTATGCTGATCCTACAGATTAGGCAGAAGGGAGAGCCATACTTACTGGAGGAACTAGTTAAATTTTGATTTTCAGTTTACCTTGGTCCATGATAAAATACTTCTTTGAAAATCTTTATTATGGAATCTGAGCAAGGAATTTCTAAAATTTTAGGGAAATATTTAATATAATTCTGGGGTAGGAGATAACTTTTTTTTTGAGACAGGGTCTCACTCTATTGCCCAGGCTGCAGTGCAGTGATATGATTACGGCTCACCGCAGCCTCAACCTTCTGGGCTCAAGCAATCCTCCCACCTCAGCCTCCTAAGTAGCTGGGACTACAGATGCAAGCCATTATACCTGGCAAATTTTTGTATTTTTTTGTGGAGATGAAGCCTCACTATGTTGCCCAGGCTGGTCCTGAACTCCTGGGCTCAAGCAATCCGCTCACCTCGGCCTTCCAAAATGCTGGGATTACAGGTGTGAGCCATCATGCCTGACCTAGGAAAGAACTTTTAAGGCATGATCCTAAAGCCATGATCTTGGGAGAAAATACTGATAGACTAGATTACTTATACTAAGGACTTTTCTATGAGAAAAACTACTTTGAATAAGGTAAAAGATTATCTGGGAAAATAATATTTATAAAACCAAGACAAAAAATTGATATCCTTAATATATAAAGAGCTCTAAGAAATGAGTAAGATTCCAACAGAAAAATGTGCAAAAAGCACAGTCAATTCATGAAATACAAATGAGTGAAAAAACATATGTAAAGATGTAAGAGAAATGCAAAACAGAAACCCAGAAGAAATAAAAGTGTAATTTAAAACTATACTGACATAAAATGCCCAGTCCATACATTGGCAAAGAAGCCAAAGATGAGGTTGTGGGGAAGTGGAAACTCTCATTTACTCTATGGGTAAAAACTAAAGCAGTCCTGAAAAGCAATATTGCATCAGAGTTTAAAATGTGCATGTATAGTCTTTGAACAAGAAATTCCACTTAGGAATTTACAATAAACAAATACAGTAACTAGATGGGTGCAAACAATCTAAACAGTATATTTTCATCAGCACTGTGTGGGACAGTAGGGAATAAAAACCAAAATTTCAACAGTAGAATATGTCCACACAATGTTATACTATAAACATACTCAAAATGAACTACATAAATGTTCCAAATGAAAAAGCTTATGAGCATTGTCTCTCATTAACTATATGTCTCTTCTCCTTTTTAAATTAGAATCCATGTCTTAGCTGTAATTATGGCCACCTGGAATAAAAACTATTTGCTAGACTTGACTGCAACTAGATGTAGCCATGTAAGAAAATGCTGGTCAGGAAGGTATAAATAGAAGTAGTGTACACAACTTTCTCAAAGTGTCAAAGGGAGAGGACATGGCTTTCTTTGTCCCTTCCTCCTTCCTACTGACTAGAATAGGGATATGATGGCCTGAGCTGGTAGTCATATTGGATCACAAAGAGGAAGTCATGGATTACAGATGGTGGAGCTACAAGCTATCAGGAGAGCCTGGACCTGCCACACCAGCCCTGGACTATTTAACTCAGCACATCATTTACACAACAGAGATGTAAACATTTATCCTGTTTAAGCCACCATTACTTCAGGCTTTCTGTCACTCAGAGCTGAATCTAATCCTAACTGGTGTACAGTTTTAGGGTGACTCACACAGAAGGTATCACTGCACACACCCATCCTAGCAGGTATACCATAATGACTGATTATTTGAGGTGGTGAGATTACAGGTGATTTTTTTTTTTTCTTTATGCCTCTCAGGACTCAGAAGTATATTCTGAAAATTTTTTCTTACAGTAATACGTATTGATTCTGTAACAGTTATTTTTATTTTGAGAAAAGTTTTCTAAAAATGTGTTAAAAAAATAGAAGCTTTCTTTTACTTAGTTCCTTGAAAGAACTCTCATTAGTTTAGTCAGATTGATTTCTTTTGAAAAACAACTATATTGCCTGACAGTTTACCACTGAATCTCAGCAGCCTGCCAGGCACACAAATAGGTTTTACTAGGCTGAATTTCTTAAGGTTTCCTGAAGAACCCCACATAAAGATGGTCATTTATCTTTATGGATAGATTTTCCATAATGGATTTATGGATGAATTTATGGATGAAAGGCAGTTTGCCAGTCCTCTACCAAGTTGCTATTTGCAGACAGGTGACATATTCAACAATTTCACCCTTTAAAACTTTCAGGTCAACATAATGTTGAATTAAAGAAGCCAGACACAAATGAGACATAAGGTATAGTTCCATTTAAATGAAGTTCAAGAATAGGCAAATGTGAGACACAGTGATGTAAGTCAGAATAGTGATTAACTGGAGGGAAAATTATTGACTGGGAAGGAAACAAAGTTGGTGGAAATGTTCTATATCTTAATTTTGATCATGAATACATGGATGCATATATAGGTAAAAATTCATCAAGCTGTATGTATGCTTGAAGCTTATGCTAGTTGAACTGAATGAAAAGTATACCTAAAACCAAACAAGCACCCTGAGGACTGCAACATACTTTCTAGTAATTTGTCTATACTCAACATGTCGATGTGACTGAGAATATGTATTTATCAGTTCTGGAAGAAGAGGATCCCCCCTTCCCACTATCTCTTCCTCAACAGAGATGAAAGTCAAGGAATTCTTTAAGGTTTCTCTTCCCTCCTTATTCATATCTGGACATTCTTCTCATACTATATCATCAACTGGTCCCACTGATTGTTGGGATGCCTTTTGCCCCCTGGTGTATTTGTGGATTCTGTTACTGCTTCCGAGGTCTTCTGCAAAGTGCTAAAAAATATCTTTTCTCCTATGTAGGTAATTCTGACTTGGAATTTGCTTTGATGCATTTGCTAAGCTCCCTAATTCTTCTTGTTTTGATTATATGTCACTTTCCTAAATATTTTCTGTAACTGCAATGAAGTCATACTTTCTGATTTCACATTCCAGTTTTTCTTAATTGTGTAAAATAAAGCTCTTTTAACTCCTTGGTCCCAGATTTCCAAAGGGAAAAAATTAAAGGCTCTACATGTTTAAAAATTCATATTTAAACTGTTTTTTTTTTTTTGTTTTGAGACAGAGTCTCGCTCTGTCACCCAAGCTGGAGTGCAGTGGCGTGACCTCGGCTCACTGCAAGCTCCTCTTCCCAGGTTCATGCCATTCTCCTACCTCAGCCTCCCGAGTAGCTGAGACTACAGGCACCTGCCACCATGCCCGGCTAATTTTTTGTATTTTTTTTTAGTAGAGATGGGGTTTCACTGTGTTAGTCAGGATGGTCTCGATCTCCTGACCTCGTGATCTGCCTGTCTCAGCTTCCCAAAGTGCTAGGATTACAGGCATGAGCCACTGCACCCGGCCACTTTAAACTCTTAAACTTCCTTGAAACTTTTCCTGGAAAACAGAGAACCCCCATAATTCTTATTCTTTACTGTCTAAACCACTAAGTCTTGTAGTAAAACCCACCATGCTTTTGCTTCAATTTGCCTAACTTTCCCTTCTAAGACATTTATTAGGTCTGCCCCTGCCCCACTTATAGTGATCTGTTGTTCCAATCAAATACACAAATCTTTCAGATGTTAATAACATTATAATGAAACTAATTTCATGAGTAGCTGTATTAGTCCGTTTTCACACTGCTGATAAAGACATACCTGAGATTGGGCAGTTTACAAAAGAGGACTTACAGTTCCACGTGGCTGGGAAGGTCTCACAATCATTACATAAGGCAAGGAGGAGCAAGTCACATCTTACATGGATGTCAGCAGGCAAAGAGAGAGCTTGTGCAGGGAGACTCCCTTTTTTAAAACCATCAGATCTTGTGAGACACATTTGCTATCATGAGAACAGCTCAGGAAAGACCC
Organism: Homo sapiens; assembly: GCF_000001405.40. Taxonomy (NCBI): domain Eukaryota; kingdom Metazoa; phylum Chordata; class Mammalia; order Primates; family Hominidae; genus Homo; species Homo sapiens. Next base: position 28,875,096 of record NC_000008.11, read on the forward strand.
GCCCCCATGATTCAACCATCTCCCACCAATCCCTCCCACAACACGTGGGGATTATGGGAGCTACAAGATGAGATTTGCGTGGAGACACAGATCCAACCATATCAGTAGTTGATATTCTGAACTATCCAAATAGGAGGATGTCTTGGGGGAAATGTATCCATTTTTGTACACACTGCTACAGAGCACTACAAAGCAAAAAAAATACATAATAAATTGTACACATACATCACTGGGGAAATGGAACTTCTCCAAATTATTTTTACTTTAACTGTTCCTTCTACTTGTAATAACACATAACACTCCTTCTTGAAAATACTTATCAAAGTACTTTTCAAGGTCAGTTCAGATTTTGCCTCTCTAGGGAACTGTGATTCTCCCATTGGCATTCATCTTTTTTTTTCTTTCAACTTTTAAGCTCAAGGGTACATGTATAGGACGTACAGGTTTGTTACATAGGTAAATGTGTGCCATCGTGGTTTGCTGCAAAAAATCAACCCATCACCTAGGTATTAAGCCCAGAATCCATTAGCTATTCTTCCTGATGCTCTCCCTCCCCCTACCCACCCCTGATAAGATTAACCTTCTATAATCCTAACCTTACATAGGTCCCCACTGCCTGTATCAGGGGCTATCACCAAAACGTTATATTCTCAATCACATACATTGAATATACACAGTTTGTTCAATAGTGAGTTACTGATAGGTAGGATCTATGTCTTATTCATCTTTATGTCTCAGAGCACTGAGAATGTTTTGTACAAGATAGGCATTTAATAACATTTGTTCAATTGTATAGCCAAACAATGGATTTTTGTTATTGCTTCTCTTATCTGTTAGCTATAACTATCACACAGTCATCAACATAGTCATCAACAGTTTCCTCCTACTGGATACATAGCTTCAATCGAAAACCATTTAAAAATAAGCCACCACTTAGGGCTCTGAGCCCCTTTTTGTTTCTATGGAGATTTTTTTTTGGGGGGTGTGTGTGGGTGGCCATTACGTTTATTTTAACAGATTGATTGTTTACATTTCTTGGGTTTATCAGGCCTATCTCTGAAGTACAGAGAAACTATTTCTGGCTGTTCTGTTTTCCAAGGAAACCTTGCAATTTTCTTTTAAGGTCATAGAAATCTATTACTCATTTCTTCCCTGTGTTTTGGCTAGGGATCATGTGTAGAAATCCATTATTTCTATGAGTCTGTTATGCACCACCTAAGACTTTAAGTTATAAAATCCATTGTTTACTCAAAAGTCTGGAAAGGGCTTACAAGATATAATTAACTGCCTAGGACACACAATAAAACACAAATACATTTTCTCTTTAGAAAAATAACTTATTGTTAGGCTATGTAAAAGAGTCTCTCTTTACTAATGACTAGAAAATTAAGGAACAAGAAAGCAGTCAGCTACAGCACGTAAATTAAAATACATAAAAATTTCAAGCCAAAAGTCAGTATCACAGTCACCTGATAAGTTTAAAAAGAATGCCCACTCTAATCAGAAATAGAGACGCCTACTACCAAAACTCCTATTCCAAATCATTCTGCACGTATAAGCCACTGCAATTACATCAGAGAAAGAAATGAAGTGTAAAAAAAAAATCTGCAAAGTTATGCACCTGGAAAACCCATGAGAATCAACTGGAAAGGGTATTAAAAATTAAAATTCAACAAGGGGCCTGTGTAGTGAACACAATAAATAAATAGCCTTCTTATATGAAAACCACACAGGAAAAGATTTCAGTAACAATCAAAAAGATAAAGTATTTAGATACAGATTTAACAATAAATATCTAAAAGCTATATTAGCAAAAGGTTTTAAAATGCTACAAAGAAACATTTAAAAAAAGAAATAAAGGAAAAGACATGTCTTATTCTTAGACTCAATGATACAGTAAAAGAAATTAGTCAATTCTCTCCTTAAATTTTATAAATTCAATCTGATCCCAATAAAAACACAAAAAGGATTTTACTGTGAACTAATAATTCTAAATTTATACAAAATGTAAAAATCTAAGTTTTATACAAAAAAATAAATGTCTGAGAGCAGCCTGGAAAATTCTGAGGCACAGGTCAATGAACAGGAACAAATACTATAAGATATTAAAATATACTCCAGAACTACATAGGGTAAAATAGTTTACTACTGGAATATTAATAGATCAAGAGGAAGAGAACTGAGCAGGAAATGGAAATACAAATGCTTTTATAAATATATAAAAATATGCTCCACATTGCATACATAATGTGAGAAAAATCAAATTTAAAATATAATGACATAATATTTTTTCACTTTTCAGTGAGAAAAAAACAAGTTTGATCATTACATTGTAGTGGTAAGCATTAGGATATGCTACTGGCAACTGCAATTTGATAAATCTCTATGGGAGCATTTTTGCAATAAACCTTAATAAAAAATGCATATACCCTTTGAACCATCAATTTCACCAGTAGAAATGTATGCTACAGATGTACTCCCTAAGAGGCTCAAAAAGGAGATAATCTGTAAAATGTGAGTTGTAATTGCAAGAGACTGGAAACAATGTTAATTGATAGAAGTTTGGTTAGATAAATTATGGTATATTTAAACAACAGAACACTATGCAACCGGTTTTTCTTTTAGCAACAGTATGAATGTATTTTTGAGATATATTGACACTAGTTTCATAATTATGTTTTAAATCAACAACAAAAACCATGCCCTAAACTTTAATCATGAATGATTTTTAAAATAGTTGGGGGAGGGTGTTGGTGGTGGAACAATATCTTTCAGGCAAATATCCACAATTCTAAATGCTTCCTACAAGCAACGAAAATACAAAGGGTGTTAGAAATATTTTCTAAAAGTATTTGAAAGCAGTATTGAAAATATCTCATTGTTCAGAAAAAAGTATCTTGAAACCAAAAGAACTGGGATCTTGTTAAATGCAGATTCTGTTCATTAGGTATAGGTATGCAGTCTTACAAAATGAGGTAGTTCTAGATATTTATATGAAATAATCTTAAAGACACATCTCTAACTTAAAAAAGAAAAATCAATATGCCAAACCAATGTGGATAATATCTCATTATTTTTGTAAAAAATAAAATAGGGATGAAAACTATATACATGTACAAAAATCCACAGAATATCTTTGAAAAATACAAAGGAAACTGATAACTGAGATTCCTTCTGGAAAGGAGGATAAAGACTGAAAGAGTGGGAGGGAATCATTTAACTGTTTTTGTTTTTTGAAATACGGTCTCACTCTGTTGCTCAGGCTGGAGTGCAGTGGAGCGATCATGGTTAACTGTAGCCTCGACCTCCTGGGCTCAAGTGGACCTCCTACCTCAGCCTCTTGAGTAGCTGGGACTACAGGTGTGTGCCACCACATCCAGCTAAAAAAAAAAAAAAATTGTTTTTTTGTAGAGACAGGGTCTGACTGTGTTGCCCAGGCTGGACTCAAACTTGCGAGCTCAAGTGATCCTCCTGCCTTGGCCTCCCAAAGTGCTGGGATTATAGGTGTCAGCCACTGTGCCTGGCCTTCACTGTTTTTTTTTTTTTAAAAAAAAAACAAAACAAAAAACTCTTGTATAGTTTACTTAAAAAAAAATGTTGGGCCAGGCGCGGTGGCTCACGCCTATAATCCCAGCACTTTGGGAGGCCCCAAGGCGGCCAGGTAACTTGAGGTCAGGAGTTCGAGACCAGCCTGACCAACATGGAAAAACCCTGTCTCTACTAAAAATACAAAAATTAGCCAGGTGTGGTGGCAGGTACCTGTAGTACCAGCTATTCTGGAGGCTGAGGCATGAGAATCGCTTGAGCCCGGGAGGTAGAGATTGCAGTGAGCCAAGATTGCCCACCGCACTCCGGCCTGGGTGACAGAGTGAGACTTCGTCTCAAAAAAAAAAAAAATTAAAGAGGAAATAATACTAATTCTTCATACACTCTTGTAGAACATAGAGGAGGTACAGAGGAAGAGGAAACATTTTCCAACGCATTCTATGAGAACAATATTACCTGATACCAATGTCAAACAAAGATATCACAAGAGAACTACAGACCAATATCCTTCATGAATATATACACAAACATCCTCAACAAAATGTTAGCAAACCAAATCCAGCAACATATACAAAAGATTAAACACCATGATCAAGTGGAATTTATTCCAGGAATGCAAGTCTGGTTTAACATTCAAAATTCAATTAAAGTAATATATTAATATAAAGACAAAAACCACATGATCACCTTGATAGATGAAGGAAAAGCATCTTACAAAATCCAAGAACCATTTACGATAAAAATACTCAACAAGCTGGATAGAAGGGAATATCATCAGCCTGATACAGGGCATCTATGAAAAACGTACAGTTCACATCATATTTAGGAGTGAACAACTGAATATTTTCTTCCTAAGATGAGGAACAAATCAATGATGCCTGCTTGTACTACCTCTATTCAACACTGTACTGGAGGGTCTAGCTAGTACAATCATGCAAGAAAAAGAAGTGAAAACATGGAGAAATTGGAAATGAAAACTTATGTCCACACAGTCATAACAGCCAAAAAGCAGAAACAATTCAAATGTCCATCACCTGGTGCAGGAATAAACAAAATGGAGAGTACCCATAGAGGAAAATATTATTCAGCAAGAAAAAAGAAACAACTGATATATGCTACCACATGAACGAACTTCAGAAACATTACACCAAATGAAAGAAGATGTCTTAGCCACAAAAGACCCCATATCAAATGAGTTAATTTACATAAAATGACCAGAAAGGGCAAATCTACCGAGACTCGTGGTTGCCGAGGCCTGGAGGTAGTAACGGAGATCTTTTTGGAGTAATGGAAATGCGCTAAATCTGGATCGTGGTGAATGAGGCACAACTCTGAAATCTACTAAAAGTCATTGAATTTTGTTTTATATGCAAGAATTTTACATATTACATATTACACCTCAAAAAAGCTGTTTAAACAATGTAAAAAAAGGTAACTATAATAATATCATTTACATATTAAAACTACTGCTTTTTACCCATATTTCCACATGCTGGAAAAAAATAGAGGAAAGAAGACTTATAAAGCTAGAATATCTCATTATGCTTGCCTTTATTTTAATGGCATAGAAAAATGTAGACATAGCTCTCCCTCTCCCTCTCCCTCTCCCTCTCCCTCTCCCTCTCCCTCTCCCTCTCTCTCCCTCCACGGTCTCCCTCTGATGCCGAGCCAAAGCTGGACGGTACTGCTGCCATCTCAGCTCACTGCAACCTCCCTGCCTGATTCTCCTGCCTCAGCCTGCCGAGTGCCTGCGATTGCAGGCGCGTGCCGCCACGCCTGACTGGTTTTCGTTTTTTTTTGGTGGAGACGGGGTTTCGATGTGTTGGCCGGGCTGGTCTCCAGCTCCTAACCGCGAGTGATCCGCCAGCCTCGGCCTCCCGAGGTGCCGGGATTGCAGATGGAGTCTCGTTCACTCAGTGCTCAATGGTGCCCAGGCTGGAGTGCAGCGGCGTGATCTCGGCTCGCTACAACCACCTCCCAGCCGCCTGCCTTGGCCTCCCAAAGAGCCGAGATTGCAGCCTCTGCCCGGCCGCCACCCCGTCTGGGAAGTGAGGAGCGTCTCTGCTTGGCCACCCATCGTCTGGGATATGAGGAGCCCCTCTGCCTGGCTGCCCAGTCTGGAAAGTGAGGAGCGTCTCTGCCCGGCCGCCATCCCATCTAGGAAGCGAGGAGCGCCTCTTCCCCGCCGCCATCCCATCTAGGAAGTGAGGAGCGTCTCTGCCCGGCCGCCCATCGTCTGAGATGTGGGGAGCACCTCTGCCCCACCGCCCTGTCTGGGATGTGAGGAGCGCCTCTGCTGGGCCGCAACCCTGTCTGGGAGGTGAGGAGCGTCTCTGCCCGGCCGCTCCGTCTGAAAAGTGAGGAAACCCTCTGCCTGGCAACCGCCCCGTCTGAGAAGTGAGGAGCCCCTCCGTCCGGCAACCACCCCGTCTGGGAAGTGAGGAGCGTCTCCGCCCGGCAGCCACCCCGTCCGGGAGGGAGGTGGGGGGGTCAGCCCCCCGCCCGGCTGGCCGCCCCGTCCGGGAGGTGAGGGGCGCCTCTGCCCGGCCGCCCCTACTGGGAAGTGAGGAGCCCCTCTGCCCGGCCAGTCGCCCCGTCCAGGAGGGAGGTGGGGGGGTCAGCCCCCCGCCCGGCCAGCCGCCCAGTCCGGGAGGGAGGTGGGGGGATCAGCCCCCCGCCTGGCCAGCCGCCCCGTCCGGGAGGTGAGGGGCGCCTCTGCCCGGCCGCCCCTACTGGGAAGTGAGGAGCCCCTCTGCCCGGCCAGCCGCCCCGCCCGGGAGGGAGGTGGGGGGGTCAGCCCCCCGCCCGGCCAGCCGCCCCGTCCGGGAGGGGGGAGGGGGGGGTCAGCCCCCCGCCCGGCCAGCCGCCCCGTCCGGGAGGGAGGTGGGGGGGGTCAGCCCCCCGCCCGGCCAGCCGCCCCGTCCGGGAGGGAGGTGGGGGGATCAGCCCCCCGCCTGGCCAGCCGCCCCGTCCGGGAGGTGAGGGGCGCCTCTGCCCGGCCGCCCCTACTGGGAAGTGAGGAGCCCCTCTGCCCGGCCAGCCGCCCCGTCCGGGAGGGAGGTGGGGGGGTCAGCCCCCCTTCCGGCCGGCCGCCCCGTCCGGGAGGTGAGGGGCGCCTCTGCCCGGCCGCCCCTACTGGGAAGTGAGGAGCCCCTCTGCCTGGCCAGCCGCCCCGTCCGGGAGGGTGGTGGGGGGGTCAGCCCCCCGCCCGGCCAGCCGCCCCATCCGGGAGGTGAGGGGCGCTTCTGCCCGGCCGCCCCCACTGGGAAGTGAGGAGCCCCTCTGCCCGGCCACGACCCCGTCTGGGAGGTGTGCCCAGCGGCTCATTGGGGATGGGCCATGATGACAATGGCGGTTTTGTGGAATAGAAAGGCGGGAAGGGTGGGGAAAAAATTGAGAAATCGGATGGTTGCCGGGTCTGTGTGGATAGAAGTAGACATGGGAGACTTTTCATTTTGTTCTGTACTCAGAAAAATTCTTCTGCCTTGGGATCCTGTTGATCTGTGACCTTATCCCCAACCCTGTGCTCTCTGAAACATGTGCTGTGTCCACTCAGGGTTAAATGGATTAAGGGCGGTGCAAGATGTGCTTTGTTAAACAGATGCTTGAAGGCAGCATGCTCGTTAAGAGTCATCACCACTCCCTAATCTTAAGTACCCAGGGACACAAACACTGCGGAAGGCCGAAGGCCGCAGGGTCCTCTGCCTAGGAAAACCAGAGACCTTTGTTCACTTGTTTATCTGCTGACCTTCCCTCCACTATTGTCCTATGACCCTGCCAAATCCCCCTCTGCGAGAAACACCCAAGAATGATCAATAAAAAAAAAAAAAATAGAAATAAAATAAAATAAAATAAAAAAAAAAGAAATATATGCAAGCGATATTAACAGCTAAAAAAAAAAAAAAAGAAAAAAAAAAAGAAAAATGTAGACATAATGTATTTAGAAAAAGAGACTCTGATTAAGCCATAAATCTGAGAAATGGATTATGCAAGACATCTTATTATACACCTCCCCCACCTCTTCATAAACATCAGTGATGAGAAATAAACTACCCTAAAGCCAAAAAAGGTGTTAGTTTTACAATACCTATTAAAGAATAGCTTTCTTGAACATCATTTGTCTGATTACCTGTCTTTGAGAGAGCTAAAAGTTCATTCAAATGTGCTTTCAATAAATTTAAACATTTTAAATCTTTGAGGCATTTCCTTCAAATTCATGGTAAATCAGGGGCCATTTAAACCTGTTGTTTTTCTCACAGTAAAGTTCCCACCACACAGTTACTAGTCTTGATCACTGAGCAACTTGCGACTTTCAAGCCAGTGCCTTTCTCTTGCAGGGTCTTCTCTATTTTCCCTTCCTGTCCTTTCTTTTCCTACTCTTGCCTTTTCTTGCGATCCCTGCAAATTTCTGGCACGTACCCCTTTCTTAGCCCTGCCTGATGTGTCAACTCCAGGCTTCCTCTCACTGGCCTTCCCCTTTCTGGGGAGTATAGGGGATTTCCTCTGCCATCTACCCACACTTCCCCAGCTGCCTCTCCAATCTGTCTGATCTCACAGTACCATCATCTTAATTCCTACATCTATGCACTGGCATTTCCAAAGCAACACCATAGATCTTTTACAAGCTTCCTTTTGAAGATTCTTATGGCACCATATTTTTATCTGAAGAAATGTGTTCCCCTTTCTGGTCCATCTTCCCACGTCTGCAATCACTACTCCAGGGACACTTTACTAAACACGGATGAAGTCTATAGTAGACTGAGAGCATGTGAGGATAGATCAAAGAAGAAAGTTACATTCAGAAGACAAATAGTAAAAGTAAAGAAACAGCATCATTGGCAAGGGTGGGGAAAATGCATTCTCATATACTACCTGTACAATGGAAAACTAGTGAGCAATTTGGCCTTATCTGTTAAAATTTTCAGAAAGCATATTACTGGATACAATTAAATACAGTTTTGACCATTACATGTAACAAAAATATTTGAGCCTGAGCCCAAGGGTATCTCTAATCAGGACATTCAATGTAATACTGCTTGAATTGGACAGTAAACCCACTAGGCTTCACGTTCCATATAGGCTGGGGATAAATCTGTTTTGTTCACTGCAATATGCTTAGTATCTTGAGCAATGCCTGGTACAGAGCAGGTGTTCAGAAGATTTGTTGAGTAAATACATGAATGATGGAGACCTGAGGGTTGGTTTATGCCTGGACCTCTGCTGGTGTTCAGCAAACCAGGAGTGTATTTTCCATGTGGAATGACTTGGTGGCCATGCTGCAACCTGGGCCCTTGTGAACTGTTAACTAAATATTGCTGAACATCAGAGCAAATGCCAGAGGGATATGAGTACTCAGAGCAAACCAGTCACAAAACAAATATGCTACTGTGGTACCGTGGTTATAGCAAGAGTAATGCTGTAATACTTCTATTAGTACAGTCTTCTGGCTTTGCTGATTGACCATAGGTAAGCCAGATTTTTTTTTTCAATTCAACTACTACTACCAAAAGTCTGTCATCAGTGTATCTTTTTTTTTTTTTTTTTTTTTTTTTTTTTTGGTTGGAGACAGGGCCTTGTTCTGTCACTCAGGCTAGAGTGCAGAGGTGCAATCAGCTCACTGTAACCTCAAATCCCTGGGCTCAAGCAAACCTCTCACCTCAGCCTACTGAGTAGCTGGGACTACGGGCACAAGACACCAGGCCTAGCTAATTTTTAGTTTTTTTTGTACAGACAGGGTCTCACTATGTTGCCCAGGCTGGTCTGGAACACCTGGGCTCAAGTGATCCTCCTCCTCAGCTTCCTGAAGTGCTAGGATTACAGGTGTGAGCCACTGTGCTTGGCCCGATATATTTTTTTGCCTTGTTAAGTATAAAATATTTAATCTTCAGAATAATAATTTTGGACTCTGAAATGCCTAAGAGTAAAATATCCATCTTTATCACAGACCATTACTGAGAAAGGTATGTAACTTAGCCTTATGTCACACGCAGCTTTTCAGAGTTTGAGGAAATCATGAAGGAAAAAACCTATTGAGGTTATGATAAAATATGACCTTTGAAAAGCTTGAAATGACATTACATCCTAAAGACACAGGAGGGCACTCTTATTAACCAGCAAAGAAAAACAGAAAAGACAGTGAAGTCAAGCTGACATTTTAACAATTTGTACTGCAATAGTTGAATCAAGCACCGATAAAATGTTGAGGGCTTGTAATTTATAGCCCGAGATTTCCTGTTTTCATGTACAACCTAGGAAGCCAACAGGATTCTACAACCATGTAAACTGGAGGAAGAATCCAACACTCTCAGATCCAAGGTGAGGATTAACCACGCCCCTTTCTAATGATTTCTTAAACTGACCTTGGGGCAGGATTTGCCCCTTTCAAGCAATCTTCTACATAATCTACAATTGCACTCGGTGTTTTACTTGTCTTCCACTGGGAGCAGTCCATGAATTCATTTCTTTGCTCCATCTGTTTTCCCAGGAGAAATGGCAAGTTAAAAGTTTGAGCCAGTAGAAATGAAACAGCATTTTGAACAAAGGAGCAAAGACCACTGAAGAATGTATTTCGTGGCCTTCTCAAGTTTTAAAATTTGTAAACACAACTACAGCATGTAATTTTCTCCTTCAAATTTAATAAGTATAGTATAACAAGCATTTAAATGACCTTCCTTTAAGACTTTTAACAAGCCGGCCTCTGCAGAGCGCCATGGATTCTGAGGCACTCAGGCCCCTCCCAAAGGATTAACATTAATCTTAAAGTCACATTCAAATTTGTGTCTCAGCAAAATTATAAATAATTCCATGTCACAGGGGTCAAATGTAATGGTTAAAATGGAAAGCGTTAAAATTGTGAATGCCAAGGGTATACTGTGGTTGCATAAAAAATCTTTGTTGACTGAATAAGCCAGAAGATTCTCTCCATCTCAGGTACTATCTGTAGGAAGTACAACACACAGGCTGCATTCTTGAACTGCTTTGGATTATTTTATTCGCTTGACTCTTCATCTATTTAAATGACTGGGTTCCTGGCCATGATGTTTCAAACTTAATTTCTGTCAACGTGCTCAGAATTTTTTGTTCCATGTTCTTTCGGTAAGGACCTTTGTGAATTCCAGTTTCTATCCTTAGCTGAACTGGCCATCAGCGTACTCAGTTAGGCTCAATCTATACAAATAACAGAACATGCTCTAAAATGTGCTAATTTAAAAGATATATTTCTAATTTTCCTCTGCTTTCTAAAATGATTCTGGTTAACTGAAAATGCCAATGAGTTTTCTTCAGTTAAATAAAGCTGCCTGAATATTGCATATTATAAATACGGAAAGCCACTGAAATCCTCTGAGTTGGTATCTAAGAAGGAGATACCCAAGTATTACGTTATAATGGCATCCATTGTTTTCATGTGGGTGTGTGAAAAGCCACCAAGAGGGTGATGTGCAAAGTTAGAGAATTATAAATGGTATCACAGGAGCTAAATTTGGAAGATAAAAAATACTAACTTCAGCACCAAATTAGTATGCTCTGATATGGGGGCCTTTAGCTCATCAAGAAAGTCCTCAAACTTAAAAAAAATTTTTTTTTAACCAATAACCTTAAAAACTTTTTTTTGTTTTTTGTTTTTGAGATAGGGTCTCATTTTGTCACCCAGGTTGTAATGCAGTGGTGCCATCACAGCTCACTCCAGCCTCAACCTTCTAGGCGCAAGTGATCCTCCTGCCTCAGCCCCTCAAGTAGCTGGGACTACAGGCACATGCCACGACGCTCAGCTAGTTTTTGTATCTTTTGTAAAGACAGGTTTTGCCATGTTGCTCAGGCTGGTCTAGAACTCCTGATCTCAAGCCATCTGCCTGCCTCCGCCTCCCAAAGTGCTGGGATTACAGTCATGAACCACTGCACCTGGCCTGAAGATCTTAATTGAACCACACTTGCATTTAAAGCTAATTTTTAAAAATAGCCTTGAATATATTTTCTGTATGCACTCTACCTTCTTTTTTTTTAAGAGATAACCTAGGCATGGTGCAGGGTGCTAGAGTTCCTACCCTCACTAAATAACAGGGAAACCTGGGTTTCGATCTTGGCTCTATCATTTTTAATCCATGCTAACTTTAAGCCACTTACTTCACCTCCCTGAAGCTCACATTTTTTGTCTGTAAAATGGGAATACTGTCACCTGGATCAAAGGATTAAATGGGAAACTACATAGCAAATACTTAGCACATTGCCTGGCACACAATAATTGCTTTATAAAAGGTAGCTATCATTCCTTTTTTACTTCAATGGTTACTGCTTATTGTAATCTCTTTAATTTCACTCTTTAATCTTTTCTCAAGGGTATCCATAGACCTTGATAAACCTTCAGAAATTATTTACCAATTATTTACACAGAATCTACATGGGGGAGGACAGACACACGCCAATAATTACAAGTGCTACAAATAGGAAGTATGCCATCAAATATATAACAGGGGTACTTAATTCAACGAGGCCCTGAAGAAGTGTTATTTAGACAGAGATCTGAAATATATGAAGAAATTAGCCAGGCAAAAAAGAGTGAGGCAGGCAATGGAACATATTCAACCAAGTTAAGTGTAGGAGGTTATCCTAAGGGCAAAGGAAGATACTGAGAGGGTTTCATGGAACTCTGCAATTAAAACAACTTCCGGATGCAGAGGAAAGAATGAATTTGAGAGGGTTAAGACTGAATGCAGAGAGACCAGATAAGGGGTCTTGTTGAATTCCGATTACAAAGACAGTATTCTAGTTGGACTGGAGAGAAATAGAACCTATTTAAGAAAGCTGCATTTAGGAAGCAGAATCAATAAGAGGTGGTCATAGATTGTGTGTGGGAAGGGTACTCTGGAAAGTGAATCTCAAAAATGAGAAAATGCTAAACAAAATGTGTTTTTGTTTCATAATTATAAATTTAAAACACAGCCTATTACATATTTCTGAAGCAGTACACAAAATTAAAACTTTTAGGCCATGGGAGGACTTATTCCAACCATTTGGGAGGCATGACACACCCATCTAACTTACTGAGCAACAATGCTTTTGGTATGTTGATGGGAATTCTCAATTACATTTATCTATCAACTACCAAATAAATTTTAGTATGTAATACATAGTTGCAAAGTAAAGAGGGAGTATGAGTATCAATAGAATACTTCCTTTTCCTCTGAGACATCTTTGGTTCTTAATGGAAAAAATAATTTTCCACTTTTTTACAATCCCCGGTTTCATATTTCTAAATAAATTAAGCAGGAGGATTTTATGAGCAAACTAAAATATATGTAAAGTAAACCCTGGCTTTTTGATACCCTCACTAATGAGTTGTTATGGGAAAAACTATTTCACACTTCCCTGCCTTCTTAAACTGAACACATTAAATATAATTTGCTCTTTATTGAGAACACAGGGTCCATGCTTTAGCCAATAAGGTACCAAGCTCTTATGCTCCTATAAGCTGACCTCTTTCATGGAAGGCCCTGGCTTACTTATCCTTATCAGTTCAAGAGTCACGTTTCCAGGAAGCTGTCCCCTGACCTCCCCAATCCTCTGTTCTCTGAATTCCCAAAACCCTGAACACGCCTCTATTTCACCATGAACACAGTGAATTATAATTTCGGACCAGGCATGGTGGCTCATGCCTGTAATTCCAGCACTTTGGAAGGTTGAGGTGGGCAGATACCTTGAACCCAGGAGTTTGAGACCAGCCTGGGCAACATGGTTAAACCCCATTTCTACAAAAAAAATAAGCAGGGTGCAGTGGTGCGCGCCTGTATTCCCAGCTATATGGGGAGACTGACGCGGCGAGAGGATCGCTTGAGTCCGAAAGGTGGAGGTAGCAGCGAGCTGAGAACGCGCCACTGCACTTCAGTCTGGGCCCCACAAAGCCAGACCCTGTCTCTAAATAAATAAATAATAACTTTGGTTTACTTTTCTATCTTCTTCTTAGGTTGCATGCTTCTGTAGGGCAACGGCTATGACTTTTAATTCTGCATTATTAAATGTGTAACACACTGACCCAGGGGTAAGTTGCTATTCTCAAGGTTTAGTGACCCGCATCCTTCCCCTTATATAAACAGATTTATACGGGGACAATTTCGGAATTGAATCCACTTTTAATACTTTCTCTGACTTCGCAGAAAACAGCTGGCTTTGCAGAATATATGCCTGTAGCACAATGATTATCAAGATGAGGGTAGGTGTGTTGTGTGGTTTGGCAAAGCATGTTCAGATAATTATATAAATGGTAAAAAATAAACTTTTTTTTTTTTTGAGACAGAGTCTCGCGCTGTTGCAAGGCTGGAGTGCAGTGGCGCGATCTTGGCTTACTGCAACCTCTGCCTCCCGGGTTCAAGCGATTCTCCTGCCTCAAGTAAAGCTTGACAATAACTTGGCTGCACAAATATGGGTTTTAAAAGGTTGAGAAACAGTGTTTCACACCTGCCTTTCTACACTATGTTATTAACTAATTGAATCGAGTTGGAATAAACTAGTTAGACTTGTGTGCACAATGAGTCAAATGGCTCAAATCAAAGGTCTGAGGAGCCTCCATGAACCAGGTGCTTGAGCTGTGTGATGTTAAGACTTCAGGTATACCGAGCACGCTTCATTCAGCCTTGGCTCATGAAGTCCCTACAGTCTTAGAATGGAATACCATATAACACTTCTCTGCCCATCTAAATCCCATGCAGGGTTTAAGACTCAACTTCTCCACACTCTGACCTCGTCCTGAATTCCAAGGGCAGTGAGGAGTCTATATAACAGGATATTTAATAAGTGATTACGTTCTGCTGGATGTTTTTTACTGTCTGCTTAAATCTAGCCAGTCTCAACAACAGTAGGGAGACAGGATACTCAAGCGCCAATCGAATGGAAACGGATTGTTAACAGCCTATTATAACCCTCACGTGGGAACCAGGACGTCCAAACCTGGTTAACAGAGCCCACAGAGTTCATGGGCGAAGGACTGTGACAGTCAACCTCTTGTCTGAACAAAAAGACCCACTAACGAGTGAAAAAAGACCTCCTGGGAGGGATGGGGTGGGGGAGAGGGAATTCAAACCTTCTCAACAACAAAAAGCAGCTTTCCTTAGCCCACTCCACTTTCCAGCTCAATAATTGCTACCCCTCCCGTGCGACGATTCCCTGCCCAACGTAGGAAAAAAAGAGGTCCAAAAGGTTATAGCATCACCTTTGCCCTCTGACCTAGGAGCGAAGACTCACCAGTTTCATAATGGACTTTTGGTGGTTCAATAGCAGTCACTGAACTCCTCAAACCCAGGAAGCGTCTTCCGGTGCAATCTCCGCCACCTGCCAGCCGAGAGCATCGCGGGACTTGCAGTCTTTCATCCTCACGTCCCTTCCAGGGGAATAATGGGAAATGTAGTCTCCCCTCCAGGCATCATGGGAACTGTGGTCGCCTTTCCTTTTCCTCCCTTTCCTCTCCGAACGCCTCCTTCCGTCAGCTCAAATTCATCCCAGCCGCCAATGCATCCTCCCTCTCCACCCCAGCATGATATCATGTCTTCCTTACGGGCCTGGGGCCCATGGTGTTCTGGGATGTGTAGTCCCGACGGCTCCGACTCCCCTTTCCCTCCTCCCAAAGGGAAGGCGGATGGGCACGGGGCTTGCCGGAAGTTGTAGTTCCCTTGGCCCTCTAGGCGCCGGGCTCCGCAATTTTTCTCAGGGGAGGCAGGAACTACAACTCCCAGGGACGCCCGGCGGCAGCAGGTGGGAGAGGGGCTGTTGATATCAATATGGCGGTTGTCAGCCAGACAAAGACAGTCAGTCTGATGTGATTGAGACAAGGGAGGTTTTTCAGGGGGAGACTGGGAGATAGGGGCCTCCCCTCCCCCTTCTCCTCTTCCTGCGCCGGCCTCAACCCCTCCCCAGTCCCCTCCCGACGGGCGCCCCACGCGGAAGACACCCCTCCCCCTCCCGCCTTCCCTCCTCCCTATCTCAGCCCTTCGTACTGGGACGTTGGGGAGGGGGCTGTGCCGGGCGGAGAGAACTCAGCGAGGATTCTGAGGTGAGTCGAGCGGTTTTGAAGCCGGACTACCTCAAGTCTCTTTCCTCACTTCTTTCTCTTCACTTAAAACAATTTTTTTGGAGGGGTTTTGGGGAGGAAGTGAGCGGACGCTGGGGATGGGTCTCGTAAGCGGCCGGATTGAGAGGAGGGAGGAAGCAGGGGGCTTCCGAGTGGGTGACCCAGACGCGGGCTGTGGGGTGGGGCAGTTCGTGGGGTCCGGTCCTGGAAAGGCGTCGACTGCCCCCCAACTCTTCTGGTTTCCTCTACGATGAGCGGAAGGTTTGAATCCTGGAGGTGGGGTCTCCGGTGTGGAGTTCTGGAAACTGTGAGGTGATTTGCAGGTGTGTTGGTTTGTTTGGGGTGTGTAAGTGTGTTTAAACTGTGTGACGTGTACTTGTGTGCTCTGCTCGTCTTGGAGCGGTGTCTGTAGATGGGAAGTTAGACAGCGCGAGTCCTCGCTCGCTCTGGGCCTGGGCTGAGGGGCGGGCGTGAGGTCCTGGTGCTGGGCGTTTGGGCTGGCGACGTGGTGCGAGGCGGCCGGGCTCAACAACTCGCTTGTGTCCCGTCGCCCGCTCACACTCTGCCACTCGCCTCCGCCCCCTCCCCTGGACGAATCTCCACCCCAAACTCCAGCCACGAGAACTGTAGAGATGGTGTGATGTGGAGATGGATTTTTTGCATCCTCAAGTCGGTAGATAGGTGGGAAAGGAAAAGTGTTTCTTAATATTTTATTCCGGAACCGTGTTTTGGTTACACTATTGGGGCTACTTTGAAAGGCGTCCTCCACCCACCTTCACCCCGAAACAGTAGGTAGAGGTATCTTGTCTTCGTGTGAATTAGATGAATAATTGCTGAAGATTCGGGGGGCCTGGGGTGGGGGTCGGGAGTGCTGGATTGTGTACGCGTCTGTGTGTGTCTACTAAGGAGACGGAATGTCTGTTATGTATCTGGAGATAGGGCGACTTATTTTCGTAGCAGGAGGAACTGTTGGAAATTATTTGCGGGAGAGGGGGTGCGCCGAAAGGCGCTGCTTGTATTTTTCTTCTACTCCACCCTGTTCTGTCTTGCATTTGCCTGAAAGCTGGTGGAATGGAACAGTGAAGAAGCATTGGGTGAGTAAAGGGAAGAATGCAGTTGGCATTAAAGATAACACTATGTAAAGTTGAATGGTATAAAGTGATTACTGTTTTTATTTACGCTGAAGCTTAAAAAAAATCACCCATGTATCATATAAGGTAGAGTGATGTGACTAGCTCATTTCTCTGGTATCCTGCAGGTACAGAAACCTCTGGCTTCCCTCTTCCTTCCTTCCTATCCTCCCTCCTTCCTTCCTTCCTTAAGTCCTTCCTTTCTTTCTTGGCTTCGTACAACATTTCTCTTTCTGTTGGACATAATACCGCCTGTGTCTTTTTATTTAGTTTGTGCTAATATGGTTGTGCTTTTTGTGGTTTTACCATAAAATGCATCGTTAAATGCATTTATTATTTTGCATTTATGCTGCAGGTAATTATCACATCAGGATTGCAGTGCTTTGCATTAAACTTATTTTAAAATTGTGCAATTAAGTTGCTTGATCTAGCTGAATTATGTTTCTAAGTCAAAGTTGGGAAATTTGAATTCTAAATTTTTTTTCAAATTTCAATTAGAGTTAAAAAGGAAAGGATTGCAACATCTCTTATTTCTCACAGTTTTTAATATTTAATAACACACTAGGAGAATTTAAGGTCATATTTTGTACTTCCTTATTAAGTTCTTCAATAATCCTTATGTGACAATTTTTTTAGTGTAACGGATTTTTAAAGTAAAGAAATTGGCATAATTTCTATTTCGACTGTTGAGAATTGAATATATTCCCCAAACTTATCAATTCTTGAATCTGCCACCTATCATCAGTAAGGGACCTTTAGATTCTATGATAACTGAAAACCACATTGATAGAGTGTGTAATTTTATGATATGTCCTCTAACCATTGATTTAAAATTTTTGCTGTTGGTCATTCACACAGATAAGGGGGACTGAAAGAGTGAGGTAGCATGTATATTTCAATTGACCTGAATAGAAAAAAAAATGTGATTTCTAAATCTCAGATGTAGAATATACAATATGTTGATTCAAAACTAAGCCATTAGTTTGTGATAGACCAGGATTTTCAGAATCATTTGTTTTAAGCTTGTATCTTAACTTGAAACACTACTTTGCAAAAACCAGAGAAAAATCCTACGTAACTACTTAACGGAGTGTTTTGTTTTATTTTTCTGAAGCATATTATAATAGTCATGGAGTTTTTTAAAAAATGTTTAATAATTATTTTAGAAGTAAAAAACCAACATGTTTGTTAATATTTTAAATTGGAAAAACACGAGTGTTTTCTCTTCCATCTACCCTTACCTCAAAATTTCTTTTTGTTTTGTCTATAGAAGTGCAAAGTTATTTACTTGAAAAAGCATTCATTAAACTTTTTCTGGCTACTAGTGGGATCAAAATCATTACATGTAAACCAAATATATTCCCAGCATTTGTTGGGGGTGATTCTGTTGCATTTTAAGTACTGGGCATTAAAATGATGTAAAGCCTTTACTGCAGGTTAAAGCATAAAACATTCTCAGCATGTGAGAGTCATATGGTTTACAAATAAAGTAGAAAACCAGGGCATGGGTGCTTGTCCAGCTTACAATTTCATCCCGTAACTGTGAAAGACACATTTATTTTAATGTGATTGCTTCTAAAGATGTTGCCTGTATTATGGGAAGTTGAAAATCTAAGCTGCTTTTAACTAATCTGTTGCTAGTTTAGTTTACTGCATTTAGTGAACACTATGTATGGTCACAAATACGCATCAAGGAAAGGAGCCTTTAGCTGGAAGTTGAATGCCTTTAGTGAGGCTTCGTTTTCACTGCTGTACAAACAGATTTCAGTCTTCTAGCCCAAATCCTCAGTTAAAACATCGCTAATAGAAACTTAATAGCTCAGTGTTCCTAAGTTACAAAATATGTGGCAACAAATCTGTCATTGTTACATCATTTAAAAAATAGCAACCAGCTTATGGCAATTTTTGTGGCAAGTGTTGATTGGAATTCTATTGCTTGTTTCATAGATATTGAATACATTGGGAATATTTAGGCTTAATTTGTGTATTTTGAGTCTCCTGTACACTGTATTCAGCACATCCCACATTTAGGGCTCCCGTGCAATTTAGTTCTGTTCATTTCATTGTAGCTCTTGCTTCTCTTATTTTTGTATACAGCTCTTTAAACCTGAATTATTTCTCTTGGGAATCAGGTATTTATGTAGAATGTTGTCATAAGTGAAAGTTGGCATACCACTCAACTTTTTAAATACATGAACATTTATAGATAAACCGAATAGTGCTCATTGAAAATGTGTTGGTTTTGTTTGTTTTGTGAACCAGCTTTATTTAGTTCTTTGGCTTCTGGAATTAATTTTGTAGCTCACTTTGCTATTCTTTGGCTAGATTTTTCTGTTAACAGTTGGCTTTTACTTCCCACTGTAGTAGAACTGTAATTTATTAAAGCATTGTTGTGAGTGAAAAGCATGGCTTGTCTAGAGTGCCATATATGTACACCCACAATACACTCATACATAAAATACTTTTATGTTTATTTATTTATTTATGAAATTGGTGTATATCTATCAGACATGCCTCCCATAAGAAAGAATCTGAGCCACAAATAGCAGAAGACCTTGAACTTTGACTGAAGCTAGAAACCAAAGAGTAACCAGCACATGTTGTCCACATTATAGAAGCTGAGGAGATTTTCATTATCATTCCAAACCATTATTTTCACAGATTTTGTTAAAATACAGTTCTCTCAAAATGGAAGCTATTGATATTGAAAGTTTTCTCAAAATATTAGTAAGTAAGACGTAGCATGGATTCCTAGGTGCAGCTATTCCCCCACATTGCCCTTACTGGATTTAGGGCCCATCATAGGCGCAGAGTAAAGATTTTTCCATGGGATTATTTGATGTAAACTTTTAGTTGCAGTGTATTCAAACATAATCCAGTGCTTTAGATAATTTGTTTTCCTTGACCTTAGATGAAACAAGTTGGAAATTTACTATAACATTGTTTTGGACACTTTCCAAGAGCATTTAGCTCCTGGAAGGGCCCTGGCTTTAGCATGGTTTTTACCCTTATAGTGGTAATAAAGTTGAAGTTACATTAAGTTTTTCCAGTGATTAGTGTAATCTTAATGCAATATTTGACAGATTCTTAGGCTATAGTTTTTTTTTAACATTTGCAAAAAAAAAAAACAGTAACAATAGTCTGATTTTAGCTTTGAAGTGATCAATTATTTTAACTTTTTCACCCTTAAAATGGGTGACACTAGACTCCTTCCTGTTAAGTGGTAAAATGATTCTAATCCAGTCAAAGGGCACTTAGGTTTTTCTTAAATTTAGAGTGTGGATTGTGATAAAAATGTTGACTAAATTCCACATGCTGAGTATGTATTCTCTCTGGCTGCTTCTTTGTTTATCTTATGTCCAGAGATGGTCCACATGTGGTGTATTGAAAATATTAGTAGCCTCATTACTGTATACGTATTAAGTAGCGTGGAGTTGCCAAGTGGCAGTAACTTTAATTTGTATCTAGTCACAATTTTTATAGCAAGAAAGTGAAATGCTGTGGGTACTGCTGAAACAGGGATGACTTAAGACTGAATTGTTCTGCTTTAAGATTTTGATAATATAGGCCAGGCATGGTGGCTCATGCCTGTCATCCCAACACTTTGGGAGGCTGAGGTGGGCAGATCACCTAAGGTCAGGAATTCGAGACCAGTCTGGCCAACATGGCGAAACCTTGTCTCTACTGAAAAGACAAAAATTAGCTGGGTATGGTGGTGCATGCCTGTAATCCCAGCTACTCGGGAGGCTGAGGCAGGAGAATCGCTTGAACCTGGGAGGTGGAGGTTGTAGTGAGCTGAGATTGCGCCGCTGCACTCCAGCCTGGGCAACAGAGTGAGACTCAGTCTCAAAAAAAAAAAAATTTTGATAATGTATTGTATTGTTAAAACATGAAATCCTTGGCTTGTGTGTAGTCAGTCAAGCCTTGAAATTGGATGAAGTTCTCACTCTTCATCCAATCGTGAAGTCAAGTTGGTTTCGTATTTTGTATACATTTCTTTCTATTAATGTTCTCTTATTTCATATCTTCATCCTTTCTGGTTTATTGCATCAGTCTCTTAACTAATCTTGTTTGAATTTTTTTCATTAGTCATTCTAAGCTCCTAGTAGGAGTTATCTTGCCAAAATAAAATGTGAATTTGATTGTCAACCATACTTTGCCTGTAATCCTTTAGTGGCTCCTCAGACTTTGACATAAATCAAAAATTGAGAGTCATACCACCTGTGTCCAAATCCTGGTTTTTGCCAGTTACTAGCTATGTGACCTTGGGCAAATCATTTAAAATGTCTGTACCTCAGCTTCCCCATCAATAGACTGGGGATAAAAATAGTACCTACTTCATAGGATTATTGTGAGCCCTTGAAGTGCTGGCAAGTCCTTAGGATGCTTTTGGCATATTATAGTTTACAGGAAGCTGCAAAAATAGAGAGGGCACTGTAACTTTTCCCCAGTTTCCCCTATTGGTTACATCCTACATAACTTTAATACAATATTAAAACCAGGAAATTGACATCAGTACAATGTGTGTGTATAGTTCTATGCCATTTTATCACAGGTGTGTAGATTGCATAATCACCACCAAAATCAAGGTACAGAACTCTTACTGCAAAGATTGAATGATTCTCCTCCTCTTCATAAGTTCTGTTGTTTTGTCAATATAGCTAAGGAGAAAGATAACCAATTATTGGATCAGTAATTTCACTCTTTGCCTTATGTAATACAGTCATGTAGTACATAATGATGTTTCAGTCAAAAACGGACTGAATATATGACAGTGGTCCCATAAGATTATATCATATTTTAACTGTACTTTTTCCAAGGTTTAGAAACACAGATACTTTCCAGTGCGTTACAGTTGCCTACAATGTTTAATACAGTAACATGCTGTACAGGTTTGTAGCCTAGGAGCAATAGGCTATACCACCTAGGCTTGTGTAAGTACACTCTATGGTGTTCGCTCAACAATGAAATTGCCTAATGGTGCGTTTCTCAGAGTGTATCTCTGTCATTAAGTGTTGCATTGGCACATCCTGAAAGTTTTTATGAAAAATTCCACTTAAACTTTCTTTTAAAAGTTTATTTTTTAGATGAACCTGACATTGCAAACATACCAATTTTTTTTTTTGTTATGAGAATCTGAATATTGGCTAGGTTTTTTTTTTTTTTCTTTTTTTTGAGATGGAGTTTCGCTCTTGTTACCCAGGCTGGAGTACAATGGCGCGATGTCATCTCACCGCAACTTCTGCCACCCAGGTTCAAGTGATTCTCCTGCCTCAGCCTTCCTGAGTAGCTGGGATTATGGGCATGCGCCACCATGCCCGGCTAATTTTGTAGTTTTAATAGAGACGGGGTTTCTCCATGTTGGTCATGCTGGTCTCGAATCCCCCCTCAGGTGATCCACCCGCCTTGGCCTCCCAAAGTGCTGGGATTACAGGCGTAAGCCACTGGTCGGCTAGTTTTTTTTTTTTAAATGAGGAATTATAATATTAGGACCCATTAAAATTTTCTGGTAAAAGTTAACGATAACATTGAAATTGTCCACAAATAAAATGTGTAAGATTTAAATGAGGCTGGGCGTGGTGGCTCATGCCGGTAATCCCGGCACTTTGGGAGGCCAAGGCAGATGGATCATGAGGTCAGGAGTTCAAGACCAGCCTGACCAACATGGTGAAACTTTGCCTCTACTAAAAATACAAAAATATAGCCGGGCGTGGTGGCACACACCTGTACTCCCAGCTACTCAGGAGGCTGAGGCAGGAGAATCACTTGAACCTGGGAGGCGGAGGTTGCAGTGAGCCAAGGTGGCGCCACTGCACACCAGATTGGGCAACAGAGCGAGACTCTATCTCAAACAAACAAACAAAAAAAGATTTAAATTTTAAATAAATTCAAGGCTTACATGGTATGTTTGTTGCTAGAGAGGATATGTTAGAATCTGTGTTAGATAACCAAAATTACAGCTATTTTGACATTAGTTTGGTTTTGACAGTGTTAATGCAAACTTGTCAGATTAATTGATTGTCAGCATATGTCATAGTTTTATTTTGTACTTGTTGCAAGGGAACTAGCTTTAAAGGAAGTTAGTTCAAAGATATTTTCAGAAAAAGGATCTTTACAGAATAAAAGGGGAGGTTATGGTTACTATTTTTGTTAGGTACAAGTTAAAGGATAGTTACAGGGTTGGTTATACTTTGCTGCCCCTTAATCAGCCATATGATTATAAAGCCTGTCTTAAAAGATGAGGCTGTTAATCCAATATACTATCGATTATTACAGACAACAACGGAAGTCTGCTTTAAACAGGCTAACAAAATATTTTCAAATGTATTAACAAATAAAGGTAGATCACCTGATTTTTGTCTTCTCTGGGTTTGAGACAATTTTTCATTTGTCAATACTGTGATAATTTCTATTAAAAAAAGACAAAGTTTAATTTGTTTCATTAGCAGGAATATGACAAATATTGATGGTACTTCCTGATAAATAAGATTCATATTTACAAAGCTTTTTGGCTACCTGTGATTTCAGTTTTTTCCTGGTAGAATTATTTTTTCCTCCTTGGATTTATGTTTCTAGCTTTCTATTTGTCTTGGTGTACGTACTAAAAAATAATGCTTGAATTAGGGATCATTTGGCTTCAAGGACAGGCGTTGTAGGGATTCAGCTGTTTTGGGTTGAAGAAGAGTGACTAGACCTTGTGTGAATGGGAGAAACGTTAGGAATCTGAGAAGCTAGTCTCTCAAGCTCTCGTTCTGGTGATAAATGGTTTCTTGTCTCAGCATCTCCTTCCATGTCTGCTTCATCTCCCTTTCTCACTTCTCCCTTCCAGTTCTGTTTGTATTGCCCTGGTTTTTCATAGTCTCTGCTTCTCTGACTGGTAAGTGGATTTGATTTGCCATGGTGTTGACTTGAACTGTTCTTTCAACTAGAGTTTACCTGTTGATGGTGACAGTGTGTTTCTTTTAGTTCAGTTGGCAAGAGAGAAATCTGAATGCATTGCATGACCACCATGACTTAAATGTCTATCCTTATCCCGTGACCTTGGTGGGAGGTAGCGTGGAAAGCACCTTTTATATGAGGCTTAAGCTTTTAGATGCTTTTTATGAGGAGGGTTCTCTTGTTGGTGTTGAACAAGGCACTCAGTTAAACATGTCAAGTCTAGCAGTGCGTGATGAGGTACTTTGTGGGATACAAAGATAGGTTGGATTTAATCCTTTTCTGCAAGGATCAGTTTGCTGGAAATAGCAAAAGACTCCTATAATTTAAGATTTGCTTTTTATTCTAGTCACCTCAGGCAAACCAGAAAGATGACAAAGTAGGACTATAAGAACTAGCTAGGATTAAGGAAGGAGAATGAGAGGTAGCCCTGGATACATGAACGTACTATCTCTACAGTTTGGATCACTAACCTACTAAGCATGAAAGTATCTAGAAGCCATTGTATCAGGATCCTCATTGCTGCTATCAAAGACTATCCCTTATTGAATAAAGAAGCTCTTATTCATATCAAGTAGACATTCTTTTGTCCCATCATTAAGATCTAGAGACATCTTAGGAGAACTCATTTCATCACTACTCTAGGAACTGGAACATTCTCATAGGCACCCTCTATCTATATAGTGACAACTGTTCTCTTAGCAAATGTCATTCATCCCTGACAAGAAAATTTGTGCCTTCTTTCTTTAGAGACAATAAGCAGGAATTCAAATAGTTGAGTCTGTAGTAGTGAGCATCTTGTTCTCTGCAGATCTGGCAACAAAAGAATTGACATACTGGGTCAATCCAATGTCCAGTCAACACCATAGGTGATATTTAACAAAAGCTCCATGATTTCAGGGAAAGGAACTGGAGCTTTTTATTCCTATGTCAGTATTGGAGTTTATATGGACTTCAGAGCTAAAATTTCCATATCCAAGTCTTTATTATATTACCAAACCAGGGCCAAGATTTTTAGAAATAAGTACAAGTCAAGGATAGGCAACTAAGGAACCTAGAAGATTGGAGTCAGATTACAAAGCCACAGGAGATAAATAGTTGGGGAGTCACAGAGTTCTAAGCACTTAGGCTACAACAGAAGGAAACAGTGATCTCAACTTTTGTGTTGAAGAATTGCCTGGAAAAAGTATTAAAATTTTAGTTTCTGGCTGGGCGCAGTGGCTCACACCTGTAATCCCAGCACTTTGGGAGGCTGAGGTGGGCGGATCATGAGATCAGGAGTTCAAGACCAGCCTGGCCAACATGGTGAAACCCTGTTTCTATTAAAAATACTAAAACATTAGCTGGGCATCATGGCGCGCCTGTAATCCCAGCTACTCGGGAGGCTAAGGCAGGAGAATTGCTTGAACTGGGAACTGGGAGGCAGAGGTTGCAGTGAGCTGAGATTGCGCCACTGCACTCCAGCCTGGGCTACAGAGCAAGATTCCGTCTCAAAAAAAAAAAAAAAAAATATATATATATATATATATTTTGTTTCCTGAGTTCTACCCCCAGATTCCTAAAATCTGAGATGGGCCCAGGAATATATATCCTTCATAAGTATATCAGGTAATTCTAATTGGTATAGTCCTCAGAATGCTTGGAAAATGCATAGACAGCATAATGTCTACTTAGAACCTATTATATGCTTTGTTCTGTGGAAGTCTCAAATATCTGTTTATAATTGGGAGTGTTTCTTTCCTGATATTTGCCTGCCTCATATTAAACACTGTGTCCATCCTCTCTGATTGCTTATGTCAGTAGATCGTGACATGGGCTATATTTTGCGTAAATATGATTATTTTTCTAGATGTTGTACTTAACAGTATTATGCCCTAAACATCTAGTTTTTATGGTTATGGCATCAGCTCATTTTCTTAAACTCTGTATTTTTGTATATGAACTCTTAAGAAGACAGTCTTTTTTTATTCCCACCTTTTGTCATTAAGTTCTCCTTTATTCTAATTTTCTGGATCTGGTAAGCGAGTTTTTTTTGTTTGTTTTTTAACCTTATATACTTTGGAATATCAGCCATCTCTTGAACCTTTGCACTCATGAATTAATTTCTCACCTTTTAAGGTCTGTCATTCTTTTTGGAGTCTTAATTACTCTTAGAATATTGAGCTGGTTGTGAACATGAACTTTGGAGCCATATTGTCTAGGTGCAAATCTGATCTCCACTACTTAACCCTGTAATTTTGTGTAAACCTCTATGTGTCTCATCTGTAAACTGGGCATAGATAAATAATACTATTTATTCATATACATAATAGGATTCTTGTGAGTATATGATTCAACATTTGCAAAGTGCTTAGAGTAGTGGTTGTTACACCTTATCTTATTATTAGTTGTCCTGTTCTTTTTCCTAGGTAATACTCCCCTCCTTAATCTTTAGAATTCTCTATTTGTTGCAAATAATCCCTTTCTGGCTAATTTATTTTTTCTTTGTGTATTTATTTTCTTCTGAGTTTTCCTTTTTTAGCTCTTAGCTGCATTTGATGTAATATTTCCCCTTAAAATTTTTTCTATACAAGTGTTTCTTCCATCATTCTTTTCTCTCTTGTTAAAATTACCTCTGGTCTTGAAGTTCCTAGATTTGAAGGCTTTAAATCTCCCTTTAGTACTTTTCTTTTTGTACTTTTCTCCCTCCTCCTCTCACCTAATTTGTCAGTGATCTGCTGATTCTTTCACCCCATAACATCTCTTAGATTATTCTTTTCCTTTATTGTCTATAGTTGCCATCCTCATTACTTCTTGTTGAGATGATTGCAGCAGTAAAACTGGCCTTCCTGCCACTTCCCTACTCTATTCCATGGTGCACAGCACTCTTAGAATAATTTTTATCAAACTTTTCATCAAGTCATTTAAGAGGTTACTATACCTTAGTTCAAATTGTGCCATATGCCAAATTTTCGTCCCTGTGCTTTGTGATGGGTTTGCTAACATTTCCTTTCCTCCCTTTTCCATGTCTTATTTTCTTATTCCAGAAGTCATTTTCTGTATTGCATTCAAGTAAATTACCTTTCCTTCTGCTGTATATTTTCAGCCTTTGTTTCTTGGCATTTGCTACCTTACCCACTTAATGTATTTGTATATCCTTATCTTACTAGTTAAAACCTTATACTTAAAACCCAGTTAAATCCTTCTGTCTGAAGAGACATATCCCAGTGAACCTCGACACACTTAGACCAGTCATTTACTCGACATATAAGCTGCATTTACATACTCAATCATTATTGTAATTTTTTGTATTTACTTGTAAGGTATGTGACATTCTAAATAGTTTAGTTTTCATGTTATGTATATGAATTGGATTCCTAGTTGAAGTGTAAGATCCTTGAATTTTCTGCTGACTTGCCGCTGGTAGGGGGCAGGGGTGAGGGGACTGAATTTATCCTCAGAAGATAGTGAACCTAAAATTTCTGGTACCCCTGTCGCTGGTACCAGCTACAGCCAATAATACTTGTCAAGAACTTAGACACAGCAATCTATCTAGTACTGAGGGTACTGGATCAGAGAAATGACATTCTTTCCCATCCCTCCTTCATTTTCACAGTTCATTTATTAACTCCCACTTATTTAGCCAACAATGAGTTAGATGTAGGCCTACCGTTCAGGAAGCTCATAGTTTGGTTTTGATAGGATCAGAAAGAGGACCCAACCGTGAGGCACAGATCTCAGTACTGCACATGGGGTATGCTTGCTTCAGTAATTTCAGTCATCTGAGCTAGCTTACTCATGAGACATTATGGGGAAAACATAATGTCTCCTTAGGCATCTCCCTGTCTCTGTGTGGTCTCTTCAGTATGGTGGCTTCAAGGTAGCCAGACTTCTCACATAGTGCCTCAGGGCTCCAAAGGCAGGTGTCCCAAAAGAGAAAGGAAGTCAGGCTTATTGTTTTTTATGATCTATCCTTGGAAACTTGAGGATTACTTCCAGAGCATTCTACTCACGAAGGCAGTCATGCAGGCCTGCCTGTGTTGGAGAGCAGGGAACAGAGACTACACTCCACCTTTTGATGGGAGGAGTGGCAACATTCTCAAAGAGCATGTATGATGGAAATATTGTTGTGGCAGTTATGCAAAATGCAACGTGCCATACCAAAAGATAAATACTGTTAATAATTTGCTTTGCTTTCAGGTTACAAGTGTATTCTCTATGATGGTGTCATACTACCACTTATATTTCTTTCTTTAACAATATATAATGGTGTCAGCACGTAAAGACATACCTCACTTTCTTAATGTAAACAAATGAAGTATAATATAACCATTTACCCACCAGTGGACATTTAAGCTTTCTTTTACACACACACACACACATACATTTAAGCTTTCTTTTACACACACACACATATACACAGAGAGAGAGAAGCAAAACGAACAAAAAGCCTAAAAGCATAATATAGTTTTAGATTACAATTGAATTTTGTCTTACCCCAAGTTGGTAGGATTTGTGAGGGGATCAGGGAGGGCAGTGATGATGCCACTTGTGGCCTTTGAAAGGGAATAATCCTCTTCACTCTTGATTTATCTACCTTGGTGAGTAATTTTAGTAGGAACCTCTTGTTTGGTGTTAGATTGGCCTGTGGTAAACATTGTTGTGAATGGGACTAAGAAGGCAAGAGGTAATAAGCTTTCTCCTCGTGCCACTATTCCAACCATCTGAGAATTGTTTCTTGCATCTCCTTTTTTTTCTCCCTTTGCTGTTTTTTCTTTCTTTTTTCCTTGCTCCAACCTCCTCAATAATCCTGTGCTTCTGTCTTGATCTCAGCAAAAGATATGGATGAGGTGGGACTATCATCATGTACAAAGATATCTCATTTGGCACTTGATCAGGTGAAGAATTATTTTTTGTCTTTCTTCCTGTTGTGTATGCAAAAGACATCTTAAATGACTTAACTTGAACTAGGAGTTGATCAATTGATTTTAAAAACTTGGTTATAGTAAAAAGCATTAAAAATTGATGACTTAAACATTTTACTTTAATCAAAATATATAGACATACATGCATTTGTTAGTTATTTGGTTACAGGGCAGTGGTTTTCAACTGGTGATTTTACCCTCCAGGGACATTTTGCAACATTTGGAGACATTTTTGATTGCCACTACTGCAATGGGAGTGCTATTGCCATGTAGTGGGTAATAGCAAAGCCAGGGATGCTGCCAAACATCCTTCAGTTTACAGGCCAATATCTCCCGCTCCCAACAGATAATTCTCCCATCCAAAATGTCAACAGTACTGGGATTGAGAAACTCTGATCTAGGGCCAACGCCTTTTCTTTGTGTGTGACTCTATCAGTTGACACTCTACATCAGTTTTTCATGCATAAACCATACCCATAATGTATCACTTATGATTTCCAGTTTTTTTTTTAAATGGAGGAAGACCTTAAGGACATTTGTAATCTATGAGTCAAATCTTAATATTTTATTTCTTCCAAATCTCTTTTTTTTTTTTTTTTTGAGACGGAGTCTTGCTCTGTCTTCAGGCTGGAGTGCAGTGGTGCAATCTTGGCTCACTGCAACCTCCGCCTCGCGGGTTCAAGCAATTCTCCTGCCTCAGCCTCCACAGGTGTGCGCCACCATGCCCAGCCGATTTTTGTATTTTTAGTAGAGACGAGGTTTCACCATGTTGGCCAGGATGGTCTCCATCTCTTGACCTTGTGATCCGCCCGCCTAGGCCTCCCCGAGTGCTGGGATTACAGGCGTGAGCCACTGTGCCCAGCCCATTTCTCCCAAATCTTTTACAGTAGTCTCACCTATACTCAATTCAATAGCATTCTTATTTTTTCAAGTTAATCGTCTTAAATTGTGCCAAACATTGAACCTTTTTTTGTGTGTGTGTGACTTACTTTTAATAGAAACAACTCTTCACACTCTTTTTTTTTTTTGAGATGGAGTCTCGCTCTGTCACCCAGGCTGGAGTGCAGTGGCACCATCTTGCTCACTGCAAGCTCTGCCTCCTGGGTTCACACCATTCTCCTGCCTCAGCCTTCCAAGTAGCTGGGACTACAGGTGCCCACCACCACGCCCAACTAATTTTTTGTATTTTTAGTAGAGACAGGGTTTCATCGTGTTAGCCACGATGGTCTCGATCTCCTGACCTCGTGATCCACCCTCCTTGGCCTACCAAAGTGCTGGGATTACAGGCATGAGCTACTGCGCCCGGCCTCTTCACACTCTTATTTTGTTAGTTTAGATAGTATAATCAAATTCCACAGTTGCAAGAACACCTTGTCTAAACAGTAAGGGAATAAACCAGCTTACTCTTGGTTGGCACACAGTGGAGTGTTTGAAACAGCCTAATAAGCATCCTTGTCAGTTTGTTTTAGAAGGGGAATCTAGAGAATATTGGTTGATTATGATGGTTGGTTAATTGGAGGCTGAGCAAGAGCTTCCACATGAGCAGTAGGAACTGAAGGGTTTTTTGTTGTTGTTGTTGTTGAAAAGAATTGTTTTCAAAGTGAGTTCACTGAAAACTTCTACTTAAATAAGCCAAAAGAAAAACAAAACAAAAAACCAGGCGCGCGTGCATGCGCACACACACGCACGCACACACACACACACACGCAGAGAGAGAGAGAGAAGCAAAAACAAAAAGCCTAAAAGCATAATATAGTTTTAGATTTCAGTTGAATTTTGTTTTACCCCAAGTTGGTAGGATTTGTGAGGGGATCAGGGAGGACAGTGATGATGCCAGTTATAGCCTTCAAAAGATAATAATGCTCTTCACTCTTGATTTATCAGCCTTGCTGAGTAACTTCACAAATCTTTAGGTATTTGGGATAATCAGGAAGCTCTGCCTATCTAGAAGTGATTCAGTTATTTTGCTAGGTTTCGGTTCCTTTCATGAAATGTACTTAATCATATTTTTGTGTATGCTTCAAGGGCTGCTACCAGCTGGCCTTATCCTATTTAACAACTCTGTTTTAAGCAGACTAACTTAACTTCCATGATGTCTGCTGTATTTCTGGATTACTTTCATATGGGCCTTTATATACTAAGCCCCATCAGCCAGTCTCCTGCACTTTGCCAAAACATTTCTTAAACTTCTTTAAAATACTTAAACCCAGCATCTCAATTTTCACTAAAGACTTGATTCTAACACATTTCCAATCTTTGTATTACCAGCACATTTTTTTCAGCTTTGATTATATGCGTTTTCAGAATATATGCATAATTTTGGCTACATGAATTTATGCAGGCTGACTCATTGCCTAATAAAAGTGATGTTATTTAGAATTTAATCAGAGATTAATCAGAGAGGTCCAGAAACCAGCATTTTAGATACTCTAATGAATTCTCTAGTAACCAACACCCATTGGGAAATCTAACCTGAATGGATTGTTAATCTTCTCAGAGCTAGAGGATTTAAAGCTGAATTAGCATAGACTTGTTAAAGTTGTTAATTACTATTTCTGTAGTTTTTGGGGAAAATGTTAGCCCTTCTTTCCTGCACTTTCTGCTAATGATGGTGGTTTCTTTATCTAGAGAAACTTTAAGATTATAGAAGGATAAGAGATTACTTGGAGCAGCATGCCTGAGTTAACTCTTAGTTAATGAGATTTTTAAATATAATAATTCCTTCCCTCCAGGCTTATATTAAAAGAAAAATCACTGTATAAAAAGTTATTTTGTGTATTTGTGTGGTTATCTTACATTACATTTATAAAATACTTAGTATTTGAAACATTGTTTAATTTTATGTCCATTTCCTCTCACTTTTCAAACATGACGTATGTAGAGATTCTTAGTAAATGCTTTTTGAAAATGATGACTTATTATTATTATTATCATTATTTTTGAGACAGAGTCTCACTCTGTCCCTCAGGCTGGAGTACAGTGGCATGATCTCAGCTCACTGCAACCTCCGCCTCCCAGGTTCAAGGGATTCTCCTGCCTCAGCCTCCCAGGTGGCTGGGATTATAGGCGTTAGCCACCACACCCAGCTAATTTTTTGTATTTTTAGTAGAGACGGGGTTTCACCATATTGAACCAGGCTTGTCTTGAACCCCTGACCTCAGGTGATCTGCTGGCCTTGGCCTCCCAAAGTGCTGGGATTACAGGCGTGAGCCACCACACCTGGCCTTGAAAAAAATGGTTTTTAATGGGTTATCAAACTAATAATTCCAAAGTGATCAAGATGGTAAATTGCAAGTCAGTTATAATGTTAAATGTTATCAAAATTATTGAAAATGTTATCAAAATTATTGAAAAATGTTATCAAAATTATTTGAAAAATAATTAAATGGCTTTATGGCAGGAATTAATTTCTTTTCAAGGCATAAATGAAAGATTATTTTCCAAATGAATCGTCTATATAGGGTTCATTTTAGAAGAAGCACAGTAACCTTTTAAGGCAGTGTATTCCTTGTGGTGGTGGTGTTTTGCATTGTTGGTATTTAAATCACAAACTGTAATGTATATTTCTTGAAAGGACCAGAAATAATCTAGTTTATCACTTGTGTCCAATAGGGAAATGAAGGGAGTAAGATGTTCTTGTCTAAAGTCTTATTGCCAGGGTAGAGCTCAGGTCACTTATCTCCTAGTTTTACATTTTCTCCATTGTACTACCTGTTACCAAAGGTGGCTGAAACATTTTAGTTCATTGTGCTCAAATACTGCTAATTTGTGTTGGACACTCGGGATTTGAATTACTTCCTTTTTATAGATATGTATTGATTTTTGATAGTAATTAAGTTTATCTCTATTATATAGTGTACATTATCTAAACATCTCATCCAGGTAGTATAAAAACAATTAGTGCAATCAGTGATTTGTTATGTGCCTCTGCTCCTGATTATGTGTCTTAAGAGGCCTACAGGCATCTCAGCATGTCTGTGGGATCCTAGATGGCTTCTGTTCTGCTGTTGTCCTGAGTCTTCCAGCTATTTGCTGACCACCGAATTATAAAGCACCTCTCCTAGAGATCTCTTGAGTATATGTGTATCCTTGGTTATTATATTGCCTGATTTAATTCATTGACATACATTTGGGACATCGTGTTGTATACTATATGAAATATACTGATTTCTTTCTTTCTTTCTTTTTTTTTTTTTTGAGACAAGTTCTCGCTCTGCTGTCCAGTCTGGAGTCCAGTGGCATGATCTTGGTGCACTGCAACCTCATCTCATCAGCTCAAGCCATCCTCCCTACCTTAGCCTCCCGATTATCTGGGACCACAGGTACATGCCACCACAGTTTTTGTATGGCTAGTTTTTGTATTTTTTGTAGAGATGAGATTTCGCCATGTTGCCCAGGCTGGTTTCAAACTCCTGGCCTCAAGTGATTTGCCTGCATCAGCCTCCCAAAGTGGTGGGATTACAGGCATAAGCCACTGTGCCCAGCCTAAAATATACTGATTTATATATTATGTTTTGGATTAATTTCCAAATGGACATAGGAACATATTTGGTTTGTACTGTTATTTTTAAATGAAAATATAATTAGCTTGTCTTGTTTTGTTTTATAGGACCTTTCCTAGGACCATAATTTATTAGAATTCAAAGAGTAGATTTATTTTGCAAATTCAAACCTACTTTTTTAAGGGAAAGGGAAGAATTGACATTAATTATATATAGCTTGAATTTTTATCTTTTAATTATAAACTTGAAAGTCTATTTATAAAAATGGAAAAACAAATGAACATCTATTAAAATATGGGTTATGGGCCAGGTGTGGTGGCTCACACCTGTAATCCCAGCACTTTGGGAGGCCAAGGCGGGCAGATCACCTGAGGTCAGGAGTTTGACACCAGCCTGACCAACATGGCCAAACCCTGTCTCTACCAAAAATACAAAAATTAGCCGGGCATGGTGGCGCATGCCTGTAATCCCAGCTATGTGGGAGGCTGAGGCAGTGGAATTGCCTGAACCTGGGAGGTGGAGGTTGCAGTGAGCCTACAGTGAGCCGAGATTGTGCCATTGGACTCCAGCCTGGGCGACAGAGCGAGACTCTGTCTTAAAAAAAAACCTGGGTTATATAGAAGGACTTAAAATTTAGTGTTGTGTCCGGGTGAGGTGGCTCCTCCCTGTAATTTCAGTGTTTTGGGAAGCTGATGCAGGAGGATTGCTTGAAGCCAGGAGTTTGAGACCAACCAGCCTGGGCCTCATAGTGAGATTCCATCTCTACAAAAAATTTTTAAAAATTAGCTGCGTGTAGTGGTTTGCACCTGTAGTCCCAGCTACTCAGGAAGCTAAGGCAGGATCATTTGAGCCAAAGTTGGAGCCTGTGGTGAGCTATGATCGCACCACTACACTCCAAGATGGGTGACAGAGTGAGACCCTATCTCTAAAAAAAAAAAAAAAAAATTACTGTTGATTGTACCACCAGGGTAGTTGGGGCATTTGAAAGCATGTTTATGTATTTTTTAAAGGTTAGTTTGACAAGATAATTGACCTACCAGTCTATATGATGGCCAGTTGTAGGATGGTAGAAAAACTTTGTTGAGCAATGTTTTTTGAACTATTTGTGGTAACGCAACATTTTTATAATCTCATTGGCTGATAGTGTCTTTTGTAAAATACAATAAAAATGGGTAACTAGAAAAATTAAGTGGAAAAAATAGCCAAAGAAATATGATACAAGTCCAAATATCAGTTTCAGGAGATATATTAATTGGTCAAATTGCTATTAAAATTTCTAAACACTTAGTCTCAATTTCTGTAACTAGTCATGGACCAGTTTCAGACAGTAACAGTGCCCATGGATCAATACTGGTCTACAGACCAGACTTTGAGAAGAACTGTCCTAGAATATACAAATGCTATGTAGTATTAGGAGTCATTGCTAAGCTGAAGAGTTGTCTTTCACACCAGACACAGCTCCTGCAAACAATCTACAGGTGCCTCGCCTGCTAAAGTGCTTAGTAGCCTTCTATGAAGACCAAAAAAAAATGAGACTTGAGAACTTCTTTAAAAAAGAAACAACAAACTTTACTGACATATAATTTATTTGGTGTAAAATTCATCTGTATTAAGTGTACTGCTCAATGACTTCTAGTGAATTTTCCAACTTGTGCAAAACACCACGACAATCCAATTTTAGAACTTTTTTTTTTTTGAGACCCATTTTTGGCTCAAATGGGTCTTTCATCACCCAGGCTGTAGTACTGTGGTGTGATCATGGCTCACTGCAGCCTTGACTTCCTGGGCTCAGGTGATTCTCCTGCCTCAAGCCTGTTCAGTCCCAGAACACTTTCATCACCTCCACAAGAACCCTTATGTTCTTTTATACTTAATCCCTATTCCTAGCCCCAACCCCAGCTCCAGACAACCACCATGCTTTATGTGTTTATACCAACCAAAATACCTTTTGTGTTTACAGATTTGTACTTTCCAGACATTTTATGTAAATGGAATCAGACAGTATGTGGCCTTTTGTTTCTGGTCTCTTTGACTAAGTGTAATGTTTTTGAAGTTCATCCACTTTGTAGCATGTATCAATATTCTGTTTTTTATTGCTGAATAGCATTCAGTTGTTTTAAAATACCACATTTTGTTTGTCCACCAGCTGATGGTTGTTTGGGATGTTTCCAGATTGGAGGATATTTTTAAAAATGCTTTTATGACATTTGCATGCAACTTTTTGGGGGAACATGTTTTTATTTCTTGGATAGGTACCTAGAAGTGGTATTGTTGGCTTGCATGGTATCTATGTTTAGCTTTTTAAGAAACTGCAAAACTATTTTACTGTTTCACCAGCAATGTATTAGAGTCGCAGTTTCTTCACATCCTTGTCAACACTTGTTATTGTCTATCTTTTTTTATTATAGCCATTCTAGTGGGAATGGTATTGGATTGCATTTCCCTAATAACTAATGATGTTGAGCATGTTTTCATGTGCTTATTGGCAATTCATA
The DNA here is from genome assembly GCF_000001405.40 of Homo sapiens. Taxonomy (NCBI): domain Eukaryota; kingdom Metazoa; phylum Chordata; class Mammalia; order Primates; family Hominidae; genus Homo; species Homo sapiens. The sequence goes on from NC_000008.11 coordinate 28,910,664, forward strand.
TATCTTTTTTGATGAAATATCTATTCAGGTATTTGCTCATCTTATAGTTGGGTTGTCATCATATTGAACTGTAAGAATTCTGTATGTATTTGGGATACATGTCTTTTATAGATATATTAATATGTTTTGCAGATATTTTCTCCTAACCCTTGTCTTTTCTTTCTCTTACTGATTTGTTTTGAAAGGGGAACCTTTCAATTCTTCTTAAAATTCATGCTCATTTTAAAGAATCACAGAGACTAATGAAATGAGAGAGCAGTGACAGGGTACCTTACTCTGCTTCAGCTCTATTTCAGAAAGTAATTATCTAATTGTAGAGTTCACTTGCTTAGTGATGCTAAATGACCACGTCAGTGTTTCAAACCTGATATTCTGGTGGTTGTACTGGGGGAGTCGATTTGCCACCATACCACTGACAGAACATCATCTTTTACTGTAATTCCTTAAGCAGTCAGATTTCTTAGTTGGAAGCAACAAAAACTGATTTTGGCCTATTTAACCTAGAAGTAAATTTATTAAATAGATGTTAGGAAGCTCTTAGAATTGCTAGGAAGACTGCAGCCAGGCTTGTACAATGAGAAGACCTGGGGGGAGGGTGCTGTCCTTGGCAGAAACCAGTCAGAGCCACACCACAGGTGCAGTCTGATTAGGACAGCAATACTGTTGCTTGCTTACTGCTGCTGGCACCACTGAATGCTGCTGCTTGACTTTTTTTGAAGTCTCCCTCTATTGCCTAGGCTGGAGCGCAGTGGCGCGATATCAGCTCACTGCAACCACTGCCTCCCGGGTTCAAGCGATTCTCCTGCCTCAGCCTGGCGAGTAGCTAGGATTACAAGTGCCTGCCACCATGCCCTGCTAATTTTTGTATTTTTAGTAGAGACAGGATTTCACCACATTGGCCAGACTGATCTTGAACTTCTGACCTCAAATGATCCACCCACCTCGGCCTCCCAAAATGCTGGGATTATAGGCGTGAGCCACCGCGCCTAGCTGCTGCTTGACTTTTATTGCTGCTGCTCCTAAAACTTGCCCCTGCTGCAGTGGTCATCTCTATTTAAGAGGGTTCGTTCTGGTTGTGACACCAGCACTACACCATTTTACATAAGTGATTTGAGCGTCTATAGATTTTGGTATCTGCAGGGTTGGGGGAGGGCAGAGGGGAGTATTTTGGAACCAGCCCACTGCAGATACCAAGGGACAACTGTACAGATGGTCCCCGACTTACCATGGCTTGACTTAATGATTTTTTAACTTTATGATGGTGCAAAAGTGATATGCATTCAGTAAAAACTATACTTCATATTTTGAATTTTGACTTCTTTCCCAACTGGCCATATGTGATATGCTACCTTTTCACAATGCTGGGCCAAATCATCTAACCAAAGGCTATTTTATAATAAAGTGTTGAATATCTCATTTAATTTATTGAACACTATACTGAAACTGTTCTAAGCACATTTTGATTAGGCTAGGCTAAGCTATGATGTTTGATAGGTTAGATGTATTAAATGTGTATTCAACATAACAATACTTTCAACTTACTATGGGTTTATCAGGATGTGACCTTACGCTAAGTTGAGGAGCATCTGTACTGTATTTCTAAAGGAAGCTGGGATATGAATATCTGGCATTTTCAAGCTTCTTAATGAAAAATAGGTACTCCATCTTATTAGTATTGAAGAATCTCGAGTGTTTCCCATCTTAAAAAGAAAACACAAGCTCCCTCAACCTCACTTTCCCATCCAGATTCTGCCATGTTTCTGTTTTCTCATCTATAGACAATATTGACTATTCTCAACCCCATTTCTTGATGAACTCTTCAATCCACCAGAATCTGGTGTATACCCTCATTAATCTCCAAAACTCTTTTTCACAATTTCGCTAAAATTCATGGACAAATTTCAGTTTTCTGGTTTGATATTTCAGCAGTTTTTGTCAATGATCATTCCTTCTTTATGAAACACTTGCTTCTGCGGCTTCTTTGATACTTCTGTGTTTTGGGTTTTCTTCTTTTGGAGGCTGCTTCTTGCCCTTCAAGTTCCTCAGAGCTCTGCTCCAGGCCCTATTCTTGTCTAAACATACTCCATAAGCAAGCTCATCTACCTTTATAGCCTCATTTACCACTTACAGACTAGCCTAGGCCTCTCTGTTGAGTTCCAGAGAGAACTTTATACTAGATATTTCTTTTGGGGTGTTTCAAAGTCATCTCAAAGATGCCTTTTTATGCTTTAAAAAACATACTTAAGTTTTCTCCACTTCTAGTATTGCTTATTGTAGGAAATGACACCAACGATCAAACACCTATTCAAGCTAAAAACCTGAGGATTATCTCTGATTCTTACTTCCTTCATGTTAACTCTTCTATATTCTGTTTCCAAATATCACCATTTCACCATTTCTCCCTTTTCCTCCTATAGTCACCCTGATCCAAGTCATTGTCAGTGATGGCCTAGAATGGTTACTGTAAAATCTCCTAATGACACTCCCTAGTGCTGGTCTTGCCCTCTTTCCCCACGGGATAGCAAGATGGATAATGTTATCCTTAAGTCTTTTTAAACCCTTGCCCTTAGGGTAAAGTCCAAACTATTTAATATGCTTTGTAAGACTCTCCAACATATTTGCACTCACTTATCTCTAACATTATTACTACTTTTCTTTTTGCATTTGATGTTCCAGCTAATCTTCTTTAAGTTTCTCAGTTGGGCAAGCTTTTTCCTGCCTGTTACCCCACATGCTGTTCTCTCTAAGTAGGTGAATTCACCCTCCCACCTCGCCTTCACCATCCCATTTCCCCACTTCTCAACCCGGCAATGTCCATTAGTTCTTTGTGTCTTACTTTAAATACTTCCCTAGATTAGGTTAGGATATTTTCTTACATGCTTCTGGAATACTCTGTACTTTCCCTATAGTACACATTACAACTTATTGTAATTATTTGTCTGTTTTCCCACTAGACTGTAAACTGCATAGGGTTAAGAACCATGCATTTCTCTTTCTCTCCCCATAGCACCCAGCACAGTTCTTGACTCATAGTAAATGCTTAGTAACGTCTGCTAAGTGAATAGAGATCCTTTGATCTGTTTTATTTTTATTTATTTATCTATTTTGAGACAAAGTCTCACTCTGTCGCCCAGGCTGGAGTGCAGTGGCGTGATCTCACTGCAGCCTCCACCTCCTGGGTTCAAGTGATTCTTTTTTTTTTTTTTTTTTTTTGCGGGGGCGGAGGGATGGAGTCTCACTCTTGTCACCCAGGCTGGAGTGCAGTGGCACAATCTCGGCTCACTGCAACCTGCATCTCCCAAATTCAAGCGATTCTTCTGCCCCAGCCTCCCAAGTAGATGGGACTACAGGCATGTGCCACCACATCCGGCTAATTTCTGTATTTTTAGAGACGGGGTTTCACCATGTTGGCCAGGCTGGTCTCGAACTCCTGACCTCAAGTGATCTGCCTGCCTAGGCCTCCCAAAGTGCTGGGATTACAGGCGTGAGCTACCGTGCCTGGCCTGATCTGTTTTAAAAAGAGATAGCCTCCTTGTATTAAATAAAATCAGCCTAACCACTTGAGATGGGTAAGTTCAGTGTGTACATTTATATTCATCTACAGAAAAACTACCGAGAATTTTATAAACCTGCATTGTCAAAGAGGATATTAGAAAACGATTGGGACTTATATAGTAAAATCTGTATTTAGGAACTTAAGGATCAAATTGTAAATGTGGGATCAAATAGATACCCCATCTATTAAAGAATGGCCAGTGGGAAATTTAACATACTAATTAAACACTTAAAAAAATCGCCTCATCAGAATCATCTTTTCCCACTTTAAACTGTGGACAGGCACTGTTTTGCTAGGTAAGTAAATATCTGAACACACGCCTTCACTTGTCTTGATCAAGACAAACATCTGTATAAACTTCAGCTTAGCATTCTTTGAACCACAGCACTGCAGACAGCCATGACAGCTAATGTGACATTGAAGCCTATTTGACATCCCTAACCTAAGTTAGAGGGTCAGTAACATTTGAATTAATAAAATAAATATGTGGTTTTCATTTCAGTGAAAATTTCTTTTTTTGCTCTTATTTCAGTGAGAACTTCCTTGTTAGAATATATTCTACTTTATTTGAACACAGTGTTATACTTGTAATACCTATAATGGAAATGAAATGCTTTATAAAAACCAGTGAATGCATTATAAGCATATGCAAATAGAGTGAAAGAACTGCAAAGGAAATTCCGCAGAACATATTTTTATTTCTTCAAAGGTGGCTATAGAAGTACTTCTGGATTAGATATGTTCAGTTGCAAAATAACAAATTCTATGGAAACCAACAAACTATAAAGGAAATTTATTTGTTTATATATCACAAAATCCAAAGACAGGTAAGACTTCTGGCAAAAATTGATCCAGAGGTTCTAAGATGTCATCAGTAATCTTTGTTGTTGTTGTAGTGTTGTGTTGTTTTACTTTGCATTCTCAACTTCCTAGAGCAACTCTATCCAATAGGAATATAATGCCTATTACATTTTAAAATTTAAATATTCTAGTTACTACATTTTATGAAGTAAAAAGAAACAGATGAAATTCATTTTTTTTAAAGAGACAGGGTCTGACTGGGCGCCGTGGCTCACGCCTGTAATCCCAACACTTTTGGAAGCTGAGGCGGGCGGATCACAAGGTCAGGAGATGGAGACCATCCTGGCTAACATGGTGAAACCCCGTCTCTACTAAAAATACAAAAAATTAGCCGGGCATGGTGGCAGGTGCCTGTAGTCCCAGCTACTTGGGAGGCTGAGGCAGGAGAATGGTGTGAACCCGGGAGGTGGAGCTTGCAGTGAGCCAAGATCGTGCCACTGCACTCCAGCCTGGGTGACAGAGCGAGACTCTGTCTCAAAAAAAAAAAAAAAAAAAAAAAGAGACAGAGTCCTGCTCTGTTGCCCAGGGTGGAGTGCAGTGGCTATATTCACAGGTGTATGAGAGTTTTGACCTGCTGTGTTTCTAACTTGGGCTGGATCACCCCTCCTTGGGCAACTTGGGTGGTTCCCTACTGCTTTGAGTGGTCACCATATTGATGCCATACTTAGTGGGGGCACCTGATCAGCTTTAGCACACTATAGCACAGAACTCCTGGGTTCAAGTGATCCTCTTGTCTCAGCCTCCTGAGTAGCTAGAACTATAGACATGTGACACTGTGCCTGGCAAAATTAATTTTAATAACAGGTTTTATTTAACTCAGTATTTCCAAAATATTACTATTTCACATGGAATTAGTATAAAAATTGAGATATTTTACGTTCTTAAGTCTTCAAAACTGGTATTTTACTCTTACAACATGTCTTAATTCGGACTAGCCAGATTTCAAAGGCCCAGTAACCACATGTAGCCAGAGGCTACTGTTTTGGACAGCAGTTATAGTTTCTACTTTGTCTTAAGGCTGGCTCTCATTTTCTCAAGTTGGCCACTGCAGTCAGCAGATTTATGTGTTTTCTTGTTCATATCTTTAAGAAAGAAGACAGCATATTTTCAGTATCTGCCCTCTAAGTAAGGGGAAATTTTTCCCCAGAATCCCTCAGCAGATGTCACCATGAGTTTCATTGTTTGTATTGGGCCTTCTGATCATCCATGATTCCTGCCACTGTAACCAGGAGGATGAAATGTACTGAATAGTATGTGCCAATCAGGAATTACCCATGGGATATAACCCAGGATCACAAATCCTATGCTATTCACAAAGAGTTTTTCTCCTGTGTTTTGTTCTAGAAGTTTTATATTTTTGGGTTTTCCATGTAAGTCTGTGACCCATTTTGAGTTAATGCGTGTAGAAGATTTGAGGTATGGGCAAGGTTTTATGTTTTTGGATATAGATTTCCACGTGTTCTAGCTCCATTTATTGAAAAAGGCTATCCTTTTTCCATTGAATTGACTTTACACCTTTGTCAAATATTAATTGACCATATTTGTGTGAGTCTGTTTCTGGACTTTCTATTATTCTATTCTATTGATCTATCTGTCTGTCCCTTTTCTACGAACACACTATCTTCATTACGGTATTGTAAGTCTTACAATCAGTTAATATGAGTCTTCCAACTTTTTTTTTTAAATCTAAATTGTTTTTACTATTCTCATTCATTGGCCTTTCCATACAGATATTAGAGTTAGCTTGTTAGGCAGACATGGGAGGATAGCTTGAGCCCAGGAGTTCAAGACCAGCCTGGGCAATAGAGTGAGACTTTGTCTCTACAAAATATAAAAATTAGCCAAACTTAGTGATGCATGCCTGTAGTCCCAGCTACTCAGGAGGCTGAGGTGAGAGGAACACTTGCGCCCAGGAGGCAGAGGTTACAGTGAGCAGAGATCATATCACTGCACTCCAGCCTGGGTGACAGAGCAAGACCCTGTCTCAAAAAAAAAAAAAAAAAAAGAATTACCTTGTTAATATATACCAAAAGATCTTCTAGAATTTTTATTGGGATTGTGTTGGCCGTTAGAGCAATTTGGGCAGAATTTACATCTTAGCAATATTAAGTCTTCTGGTCCATGAACACTGTATATCTCTCCATTTATTTAGATCATCTTTGATTTTTTCTGTTGTTTTCAACATTCAGATTCTTCATCTATTTATTAGACTTATGCCTAAATATTTTATGATTTTGGTGCTATTATAAATGGTATATTTTTATTGGATTGTTAGTTCATTGTTAATAAGTAGAAATGTAATTGATTTTTGTATATTATCCTTGTATCTTATAGCCTTGATAAATTCATACGTTAGTTTGAAGAGTTTTTTTTCTAGAAACCTTAAGATTTTCTACATGACAATCACATTGCGTATGAATAGAAAAGGTTTTACTTTTTCCTTTCCAGTCTGTGCTTTTTTTTTCCCTTACTGTATTATACTGACTAAAACTTTTGGTATGATACTGAATAGTAGTGGTTAGAATGGACAGACTTGTCTGTTTTCAGTGTTAAGGCAAAAGCATTTTATCTTTCATTATTAAATATGATATATTTAGGGTTTTCATGGATGCCATTTATCAGTTTAAGGAGGTTCTATTTCTAGTTTGCTCCGAGTTTTGGTCATGAATAAGATATTATATTAACTTTTATCAAGTGCTTTTTCTTCATCTTTTCTTATTTAGTCTGTGATTATGGAGAATTACATTGACTGATTTTTGAATACTGAATAAACCTTGCATGTTGTATTGTTCTTTTCATATATTGCTGGATTCAGTTGGCTACAGTTTTGTTGAGGATTTTTTCATCTGTGTTCATCAGGGATATTAGTTTTCCTGTCATGTAATTTAATCCTCTGGCTTTTGTACTAGGATAATATGCTGGCCTTATAAAATGATTTGGGAAATTCTTTCTTCTCTTCTATTTTCTGGAAGAGACTGAGTAGGATTGCCATTATTTCTTCATTGAATATTTGGTCAAATTGGCCAGTGAAACTATCCAGGCCTGCAGTTTTCTTGGTTGTGATATTTTTAAACTATGAACTCAGTTTCCTTAAGAGCTATTCAACTATTCATGTTATTTTTATTTTTATTTTTATTTTTTGAGATGGACTCTTGCTCTGTCGCCCTGGCTGGAGTGCAGTGGCGCGATCTCGGCTCACCACAACCTCTGCCTCCCAGGTTCAAGAGATTCTCCTGCCTCAGCTTCCCAAGTAGCTGGGGCTACAGGTGCATGCCACCACGCCTGGCTAATTTTTTGTATTTTTAGTAGAGATGGGGTTCCACCGTGTTAGCCAGGATGGTCTCAATCTCCTGACCTTGTGATCCGCCTGCCTTGGCCTCCCAAAGTGTTGGGATTACAGGCGTGAGCCACCACGCCTGGCCATGTTGTTTCTTTTGGTAGTGTATGTATTCAAGGAGCTGGTCCATTTCATCTGAGTTACTGAATTTATGGACATAGACTTGTTTATAGTATTACTTGGTACTTTTAACCTCTATAGGGTCTCTAATGATGTTCCCTCTTTCATTATCAAAAAATCATAACTCGTGAAATGTTTGTGCTGTATTTGAGTTTATAAACATCATTTTACCACCAGCACGCCGAGTTTAAGTGCTTCCCACCTTCCATTTAACATAAGTATTTTAAAGTAGTAAGTATCACTGTCATCAATAACATAGTCATTTTCTGGAACATGAATAAACACATAAGGTCTGCTGCTATTTATGATATATTATCAAAGTTGTTTACACACCTGTATTCAGTGTGTAAAGTCATAACCCTGTTTTAAAAACAGCAGGAACTTCTGAAGACATCCAAATAACTATAGCAACTTTTAAAGTATTTCTTTATACTATCAATTCTAAATAGAAAAATTAGGGAATTAGAAAACAGGGAAGTTCTTTTTCTTGAGGAAAACAGAGAGGAAAGTGACAGAATATTGACTGCTCAGTGTTCATGTCATAAATTTTTCTCCATTGGTGAAGGATTAACCCAGTAACAGATACAGTTAGCCTTCTAACTGTACACTATGTTTTTGACTGTGCCTTTGTTTGTGGGGAATTGGTTCCAGGACTCCCTTTGGCTACCAAAATCTGCTGATGTTCAAGTCCCTTAGATGGCCCTTCTGTATCCAAGGGTTCTTCATCTGCAGATTTAACCAACCATGGATGGAAAACACTGTATTTATTTCAGTATTTATTGTATTATAGCCAACACAATACTGTATTTTCATGTAATTTAATTCTCTGGCCTTTTTATTGGGATAATTTTGACTGCATAAAATGATTCGGGAAATGTTTTCTTCCCTTATATTTTCTGGAAGAAATTGAGTAGAATTGACATTATTTCTTTATTGAATATTTGGTCTATACTTAATCTCAGTATTTATTGCGTTACAGATAGCACAATGCTGTATTTTCAATAATTTCAATAAACAATACAGTGGATTGTTTATTAGCTGCAGATTTCCATAGTTGATTGAATCCTCAGATGTAAAACTCATGGATATGGAGGGCCAACTGTATAGGCAAAAGATGTAAGATGTCCACAACTTGAATGACTTGTTTATAATTTTGGATGTCATAGTAATACACAATACCCACACACATTTTTATTTTCTTTTGGCAAAATCCATTTCCTTGGAAGGTAGTATATAATTTGTATTTTTGTAAATCAAATTTTGTTACACATGACCTAAGCAAGAACAAGCAAAGCTAAAACAATAAAATCCTATTTTAAATTCTTTTGTAAAATGAATACTCAAGAGATCAGTGTTATAGCTTAATTTTAAAATGAAAGCCATAGTCAAAAGTGTATTTCAAATGCTAAATATTATAAAGAACAAGTGAAGTTTTGTGTGTGTGTGTGTGTGTGTGTGTGTGTGTTTTTCAATAGCTAGACCTAGAGATGTATTGCACACAGGGCTGGCTTATGAATAAACAAGAACATTTATTGTGACAGATGCAGCATTTTTTTCTACACTTCTTCCAAGATTTTACATCAACCAGGTAAACTTGACAACCTAGTTTCAAATTTATATGTTAACCTTTTATTTATATTCGTTGTTTCTTAGCTCCAGATACCATTTACTAACTTGTGCCTCTCTGCATCAAATTCGTTAACCTGTTTTTATTAACTAATTTATCAAATCACTATTGAGTTCCTACTATAAACAAGGTACTATGGTAGGGCCTTGGAATATAGTTGTGAATAATACAATTGGTCATCCAAACTCATAAGCCCTTCATATTTGCTTATAAATTAAAACCCTAGGCAGTATTTGCCTGAAGTTTAAATATATTACATTTTATTATGAGAATTTTTTGTGTTGCCATAATGGAAAAGATGTAACTGTTAAGATATTATATGATTAGATTATCTCGTGAGATTTATCTTTTTAAATGATTCTCTGTAAGCATGTATTCATTTATGCATAGTGCCCTCATACCCAAATATTTCCTCAAAGAAATTAATGGGCATTTATTGAGTACCTACCATGCTGGAGACTGTGGCTAGGTTTACTGTCTGATGAAAGAGATATGAATATAAACGAGCCAAGAAGTATGATTGTTGCCATAATAGAAACATGCTCAAGGTGGTGTAGAAGGAAAGTGCTTAATCTGCCTTGATTTTTTAGAGGAGAGTGTCAGAAAAGTATTCATCTATCTTTTGAGAGACCAGACAATCAGTAGATGAAATAATCATAGTGGAGAAGCTAGGGTAAGTGAAATTTAAGTAGAGATTTATGTTATTTTACTTTATATCTGACTTAAAGAATAACATACTCTAACATAAACCAGACAAAAAATATAAGAAAACTTTTATGGATTCCAGAATGATTTGTAATAAGTGGTACTAAATGCACTATAACATTATGATATAAATAAATCTTTAAAACAAACATTTCATAAGCATTTAAAATCATCCCTAAACCTGGCTAGGCACAGTGGCTCACGCCTGTAATCCCAGCACTTTGGGAGGCTGAGGCGGGTGGATCATTTGAGATCAGGAGTTCAAGACCAGCCTGGCCAACATGGTAAAACCCCGTCTATACTAAAAATACAAAAATTAGCCAGGTGGTAGTGGCATATGCCTGTAATCCCAGCTACTCGGGAGGCTAAGGCAGGAGAATCACTTGAGCCTGGGAGGCAGAGGTTGCGGTGAGCTGAGATCATGCCACCGCACTCCAGCCTGGGCAACAGAGTGAGACCCTGTCTCAATCATACCTAAACCAAAAATATTTCCATAGACGTTTGACCATCACTTGATATCAGGATGATGGATTATGACCTGTTATTTTTAGTTTGTCATGTAGTGAATATACTGTATAAAGGAAACCTGTAGACTTGAGAAAGATTTTAATAAAGCTTCTCTACATGTAAGTAAAATAGGCAAGAATGAATACTACCAATAATACCACAAAGTATTAGTAGATATGGTTGACCAAATGAACCAACATGATTACGAGATACTTTAATGATGGATTTGATAACTGCATATGTTTCATTCATTATTCAGTGTTATGATAACTGCAAAATTACTCCAAAATACACATCCTCATTTGAAGTACAGAACATATACCATAAAACATGCTTATATTTAATTTTAAAAGACATAGGAAGCTTATAAAAATAAAATAGTTATGTGTTGTCTTTTATGTTGTAGGGCTACTAAATAAGTAAAATACAAAAGCTCTATCACTTGAGTAGCTTCTCATTTATGGAGATAGAGAAGACCTATATGCAGAAATGCTTGGGATCAAGGTAGTACATACTAAGGTGATGAATTATGCTAAATCAACAAATGAGTACATAAGAAGCTAACCATCACAAAAGTAATACTTAGAAGAGGAGTATTAGAAAAGGGAGACAATTATGAACTAATGTCATCAGGAAAAGCTACAGGGAGGAGGCCAAACTTAAATTTTGCCTGGAAATATAGTTGGTTCTGTATATCTGTTGGTCCCACATCCATGGATTTATGCAGCTATGGATCAAAAATATATGGGGAAGAAAAAGTAAAGGTTGTGTCTGTCCTGAACAAATACAGACTTTTTCCTTATTATTCCCTAAACAATACAGTCAGACAACCATTTACGTGGTATTTACATTGTATTAGATAGTATAAGTAATCTAGAGATGCTTTAAAGTACACCAGAGGTTGTGCGTAGGTTCTTTGCAAATGCTACGCTATTTTACATAAGGGATTTGAGCATCCATGGATTTTGATGTCTGTGGGGAGGTGGGACGGAGGGTGGTCCTGAAACCAATCGCCCAAAGATACCAAGGGACAACTGTAATAGGACAACACTTTGTTGGGCTTTTATTTTTGAATTCTACTTTTTAAAGTACTTTTATCTTTGCAAAATCAAATCTGTGCTTTGAGAAATGAAGCAAAACATTCTTTGTTTAATGTTTTCTTTGTGGCTTATCAGTAGTTATTAACCTGGGTACCGTTGAAATCTAAAAATTATGAATTCTTACAGTAATACACATACACAATTTCCACATAATTTCAGACAGTTCTCAGACCTCTAGTTAACTCACCAGGCATTAATTTTATGTTATTTTCTTAAATTATTCTTAATCTGTAATGGAGACTTTGAACACATTAAGTTGTGTTTGAAGAGGAGTAACAATATATTATTTCTAATATATTCTATGAGTTACTACTGTGAAATCTCATTTATCCAGAGTGTGCTTTGGTAGCAACCATACTTTTGTGGCATAATAATAGTTTCCTGGAATAATAATAATTTATTGTGATTAAAGTGATGCTATGTGTCTGATCTCTCTTTACACATCAAGTAATACTATAAAAAAGCCTACAGGTAGATGGGCATTATCCCTTTTTTGTACTTGTTCTTTTGTTTTCTTAAAATTTAAAATTATGTAAATACACATAACCTAAAATTGACTATTTTAACTATTTTAATGAGTACAATTCAGTGACATTAAATACATTTACAGTGTTGCACAACTGTCACCACTGTCTGGTTCAGAAGTTTTTCATCTAGGGTTCAGTTTAGAAGGAAATTATACCCATTAAGCAGTCACTCCTAATTCTCTCCTGCCCTCATCCCCTAGCAACTGCAGGTCTACTTTCTGTTTCTATGGATTTGCCTGTTCTGGACATTTCATATAAACAGAATCACGCAGTATACTACTATTTGGATCTGGCTTATTTTGCATAGCCAGGGTTTTCAGGGTTCATCTATATTGTAGCATGACTCATTAATTTCTGCAGTTGAATAATGCTCCATTTTGTGGATATGCCACATTTTATCCATTCAAATTGTCCAAATTGATGGATATTGCTATGAAATAAGAGCTAAAACCAGGAGCTAACGAAGTTTACATTTGAACACCTGTTTCCATTTCTTTGGGATATGTACCAATACTTTTTTCTTGTCATTTGTCCCTAAGCAATACAGTATAACAACTATTTACATGGCATTTACATTGTATTAGATAGTATAAGTAATCTAGAGATGCTTTAAAGTACACCAGAAGTGGAATTGCTGGGTCATCTTGTAATTCTGTTTAACTTCTTGAGGAACTCCCAAACTGTTTACACAGTGGCTGTACCATTTTATATCCCTACCAGCAATATATACAAGGGTACCACTTTTTCACGTCCTCACCAACATTTTTTTCTTTTGTATTTTTTGTTTTTTTTAATTTTAGCCATCGTAGTGTGAAGTGGTATCTCATTGAGGTTTTGATTTGTATTTCTCTAATGACTAATGTCCTTGGGTATCTTTTCATGTGCTTATTGGTCATTTATATATCTTCTTTGGAGAAATGCCTGTTTAAACCCTTTGCCCATTTTTTAATTAGGCTGTTTTTTTGTTGTTGTTGTTAAGTTTAGTAGTTCTTAATATATTTTGGATAATCTCGTCTCAGATATACATGATTTGCAAATATATTTTCCGATTATGTAGGTTATTTTTTGTCTCATTAGAGTGGCCTTTGGACATAAGTGTTTTTTTTTGGTTTTTTTTTTTTGAGATGGAGTCTAGCTCTGTCGCCCAGGCTGGAGTGCAGTGGAATGATCTTGGCTCACTGCAAGCTCCGCCTCCCGGGTTCACGCCATTCTCCTGCCTCAGCCTCCCGAGTAGCTGGGACTACAGGTGCCCGCCACCACGTCTGGCTAATTTTTTTTTGTATTTTTAGTAGAGATGGGGTTTCACCATGTTAGCCAGGATGGTCTCGATCTCCTGACCTCGTGATCTGCCCCCTCGGCCTCCCAAAGTGCTGGGATTACAGGTGTGAGCCACCATGCCCGGCCCTGCACATAAGTTTTTAATTTTGATGAAATACAATTTATCTAATTTTTTTTTTTTTTTTTTTGGTTACCTGTGCTTTTGGTGTCTTGCCCAAGAAATCCTTGCTAAATCTGATGTCATAAAGATTTTCCCCTGTTTTCTTCTAAGAGTTTTATAATTTGAATTCTTATGTTTAGGTATTTGATCCGTTTTGAGGTGATTCTTGTATATGGTATTCTTTTCTTTTTGAGACAGAGTTTCGCTCTTGTCCATGCTGGAGTGCAATGGTGTAATCTCAGCTCACCACAACCTCCGCCTCCTGGGTTCAAGTGATTCTCCTGCCTCAGCTTCCTGAGTAGCTGGGATTACAGGTATGTGTCACCGTGCCCGGCTAATTTTGTATTTTTAGTAGAAACAGGGTTTCTCCATGTTGGTCAGGCTGGTCTCAAACTCTCAGCCTCAGGTGATCCACCCGCCTCGGCCTCCCAAAGTGCTGGGATTACAGGCATGAGCCACCGCGCCCAGCCTCTTTTTTTTTTTTTTTTTTCTAATAGTTGAAGAAAGTGAAGTTCAGTGAAGTTATGAATTACATATAAGAGCAGAACCTGTTATCTTTCCTATTAGTGATTTTTTTTTTTTTACTAGGAGTTGATAAACTATGGCCTAAAGCCAAATTGGATTCACCATCTGTTTTTGTTCAGTCATAACCTAAGAATGATGTTAAATTTTTAATTAAAAAATTAAAAGAATAATATTATGTGACATGTGAAAGTTATATCGTTCAAATCTCATTGTCCACAAATCAGGTTTTAGTAGAACACAGGCGTACACATTTTGTTGGTGTATTGTCTGTGGTTCAGAGTGCATGGGGTGTTTTGTACCAGTGACTAAGAACTTAGCTCCTGAATAAGAATACTTTAAAGGGAGAATAACCCAAGGTTTGCATCTGATCAGCCTGGTTGCAGAGAAAACTGTTTTGTTTTTTTTCTTCAGGGTGTTCTTTAGTTCTAGTTTTGTTCTTTTTAAATGGCAGCCATGTAGTTATTGTTTAATCCTTTCTTTTGTTTATTGGCAAACACTATATTCATTATTGTTTGCTCTCAGTTATGTGGTGGTAATGGGGAAAATGTTTTGAAAGCACATAGAGTTCTATAGTTGAAAATAAGATGTGTTGTTTTTAGTAAAGCACTGCAGGTAAACCACCTTGACCCTGTCAGAAATACAGACTCAGCCTTGAGGTTTTGACCCTGGCAGTGAAAAAAAAAATCTCTCTCATTATTTTACAAGTATCCATCTATTCCATTTCTTCCTCATTATGTTGCTTCTTTTGTGTCTTTTTAATGAGAGACTTTTATTTCAAGAAATCTTTTTATTTGATCCTCATAAAGGCTTTTTTATATTTTAAAAATAATGTATTAAAAATAATATAAAAGTAGCTAATGACTTTTCTCTCAATTGTTATTTTTGGTGACCTTGAATCTACTACTTTTAGACACTTGTGATAAATGAAAGATTAGAAACAGTTAAAACCTGGTGTCTTGATGGTTAAATGATGTTTATTTACTCAAAGCATAAACACTTCATCAGCTTCAGGTTTTTTTTATAATGATTTCTTACAGTAAAATGAACCTGGGCCAGGTGCGGTGGCTTATGCATGTAATCCTGTCACTTTGGGAGTGCAAGGCAGGCAGATGGCTTGAGCCCAGGAGATTGAGACCAGACTGGGCAACATGGCAAAACCCCGTCTATACCAAAAAAAATGCAAAAACTAGCCGGGCATGGTGGCGTATGCCTGTAGTCCCAGCTACTCAGGAGACTGAGGCTTACCTGAGCCCGGGAGTTTGAGGCTGCAGTGTGACTTTATTAGAGATAAACATATATGTATTTATTCATGGCAGATATATATATATATATATATATACACACACACACACACACATATATTTTAGATACATAAAATACAAATATTCATTTAGAAGTAGATAGACTAGATGTATTAAATATCTTTGTAATGTTCAAATTTTACCTTTGAGTTTGAGAGAATACTTCTGCCAGAAAAAACTGAATGCTTCTAACAACCTCATGACTTATTCCACATCTAGCCTAAGAGGCATAGTTAACTTTAATCTGTAATTGACTGGAGTAAACTTTATAAAGTAGAGCTTTTTAAATTTTTTTCTTTTTTGAGATGGGGTCTTACTCTGTCCCCCAGGCAAGGGTGCAGTATTGCCCTAGCTGGAGAGCAGTGGCGCAGTCATTGTTAACCTCAAACTCCTGGGCTCAAGTGACCCTCCTGCCTCAGCTTCCTAAGTAGCTAGGACTACAAGTGTATACCACCATGCCTAGCTAATTTAAAAAAACTTTTTGTAGAGATGGGGTCACTCTTCTGGCCTCAATGGATTCTCCCACCTTGGCCTCTTAAAGTGCTGGGATTACAGGTGTGAGCCACCACACTTGGCCTGTAAAAGAAGGTTTTAGTACTATGAACTCAATAGTCTGTTTTAAGTTTTTCCATAGCAATTTTTGTGAGGTAGGGAGTTTTTAATCACATGATCCATTCAAAAAATATAAAATTGTTGGATGATTACCAGAGGCTGGAAAGAATAGTAGGGGGTTAGGGAAGAAGTAGGGATGGTTAATGGGTACTAAAAAAATAGTTAGAAAGAATGAATAAGACCTAGTATTTGCTAGCACAACAGGATGGCTATAGTGAAAAATAACTTATTTGTACATTTTAAAATAAGAGTATAATCAGATTGCTTGAAATACAAAGGATAAAATGCTTGAGGGGATGGATACCCCATTTATGCTGATGTGATTATTATGCATTGCATGCCTGTATCAAAATATCTCTTGTAACCGATAAATGTATATACCTACTGTGTATCCACAAAAATTAAAAAGAAAAATATATATTTTAAAATAGTAAACTTATCACTTTTAGTCCATTTGTGTTACTATAAAGGGATATCTGAAGCTGGGTAATTTACAAAGAAGAGAGGTTTATTTGGTTCATGGTTCTGCAGGCTATACAAGAAGCGTGACACCAGCGTCTGCATCTGGTGAGGGTATCAGGCTACTTCCACTCATGGTGGAAGGCAAAAGCTAGCCTGAGTGCAGAGATCACATGGCAAGGTAGTAGGAGGAGGAGGAAAAAGAGAAGGAAGAGAGGGAGGTGCTGAGTGAGAACTCACTCACTCCCTTGAGAATAACACCAAGCCATTCATGAGGAATCTGCCCCCACAACCCAGACACCTTCCACTAGGCCCCATCACCAACAGTGAGGATCAGATTTCAACATGAGACTTGGTAGGTACAAACAAACCATATGTACCCACTGGAACAACTTTTATAAAAAACTACTACTCATTTTGGGAGGCCAAGGTGGGCAGATCATCTGAGGTTGGGAGTTTTGTTGCATGGGCAACAAAAGCGAAACTCAGTCTCAAAAAAAAAAAAAAAAAAAAAAAAGCCAGGCGTGGTGGCTCACGCCTGTAATCCCAGCACTTTGAGAGGCTGAGGCAGACGGATCACAAGGTCAAGAGATCGAGACCATCCTGGCTAACATGGTGAAACTCTGTCTCTTCTAAAAATACAAAAATTAGCTGGGCGTGGTGGCGTGCACCTGTAGTCCCAGCTACTTGGGAGGCTGAGGCAGGAGAATCACTTGAACTCGGGAGGTGGAGGTTGCAGTGAGCCGAGATCACACCACTGAACTCCAGCCTGGTGACAGATCAAGACTCCGTCTCAAAAAAAAAAAAGAACTACTACTACTACCATAAACAACTGTTCTAAAGTAAAGATGCAGGGTGTTATGCATACCAGTTTGCCCTAGTATGGGAAGTCAATGAAAACTTCCCAAGAAAATACCTCTTGAGCTAATATCTGAAGGATGAATAGAAGTTAACCAGTCTAAGAGAGAAGAGAAAACCAATCAAAGCAGAAGCCCAGTAGTTAGTTGGAATTTGACAAGTATAAGGATCAGCTGGTATGATTAGACTCAAGAAATCTGAGAGGTCTATTGGGAATGCAAATTGTTACATATATATACAATTGTTATGGAGAGCAATATGGAAATTCCTCAAAAAATTACAAACAGAATGACTATATAAGAGCCAGCAATCCCACTTGTGGTTATATATCCAGAGGAAATAAAGTCACTATCCATGCACTCTCAGGTTCATTTCAGAATTATTCACAATAGCCAAGATATGGAAACAACCTAAGTTCTGTCCCCAGATAAATAAAGAAAATGTAGAGTGTGTATGACACACATATGCACAATGCAAAATTATTCATTAGAAAACAAGGATATTGTTGCATCAAAGAGAAAATAAGGATAACTTTCTATTTGTGGCAACATGGATGGACCTGGAGGACATTATGCTAAGTGGAATAAACCAGGCACAGAAAGACAAATTCCACATGATCTCACTTGTATGTAGAATCTTTAGAAGTTGAACTCATAGAAATAGAATAGAAGGGAAAGTTGAACTCATAGAAATAGAATAGAAGGGTAATTACCAAAGGTAGGTTGCAGGGGGAGAAATGGGGATGTGTTGGTCAAAGGGTGCAAACTGTTGGTTATAAGATGAATACGTTCTGGAGACTTAATGTACATAATGGTAACTACATGATGTTTGGTGATGGATATGTTAATTAGCTTGATTGTGGTAATCATTTCACAATGTATACATATATCAAAACATCACATTGCATGCCTTAAATACATATAATTTCTATTTGTCTCTTATGCCCCAATAAAGTTTTGGGGAAATAAATCTGAGAGGCGTGGTACAAAATGAGTATGAAAGGGTGGGATGGGGTCAGATTACCCATGGCTTTTTGTATCAAGTTTTAAGGAAATTAATCTTCATCGTAAGAGCAGTGAAAGCATATGAAGTGTTTTAAGCAAGTTGAAGGGTATGTTTGGAAAATCTCATTCTTGTTGGCTCTGTAAAGAATGATTGTGAGAAGGGAAGTGAGAAGGCAAGTTGAATAAAGACTGATCAAATAAAGGTGATGGTAGCCTGCATTTGGGTAGTAGTGGTGGCAGTGGTGATGGCTATTGATAGAGACAGATGACAAATGCCAGAAATATTTAGGATGTTAAATTGACAGGACTTTGAATTGGATATGGGGAAGAATGAGAGCGTGTAAGATACTAAAATAGCTTCAAGGTCTGGCTTTTACAGTGTTCTTGGAGGTTATTTCTCTTTATTGAACTAGGATGGTTGTTATTGTTTATTGTATTTGTTTGGGATAGAGAGATGGCAAAGGCATTTATGCATTCCCTTTGGACCTGCTTGAATTTGATGAGCTGTTGAATATGCATGTCTGGAGCTCACAGGAAATTTCCGAGTTGGAGAAATAAATTTGTGAGGCCCACTCTTGACTATTTTAAAGTGAAGCACTGCTATCCCCTGCCACCCACACTCTTGATCCTTTTTACTGTACCTCTGTGTACAATTCAGTAGCATTTAGTGTGTTCACAATGTTGAATAGCCATTGCCTCTAATTTCAGAACGTTTCTAACACCCCGCCCCCCGCCCGCCCCCCGCCCCGCCAATGGAGACTCTGTAATCATAAGTCACTCCTCATTCCTGCCTCCTACATCAGCAGTCTTTTTGAGAAAGAAGGGCACTGGGCCTAATGTCAGGGAAACATATTTCTCTTGGTTAGGGTGATGGTGGGCATAGAAGACTGTCTTTGGAATGAGTGACAGAGGTTCTAGAAACTGGATGTGCTGCTGTTGCTTCAAACTCATATGTCTGAACCAGACTCTTTACTACTAAAAACAGCTCCTCCCCATCTGGACTTAAATATTTCTCTCAATTCTGCCATCCTTCTCCTAGTAACTGAGGTCTAAGACCTGGTAGCCTTTTTATCTCCTTCCCCAGTTATCACTATAGCCTTATAAATTTCTTCCTTTCTGTTCCCACTGCTGTCACTTTAACCTGGGTCCTTTTTAGCTTATTGCTGAACTGTCATAACTAGTCTCCCTGCCTCTAGTTTCTTTATCTTCTAATGATGGAGTATTCCATCTTAGACGTGTAGATACTGCTGCTAGATATTTATAACCTGGTATTCAAGGCCCTCTACAATCTACCCTTTCTTGTGCTGCTGTTTTGGTAGTCAAATAACATAAGTGAAGTATTATGCAAATATCACTGTGGTTGTTAGGCTTTGTCTTTTTCCCTCACTGTTACCTTTACCAGCCCCAGGTTTAAATCAAACCAGTCTAATCAGTATCCTTAAGCATACTTTGTGTTTTTTTCTTTCTCAGCATCTTTGTTATAGCAATTCCACTTCCCTGGAATTCTCTCCCTCCCTTCTTTCCTCCTATATCCTTTTTGAAATCTTACTTTTTGAAATCAGAGTCTCAGTGATCATTCACTTCTTTGAATCAGTTGTAACATATATTTTTTATACCATGTGTTATTTAGCCTGTGCATCCTTAAATTATTGTTTGATTTGTGTTAACTATATTTGTCTTATCTCGACATTTAGATTGTGAAACTTTTGATGGTAGGGAACATGTCACCTAGCACCTAGCTGTGTATTCTGAATATAAATGATTGGTAAATGATCTATGATTATATGACATGGTACTGAGAGAGTCATCAGAAATCATTTTGGGAATGATTTGTCTGCCCTTTCTCCTCAACTCTCTTTTTTGTTGTTGTTATCATGTTGACTTTTGGTATGAAATGTTAACTAAAAAAGTGATTTTTTTGCATTAAACTTAATAGTAATTTTTACATCTCATTTCAGGTGAGCAGATTTAAAAATCTAGCTAGATTATTTTTCAACACCTAATATATATTTCGTGATTGAAAAATAACAAGTGTAGAAAGTTATATAGTGACAGTTTAGATTGTGTTTTCAGTTCTTCTGTGAAGACAGTTATAGTCTAAACTTTGTCCGTGGAAACACTAGTTTTGCTTCCTGTGCTCATGCGTAGTCCTGGTCTGTAGCATGAAGTGCGGGGGTTGTACTAGAGAAGACCATATTTAGTTAAGTGTGACAACTTATTAGATAATCTAATACTTGTACCTTTCAAAATACTTAGTTTTCCATTAATAGGGAGCTTGATCTTTCTTATCCCCCTTCTCAGTGGGATAGAGTGAAAGTCCAAAACTAATACCTTATCTTGGTGGTGGTTGTTGTTTTCTGAGACAGGATCTTGCTGTGCCACTCAGGCTGGCGTGCAGTGTTACAATCACATCTCACTGCAGCCTCTACCTCCCAGGCCCAAGTGATCCTCCCACCTCAGCCTCCCAAGTAGCTGGGACCACAGGAGTGTACCACTGTGCCCAGCTTATTTTTTCATTTTTGTAGAGATGGGACCTCCCTATGTTGCCCAAGCCAGTCTGGAACTCCTGGACTCAAGTGATCCTCCTGCCATGGCCTCCCAAAGTGCTGGGATTACAGGCGTGAGCTACTGCACCCAGCCAATACCTTATCTTTACATAATGTAATTACTAGGAAAACAAGCACCTTTTATGTGCCAGGCACTGTGTAAGATCCTGGGATAGAATGGTGAATGAGCCTGAAACAATCTCTACTTTGATAAGGTTGGGAGGACATATATAATAAATAATTTTAGATAGTAGTAAGTGCTAGAAGCATATAAGTCAGGGTTATGATAGTATTTTAAACTTAGGGGCTCAAGAAAGGTCTCTTTGATGTGACATTTAAACTAGTACCTGAGTAATAAGAAGGAATCAAACGTGAAAAGAATATTTTAGGCAGAATGAACAGTTGAAATATCTAAAAGGAGGAATGGGCTTGGGGTATTCAAGGATCAGAAAGACGGCAACTGTGCCTAGGGAATGGTGAGTGAAGGGCAGATGCCAAATCTTATAAGGCAGTATAGATCATGAGATGGAATTTAAATTTTATCCTATGTACAGTAGGAAGCCAATTGCAAGATTTTAAGTGGGAGTATGACATTATTTGAGTTATGGTTGAAGGGTGATTCTGACTACCATTGAGAATGGCTTGTAAATTCTGCTTTCTAAAGAGAGGGATTAGTAGACACTGATAGACAGTGTAAAGCTAGTGTATAAATTATAGGAAGCCCTTATTTAAGTTTTTCTGCCTCATACTCATCTTTTTTTTCTTTTTACTTTCGTGGTTTTAAAAAAGTAGGGTTAGCAGTATTTCAGTCGACTTTAATCTTCCATATGTTTTCCCCTTATTATCAAACCTTCAAGAACAAAACCTTTTCATCTATTTTTTTATCAGCACTCAGTAGTTTATTTGTAGACTGACTAACCACTTCAAAACTACATGACTTAAAACAACAAGAATTTACTATTTCTTATGATTTTGAAGTTTGGTTGGGTTGTTATTCTGTTGATTTTGTCTGTGCTTCCTCAGGAGCTGCATTTAGGCAGAGGTGTGGCTAGGCTAGAAGGTGCAAAATGGCCTTAACTACATGTCTAACTGTTGCTTGGAGTGCCTTCATACTCCCTGATGATGGAGATCTGGTATTAAATCAGAGAACCAAGGCAGTTTCCAATAAACTAGATCATTTTCTTTACATGGTGATCTCTGTGTAGCTCTCCAAGAAAGTGAAAAGCAGAAGCTAGCAGAGGCTCAAGATTTATAGTCAAAAGTCATATAACCTCATTTTTGTCACATTCTGTTTATAAAAGCGGGTCCAAGTCCAGTCAGATCCTGTACTCTTTTTTTTTGATGGAAAGAAGGGGAAAGTCACATTGTGAAGGAGCAGTTATGATAATCTATGTAAATAATCTATCATGGTCTACCCTCTAGCCACTGCAATTCATATTTCTCCCACATGCAGACACTCATCCTCTCCCTAAATACCAAAAAACCATACCTGTTTGCAACCACACTCTCCAAGTCCATGATCTCTTGATCTACATCAGGTCCCTATGTGAATAAGGCTTCTCAAGTTCAGTTCCCCCAGTATGGCAACTCTTGATTCAGAGACCTGTCAACTAAATAGACTGCCAAATAAGCGATCTGAGCTTCCAGCTTAAGAAACTAGATAAAAATGAGCAAATTAAACCCAAAGTAAACAGAGGGAGTTAAATACAAGAACATTAATCAATAAAATAGAAAAGCAAGAAAATCAGTGAACCTCCCAAAGCTGGGTGCTTTGAAATCAAGATCAATAAAATTGATATACCTCTAGGTAGACTGATCTACAAAAAAAGAAGAGGCACAAATTACCAATATCTGGAATGAAAGAGGTGATATTACTGCAGAATCTACAAACGTTGGAAGAATAATAAGAGAATATTATGAACGACTTTATTCCTGTAAATTTGACAACTTTGATAAATGGTCAGATTTCTTGATGGACACAAATTATCAAAGCTCACTCAAGAAGAAATAATCTGAAAACCCCTATTAAAGTCTATAGTGGACTTTAATATGTTTTTTAAAGAAATTGGATTTATAGCTAAAAACCTTTCGTGCAAAGAAAACTGCATGGCTTAATGGTGAATTAATTAATGTTCTTCCAAATATTTAAGGAAGAAATAATGAATGCCAATTTCATATAAACTCTTTCAGAAAACAGAAGAGAAAGGTAACACTTCTCAACTCATGAGGCCAGCATTACTAGAATGCTAAGACAGAGACATTACAGGAAATCTGTAGGCCAGTGTCCCTTAGAAACATATGCAGAAATCCTTAATAAAATATTAGAAAATGATAAAATAACAAATTGAATCCAGCAGTATAAAAATAAAAGGTTAATACCTGATGACTAAAAGGTTTGTATATCAAAAAATGTAACAATGGTTTAACAATCTAAAATCAATATGATTCACCATATTAACAGACTCAAGTAGAAAAACTAATCAGTTCAATAGATGCAGAAAGACATCATTCGTAATGTAAAAGCAAACCAAAACTTAACAAACTAGGCATAGAAAAGAACTTTCTTAAACTGATAGAGGGTTTCTACTAAATACCCAAAACTTAGATTGTACTTGATGGTCAAAGACTGAATGAATGCTTTTCTCTTGGGACTGGCAGCAGGGCAAGAATTTCTGCAGGTACTACTGCTATTCATAATATACTATAGCTCCTCACCAGTAAAATAGGAAAATAAAAGGCATATGGACTACAGAAAAAAGAACCAAAGCTGTCTCTATTCACAGACAACCTAATTGTGCTTGTAAAACAAATCCTAAGGGATATGTTTGTAAAAACTCTTAGAATTATTAAGTTAGTTTAGTAAAGTCACAGGATACATGAAATAATATACAGAAATTGGCCGGGCGCGGTGGCTCACGCCTGTAATTCCAGCACTTTGGGAGGCTGAGGCGGGCGGATCACGAGATCAGGAGATCGAGACCATCCTGGCTAACACGGTGAAACCCCATCTCTACTAAAAATACAAGAAAAATTAGCTGGGCGCGGTGGCAGGCGCCTGTAGTCCCAGCTACTCGGAAGGTTGAGGCAGGAGAATGGCGTGAACCCGGGAGGCGGAGCTTGCAGTGAGCCGAGATCGCGCCACTGGACTCCAGCCTGGGCGACAGAGCGAGACTCCGTCTCAAAAAAAAAAAAAAAAATCATAAATCATTTTTAGTTCTGTACACCGTTATATTAGAAATGAACAACTGGAAAGGGAAAGCACAATAACATTGCCACTTATAGTGGCATCAAAAAATGAAATACTTAAGAATAAATAGTAAATGTATACAAGACCTGGTACTGAAAAACATACAACACTGCTGACATAAATTAAAGAAAACCTGAATAAATTAAGATATATACTATGTTGATGGATCAGAAGACTCAATAATTTGTAATTTTCAGTTCTTTCCAAATTGTTGATAGGTTGAACCCGATCTCAATCAAATCCCTGGGAGGCTTTTATAGAACTTGATAAGCTTAGTCTGTCATTTATATGGAAATTCAGAATACCTATAATAAGCCAATTTAAAAAAAAGTAGAGGAATTACACAACTTAAGACTGTGTGATGTTAGCATAGGATAGATCAGTTGAACAGAATAGAGACTGGAAAGACTTTTGTTTATGGCTCATTAATTTTTGGCGAATATGCTAAGGTAATTCATTGAGCAAATGTTGGTGGAAGAACCGGATATCCATTTGAGGGTAAGGGGGAGCATTTCTTGACTCTTATTTCATACTATATACAGAAATTAAGTTGAGTAGATTATAGTCCTAAACCTAAGAGGTGGAAGGATAAAGCTTCTAGAAGAAATACAGAAGAAAATGTAACTTTGCTAAGGCCAAGTTTCTTAGAGAGAAACCAAAAAACATGAACAATAAGAGAATATTGATAAATTCCATTTTATCAAATTATAAACTTCTAAAGACATGATGGAAGAGTAGTAAGGTTGCATTATAAAAGGACATGCACCATAAGATGGGTATAATTCGCGGCTTTATTTTGCAATGCATTACTCCAGTATAGTATAGAAAAGAGTGTACTGAGCTTAGGAACCTCTAATGTGTAATCTTGACTCTGACACTTGTCAGAGATACTATTTAGTAAATTAGTGTTTTGTTATTTTCTCTGAGTGTTGGCTTTCTTTTTTTGTAAAATGGTAATACTGATGCCTACTCTCTAGAATTACATTGAGGGTCAAATAAAAAAATAGAAAAGAATATATATATAAAGTGCTCTTGCTATTCTTATTTAATGTATCATCATCACCATTGTTATTATACATAGTTGGTCCTTAATAGTTCCTCCCCTTGAAAAATGCTAAGTATGAAAAGATGTCTCTTTTTCACAATACTAACTGTAATTATCTCCTAAGGGAAGCGTAAAATTTTTTAATGTTTCAGTAGATGTATAAACTCCAGTTTATTTTAACCCTCTGATTCTTGACTGTAGGAATCAAACATGGGTGTAATCACATTTTTTTTCTCAGAAGAACTGCTCACACTGTTACACTCTGTAGTTTTATGCCAGACCAGTCCCTTTCACCAGTATTACTTTTATGAGCAATTAAAATATAGAACTAATAATAATATCATTTATGAAGTAATATAACATTATAAATATATACTATGTATTATACATTTAAACTATAATAATAATAAAACTGGTCATTAGAGTACTTTTTGCCTAGAAATTTCCTCCGTGTACTTTTTTAATTGTGGTGAGATTCAGCTGTACTCTAAAACATGTAATTATCCACTGTGAGAAATAAAAGATAGTTAAGTGGTTCCCAAGAACATATTAGACACTTTGAGCTAACATGAGAATGATTTCATGTCAAATGAGATGAACTCTATGGCTTCACAAATCCACTTGTCTTTGGCACAGGGAAAATGAATCTTTTTAATATCTGAGAGTTAGGTTATAGAGATTCATCCATTATAAATTTAAACTTATTATATTACACAGGTTAAGAATATTTTTTCCATCAAGGGCCACTGAACCAGAGGGTTAAAAAAAAAAAAAAAACAGCCCCCAAGGCCACTTTCAAAGAGTTGTGCTGAGGGTTTTGGGGGCAAGAAAGATTAAAAAAAAAATGTTCATTCTACTTTTAATATAAAAACAGGAATATAGAATTTTGTTCAATTAATACAATTAAAGTACAATATTGTTCTTCATTTTAGGTGGTACAGGATATAAGATGGTAGTATTGAAAAGAGTGAAAGAAAAAAATCAGCTGTCATCATCTTTCTGTATGTATATTTTTCAGTTGTCAGTGTACCACCTTTCCAGTCAGCCAGACCGGAAGGAAGATGTGAGATTGCTAGTGAGGTTGGCATAGCTGGGATGGAAAAAGAGACTTATAAACTGGTTCTAGTGGTTTTGAAGTGGGTGTCAGCATTTCTGTACAGATGTCCTAAATCTTTTGGGTTGTAGTAATAAGTTGTTTGTTATCCATAGTCATTGAAATTCTGTTTTTCTCATTATCAGTTAATGTTTATTCCTAATCTCTGTTACTTTATGCCACCCTAAAGGAAAATTATTCTTATGTGTACAACATTATTATCTCATAAGAGTACTTGCTATAGGCCAGATAGATTCATAACCCAAAGACCTCCAATTCCTTGGATCAGTTTCTGTATGACATGGAATTCTTTCATCATGGCTCTGAAATTTTTGTTCTTCCATTAAAAAAAGTCCTTTTTGTTTATGAAAATAGAGTGCAACCCAACACATTTTCTTCAATACAATCTTGGGAAGTATTCTTAGTACCTACTGGTGTTGCCAGAATACTAACCTTGAGACTAGAGATCTCATCTTTGTATCTTCCGTAATATTTTGCACAAAGTGGAGGTTTAATCTCAAAGGCAAGACTATTATTTTATCATTTAGAGTCCCCCTGTGTTAGAAAAGGAAGAGAAGAATAAACATGGCCAAGAACAGCATAGACCTAGAAAATGTGAT
The DNA here is from genome assembly GCF_000001405.40 of Homo sapiens. Lineage (NCBI taxonomy): Eukaryota > Metazoa > Chordata > Mammalia > Primates > Hominidae > Homo > Homo sapiens. The sequence goes on from NC_000008.11 coordinate 28,937,752, forward strand.
CGATCATCAGAGTTTTCTTGAAGGTAATTTATGGGAGAAAACTGAAAAATAACTTTAAAAATTAGAAAGTTTTGAAGGTGAAGCATGTGTCTGCCATCTATTCATTTTTGTCCCTCTGTATATTATGATACTTAGTTTTTTCTCCCTTATCCATAATTTTTTTTATACTTCAGTTATTAGGTGTCATCACAGATCCCTCATTGAATCTCCATCTGTCATTTTCTCTTTTTGATTGCCTCAGGAGACCTCTTGCTCATGACCTTTATTAATTTAAGCCAGGATAACAGGCTTTTGTTTCAATTTGTCATACTAGAGTTCTTATATGTCTGGTATTGCAGGCCTCCTCAGTTCTCCATGTTTCAGATAACAGACTTTGATAACTTTTCCACATCATGTTGGTCAGGAATCTATATGTTAAAAACAAAGAGCAGTGTTGAAATGTGACTTTGCACAAGTAAACCTACCTCAGCTAGTTTTATCTGCAAAATCGAGAAAATTAATATCTGCTCTTGCAATGTAATAGAATTTGTTGTGAGTATAAAATTAAAGATTTGTAAGCTGCAAGACCTCTGCAATTTTCAGGTATTATGGGAAGGATATTTCTAGAAATAAGTGCCACTTAGGAAGGGCTGCAGTAAAATAAAATATTCACACTCATATGAAGCAGCAAGGGGTATCTTTTTTTTGTTATTTTTAGTTTTTTAAGAGACAGGGTCTTGCTCATTAGCTTAGACTGGAATACAGTGGCACGATCATAGAATCATAGTTCACTGCAGTCCCAAACTCCTGGGCTCAGGTCATCCTCCAGCTTCAGCCTTAAGAGTAGCTAGGATTACAGGCGCACACCACCACTCCTGGCAATTTTTTTTTTTTTTTGGTAGAGACAGGGTCTCGCTATGTTGCTCCAGCTGGTCTTGAACTCCTGGCCTCAAGTGATCCTTTCTGCCTTGGCCTCCCAGAGTGTTGGAATTACAGGCATGAGCCACCTCACCTGGCCAGGGGTATCTTTTCATTCACTTCATTTCTTTATCTGGAGTAGTCTTTTTCTATCTGTGGAAATTCAATTCACCCCAAAAAGCCTAGGGCAGATGGCACCACCTTCATAAATTCTTCCTTTCTAAATTAAAAATGATGGGGGCTCAGGCCTGCAATCCCAGCATTTTGGGAGGCCAAGGTGGGAGGATTGTTTGAGGCTGGGAGTTTCAGACCAACCTGGGCAAGAAAGCAAGACTTTGTCTCTTTAAAAAAACAAAAGAAGCCAGGTGTGGTGGCTCACGCCTGTAATCCCAGCCCTTTGGGAGGCTGAGGTGGGCGGATCACCTGAGGTCAAGAGTTCCACACTAGCCTGACCAATATGGTGAAATCCCATCTCTACTAAATACAAAAAATTAGCTGGGCATGGTGGCATGTGCCTGTAATCCCAGCTACTCGGGAGGCTGAGGCAGGAGAATTGCTTGAACCTGGGAGGCAGAGGTTGCGGTGAGCCGAGATTGCACCATTGCACTCCAGCCTGGGCAACAAGAGCAAAACTCCGTCTAAAAAAAAAAAAAAGAAAAAAGGAAAGAACAAAACATGATATCACCCTCTAGAATGCAGATAATTCAGCAGCTTTTGAATGGATGTAGCAGTTCTTCTATTTTTGCATTGTTTTCAGTCACCCTCTAGTCCTGAGTGAAACATCTTTGATGCTCTGAAATAGTCATTGGAATAGGGCAGGAGTCACTGAAACCTTGCTTTGTTTTTTGTTTAGTTTAGTTTTTGTTTTTGTTTTTTGAGATGGAGTCTTGCTCTTGTCGCCCAGACTGGAGTGCAGTGGTGCCATCTCGGCTCACTGCAATCTCCGCCCCCCCTGGGTTCAAGTAATTCTCCTGCCTCAGCCTCCCGATTAGCTGGGACTACAGGCACCCACCACCACGCCTGACTAATTTTTGTGTTTTTAGTAGAGACGAGGTTTCACTATGTTGGCCAGGCTGGTCTCGAACTCCTGGCCTCTGGTGATCCACCCGCCTCGGCCTCCTGAAGTGCTGGGGTTACATGCGTCAGCCACCGTGCCCGGCCGAGGAACTTGTTAAAAAACACCAGCCCTAACCTCACACTCTGATTGCAGTAAGTTGGGGATCAGGCAGTGTCAAACAGGCTGCTTTTTAAAAAATCTCTTGTATTTTGGCCCTTCCCATAGTAGGTCTTTTACGCATGATGTTCCCTTTGCTTCTTTGTCTATATAATGTCTGCCCTTCAGATCTGAGCTTTATCTTTTAAAAAAAAATTGTTTTAGATTTTTTTTGTATTTTTTTTGTTTGGAAACAGAGTGCAATGGTGCTATCTCGGCTCACCGCATCCTCCATCTCCTGGGTTCAAGCAATTCTCCTGCCTCAGCCTCCTGATAGCTAAGATTACATTCATGTGCCACCACACCTGGTTAATTTTGTATTTTTAGTAGAAACGGGGTTTCCCCATGTTGGTCAGGCTGGTCTTGAACTCTCAACCTCAGGTGATCCGCCTGCCTCAGCCTCCCAAAGTGCTGGGATTACAGGCATGAGCCCACCGCACCTGGCCTGTTTTAGATTTTTTTTAAAAGACTAGTTAATGAGCTTTATCATTAGTTCCTAAGGTGAATCCTTTCCCAACCTCTCTGACAAAGTCAACTCTCCCACATTATATGCTCTCATAGCACTCAATACCCCATTAGAATGTTTATCCCAAGTGCAACTTTGCATTTATTTGTATTGTTATTTATGTAATGACTCTCACTACACTGTAAGCTTCCTAAGGGTAGAAATATGTATGTTCTTTTTCTCTGTTATATTCCTAATGACTAAAATAGTTCCTGGAACACAGTTGTTGCATAATAAATATTGAGTGGGTGGAGGAATAATGGTTTGCAGACATCTTTTGGACAAGCAATGGACCAGGAGTTCTGGACCCTTGCATTCTGTCTCTGGCTTCCAACTGATACGTAATTTATCTCTTAACTTTTCTCTGTCTCTTTTAGTATTGTAAAACTGAATGAAACCTGCCCTACCTACTTAACAGGTCATTGTGAGCATCAAATGAGAAAAGTGAAGGTACTTTGAAAAGTATAAAGGTTCTATTCACATATAAAATTACGTTAAATAGCTCCTGATTTAAGTGGAAGGCACTGTAGTGGATACAAAGTATAATACTAATACATGGATCATGTTATTGTTATTTATTCTATAACCTATAGGAGTTGTATTTCAAGATGGAGTTTAGTTTCTAATTCTTTTATATTTTACTTTTTGCTTATCTTAGAAATTATCTTACTATTCATTGTTTAGAGTAGTGAATATTATTTCCCCTTGTGAAAAGCATGTAAAGAAAAATTACCTAAGCCTAGTCCTCATATTTTTTTCTTTTCTATGGTTCAGAAAGCTCTATGGTTTCAGCACAAACTATCTTTTACAAATGGCTCATCTGTGTATTTATAAATATTTTGTGCTGTGGGGCATAAAGAGATTGTATATGTTAACTCTGGTTAAAATGGAATAGGAAAACATCAGTTAGATAAATTGAATTGAAATAAATACTTTATTGTATTTTGGGAACAGGGCAAGATGTCCTCAATTTAAAAAACAAAATAACTCTATATTGGGTCATTACATAATTTTCTACCACTAGGTTATTAAAATATATTTATGTTTTCCCCTTATTTTCTGTTTCCAAATCTTACCTTTACTTTTTTATTTTTCTAATTTTTCTTCTTTTTAACTTCAACAATCTGGGTTGCAGAGGAAAAAAACCTGGCACTTAATCAAGAACATGATCTCATTGCTTTCAATGGCTTAGAAAAGAAACATTTTAAAGCAGTTGAAAGATTTCACTTTAGAAAGTAGGTACTGCATAACTAAGTGTGTTGGTTCCCAGCAGAGCCTTGAGTAACCTCTTTCCAGCCATCCTCATGTTTTTTCTGTTCTACTTCCTGTTCAGTGAGCAGTAGCCTAAGTTTAAAAAAAAATTCAGTAAGAATTTCCTTTGGCGCTCTTGCCAGAGTATTGTTTTCTGTTCTTTTACTTCTCTACATACTACTGTTATATTTTTGTCGATTGATTGCTTCTAGGCTTCATTACCTATAGACAGAGATGGAGAATAACTTTTAGTTTCCTCTTGCTTACACAAACCCCCCAGCCCTTTCAGAGTCCTCTTCAGTATTTCTAGGAGCCCTTGAATGGAATGTGACATGTGTTCAAGAACAGAAACGAATACTCTTTCCTTACAGCCTCCTTGGGAAGTCCATCCGCCCTCAGGCCACCCCAGTGTGGTACCTATCAATGCCACTGCTACTGGGTCCTCTGTGAGGGATAGTAGCAGTGTGAGAAATGCTGTCTTTAGTGCTTCAGAGCTGCCAGTCTTCAGGGTGCCCCGGAGGTGCCAGGCTGAATTAGACCAGTTCAAGGAGCCAGATGGAAAAAGACACCATGCCATTTATTCCATTGTCCGTAGTTCAGCGCAGTCTCCTTCTGCTCACCCCTTCACCCGCTCTAGGTTCTTGCTGAAATCTCCAGCATCCTTGAACAAGGCAAAATAGCATATATGTGGAGGGAGGGGGTCATTGCCACACCAGTTCTAGTAGTTACTTAATTTCTTAGTCATATTTGGAATCAGCTCAGCCAACTTGTTACATTTTTAAAACATAATTTTAACCTGCTACAGAATTCAAAAAGTACAAAAATGTATCCAGGGGACAGTCTCCTTACTGCCCCCATCCCTCAGTTATTAAGTTCTCCTCCTTGAGGGAATTAATACTACCAGTTTCTTTTGTATCCTTCCAGAAATATTTCATGCATGTGTAAAAACAAATCTATATATAGTTATTTATATTGTTCCCTACTTTCCTCCTCCTGCTGCTCCTTCATAACTGACATGTGTATATTCAGCTCCTTGTTCTTTTCTCTCGGAGTCTGTTTCATATTAGCACATAACGAATTTTCTTATTTTTTTTAATAGTTGCATTGTATGGCTATACTATAACTTATTTATGTAGTCTCCTAATGGTGGCATTTAGGGTGTTTCTGATCTTTTGGTATTACAAATAATACTGCAAAGAATAATACTGAACATAAATTATTTTGCTTATGAGTGTATCTGTAGCATAAATCTCTACTACTGGAATTGCTAGGTTAAAAGTTGTTTGCATTGTAATTTGGATCCTGCTACCTTTTCAGTTACTAAACTCTGAGGGGCTTTGTTTGGCTTTTTGGCTTTTGTTTTGTCTCTGATTCCTAGCTTCTACTCTAGACTCCTGCTTTTTGTGAACCGCTTCTTCACCATCTGATTTTATTTGATGATTGATCAGGCAGTGCCCAGGCAATATGAATAAGTAGACCAGGTATAAGGAGAAAAAAATAGGTTGTTGTGTTTCACGCTGTAGGGGAGGTAAAATTTCTTCTGTGTCCGTTTAGGGTCTCTGGCTGGACCCAAGAATTAAACTGATGTAAGATAAATTAACAAGAGAAAAAGCATACAAATTGTATTCAATAATTTACATGTACATGGGAGCCCTCACAAGAAAATGAAGACCCAAGGAAGCAGTGAGGACCAAAAGCTTATATACTGAGTGGACAAAGAGTAGTAAATTGTGAAAACATGACAAGGCAAAGGGATTTGGGCTAGAGCAGTTTGTCGTGGAAAACTGACTAGGCAGATAAGGGTTAGTTTAACAAGGTTTGTTTGTACAGATTTCTCGTCCTCAGCTCTCAGGCTCTGGTGATAAGAATGTCTTCCTTCCTCCTGGTACAGGGAGGGCACCTTTCACATGGAAATGTTATCTTCTGCTTTCAGGAAGGAAAGGAAGGTCAGAGTGCCTTCTTGTATCTGCTGTTTTTCTAGTGCCCTTAACTCAAGATAATCAATATGCCAAAGTGACGTATTTTGGGGTGGCATGCTCTGAACCCTGTTAACACTTTTCATAGAGACATAAGTATAAAGAATTATGTCTCTTTCACAGTATAACCTTCAATGATAAATGAGAGTTGATACTTGGTGTCTAGAGATGGTGGGGTTACCACTGTCACTCTGCCCTGTGGTGAACTGAAAGGTGCATGTCCTGTATCAAGGGATTACATAAGGGATTACAAAGTCAGTGGTGACAGATGCTGCACTTCTTCTGTAAAAACAGAAGCCTCAATATTTATATGCAGCCTCCCAACTTTTAAATACTGTGTAGGTCAAAATACGTCCACAGGATTGATCCAGCCCCATAAGCCAGGAGTTTCTGCCCTCTACTGTTGTACATACAGAGACACCTTCTTGGCTTGTTTCTCTAGCGCTGACTTTCTACATATTCTAGTCTCTCATCATCTGCTACAGGCTAGATACTGCCCCTAGATGGTCCACTGATTTTTACAATATTCAGTTCTGCATATCATCATTGTCTGTCTTCTGAAATCTTTATTTGCAGTTTCCTTTACCCTTGATGTTTTTTAGTCACAACGTACAGAATCATGAGATTCGAATACTGCATTTGTGTTCATTTAATCACCATATCCTATGAATCCAACAAGCATTTTTATTATTAAGTGTAGACTGTTAGAATTTTAGTAACTAGGAACAGAAAATACAGACATTTGTTATGTTCTCTTCATGATCTCTACCAAGATTCTTTCTAGAGTCTGGTCATTATTTGAAGGAGCAGGAGAGCATGATCATTGATACTGGTTAAGTATTATTAATAAAATAAAGCTTACCAAGAAAAGTTTTTCTGTCTGAAGTCATTCATGGCATCCTTTGAATGTGGTTTGTTCTGTGAGGTACTGGAAGAGGAATTAATAACTTGAGCTAAAGTCTCCAAACGTTGGATTACTATTCCCATTGGATCAAACATCTTAACCTGGTGGGTCTCCAGTACTACATCCTTATTTTATTTTTTAGAAATTCCCACTGGAGAGAGGTGTACAGTTGTCACTAATCATTTTTCCTCTTCCTCTTGTTGGACCTGTTTCCAATCCATCAAAAGTGATTACACAGCTATTAGGAAGAAAAAGGTAATTCCTTCAAGATGGTTAGAAACTACTGCTTTGATTCTTTTTCTCAAATGGTAATTTATTCATAATTAGAATAATTAAAAGGTTTGTTAGAGGCACTGTAAAAAACTGAATTTTGGAAAGAAACTTGGGACAATGAGTCCCTGCAGTTGCTGGGGGAAAGCAAGCCTCATCCAAGCAGTTCTTGGCTGAGAGATACCTGCCTAGCTCTGGATTTCTGCGCATTTAGGAAACAACTTTCTCATCATAGTTTGATTCTGCAAACTCCCCCACTCAAAAGCAAGTGTTCTCAATAAGCCATTCCAATGTTGTTATTTTTGTTACAAATACTATTTTGTGTGACTTTACCGTCCTTAAGAGGTTTCCCTAAAGATATGATAGCTTTTAGAAAGGTTAATGCTTCAAACTTTCAAAGAGGCAAAAGTGCTAACATTTCTAGGTGCCTACTTTAGGAGCTTCTTCTACTGTATCTTTAGTTCTCATACTGATCCCTTGAGGAAGATATCATTGTCCACAATTTACAGAAGAGGAAATGAGGGCTTAACAAGATTAAGAAATTTGTGCAAGATCAAACTGCTAACAAGTGGTAGAACCTGAGGTCAAATACACAGCAGTCTTGCTTAAAATCTTATTCTTTGTGATCTCTTACTTTATCCAACTCCAAGTTTTTCATTTTAGGACGATTACTTTGTTAACTATGTATAACAAGAATAGGACTGAAGGTAGGGAGAGTGGTTGAAAACCATTGCATTAGTATAACAGAAAGAGAAGGTCTCAAGTAAGATAACAGTAGGATTGGAGAGAAGGTTATAAATAAAAGAACCTGCTAAGGAGGGCAGTTGGCACCACTTAGTGTAGGATTTTTGTATTTTGTTTTAGTTTATCATGTAAAGAATGAATTTTTCCAGCTGTGAATTTCAGTTTAAAATGATGACCTATCGATTATATTTTGAATTTATCTAATAACAGTATTTTGGGATATGACACAACATAAAGTATAAAGGCAGAATTTTAAGAGTCCATTATTCTCTGCCTTTCATGGGGAAAAGGTTTTTTTTTTTCCACTTTTTGAAGTAACTTTAATAAGATACAATTCACATACCGTACAATTTACCCATTTAAAGTATATAGGTCAAAGAATTTTACTATATTCACAGTTGTGTAACCATCATCAAATCCATAGGGCATATTCTTTTTTTTTTTTTTTTTTCCTTTATTGAGACGGAGTCTTGCTCTGTCACCCAGGCTGGAGTGCAATGGCACGATCTTGGCTCACTGCAACCTCCGCCTCCCAGGTTCAAGTGATTCTCCTGCCTCAGCCTCCCAAGTAGCTGGGATTACAGGTGCCCACCACTATGCCCAGCTAATTTTCGTATTTTTAGTAGAGATGGGGTTTCACCAAGTTGGCCAGGCTGGTCTCGAGCTCCTGACCTCAGGTGATCCACCCGCCTCGGCTTCCCAAAGTGCTGGGATTACAGGTGTGAGCCACCGTGCCCGGCCCATAGGGGATATTCTTAATACAATTGTGTTGCCCAGGCGTGGTGGGTGGCTCATGCCTGAAATCCTAGCACTTTGGGAGGCCAAGGTGGGCGGATCACTTGAGGTCAGGAGTTTGAAACCAGCCTGGCCAACATGGTGAAACCTCGTCTCTACTAAAAATACAAAATATTAGCCTGGCATGGTGGTGGATGCCTGTAATCCCAGCTACTTGGGAGCTTGAGACAGGAGAATCACTTGAACCCGGGAGGTGGATGTTGCAGTGAGCTGACATGGTGCCATTGCACTCCAGCCTGGGGGACAGAGTGAGACTCCGTCTCAAAAAAAAAAAAATATATACAATTGTGTTTGATATGTATTTTCAAATCTTTATTTTTATGTGTCTTAGCTCAGATAAAAAGAGCATGCGATATAAATTTAGCTCATTTAAAAATGCTGGTTAAAAATAACATAAAAGAATTTAAAGCCAATTTGAGTCTGGAAATTATTCCAAAGATTGAAGAGGTCTTGCCACCTGTAGTTACATATAAATCCATAGTACAATGGGTACTTTGTGAGACCTCGTTATATTTGGTTGCATACAATAAATAACAAATATTAACACTGTATATTTGTATGGCACATTGTAGTTTATAATTATCATTATAGTTTGAGAACCCAGGAGCTTGTCAGTAGGTATCTGAGGAAAATAATTCAGGATAAGGGATTTAAAACATATGGATACTTTAGAAGATAAAATTGAGATAAACCCTTGTCATTTTGGAGTAGAATACATTATCTTGAGGAACATAAGAAAGAGAGAAAATGTGATGCTTATCTGTAGCCCAGGTTTTTAAAGACGGGTGTGTAAGAAAGATGTATGTTCCACAACTCAGATGGAGAGCGTTTTTTCATGAATTGAGGTAATTTTTATGTCTGTTAGCAAGGCAATATAAAATGTGAGGCCCTAAAATAACTCTCTATAGTAGACTCTGAGGAATTCAGAGAAATAAACTGTTGTCCTTGAGTTGCTTACAGTATCATGAGTATTGGGTAAAGGATAAGTTGGCTCTGTGGAATTTGTTAGACTTCAGCTTTTAGTTGTGAACCACTATCTGACTGCCCACCTGGTTATTCTGAATTATATATTAGCATATCCTCCTGAGATGTGGAAAGTAAAACACTCCTCCACTTCTCTTGCAATTGAGAGCATATGAATTCTTTCATCCTCTGCCTTCTTTTCTTCCTTTCAGCACTCGCTACCTAGTAAATTGACTGATGATGCATCAAAGCTAGTTAGAAGAGTAGTTGATAATACTCTGAAGTACAATTTAGTGGATGCTGGGACTGTCTAAAAATAATGTCTCAAGTAACCTGTTGATATTATCAGAAATTCTACCGTTAGCAATTCATGCTAAATCTCTTGTTAAATTGGATTATCCCTACTAAGGCTGTTGACTTAATCCACGTTAGCTAAGATAATATTTCATATTTTTAATAGAAATTTTCTAATGTAGATTCTCCTTTGATCTGTCCCTCCTGCCCCCGCCCCTGATTTCATGTTCTCACGTTACTTTGTTCATACAGCTCTAACCATATTGTCTTCGTGCAGTTTCTTTGAAACTGATAGGCTGTGAGATCTTGATCTTGAATGCTTTGTCCCTTATATCTACATGGCTTGCTGCCTAATTTCATTTATTTATTTATTTATTTGAGACAGGGTCTTGCTCCTTTGCCCAGACTGGAGTATAGTGGTGCAGATATGCTCACTACAGCCTCTATCTCCTGGGCTCAAGTGATCTTCCTTCCTTGGCCTCTCAAAGTGCTGGGATTGCAGGCTTGAGCCACTGTACCAGGCCTAACCTAACCTTGTTTAAATCTTTATTAAGATTTTATTTTCTCAGTAAGACTTTCTCTGAGCATTCTATTTAAATTCATTATCCTACCATCCACTGTCTCTATCTTCTTTCCCCACTTTTTGTTTCTCCATTGTACTTATCATGACCTGAAAATACATTTTTTTACCACAAGAATGTAACCTCCATGTGAGCAGGAATTTTGTTTTGTTCATTGCTGTATTTCCCAGTTACCCATGCAACAGGTGCTTAGTAAATATTTGCTGAGTGCATAAATGAATGTATACATGGGTCTCGCAGGATTGAGGCATAAAAGAAGTGCCTATGTAGAGAGGATACCATTTATCTCATGTTACAGGTTTTTTAAAGATGATATTCTGTGAAAATAATGTTTTAAAATTTTATTTTCTTCCCCTTCTACAGGAAATCCTTGTCTATGGCCAGCTATGGAGGGCTTCTGTTTGCGCATTTATAACAATTCTGAACTCTTAACAAAACCTTTGAATGACATGCATTTAGTAGATCTTGAGTTTCTGAATGTCTGGAATTTTTGCTTTTATTTATTGTGCAAATTAGTGTAAGCACTAACCTGGGAATCAGAGTTTCTGGCTCCTATGATCAGATTTTTTTTCATCTATAAATTGATGTGACTGGAAAACATGATTGTTAATATCAGTTCTAGCTTAATATAAGATTTTATTATTTACCTTATTCTAGCTTAATGAAATCTCTTTCTCCAATTCTATAATATTTCCTTTATTAAGGGTTGGGAAACTTCTGGGGTAAGGGAAATGCAAAATAAGGAGGAAGACATTAAATCTTCCAGAAACTCAAGACCACAAGTTTTTGCTCTAGTAATTGTTTATTATACTCTGCCTGCAAAGCAAAGAGAGTAGAGGTTTCAAAGCCACATGAATGTTTGAGTAATAAATCAGGGCATCTGTATTAGTTCTATGAGTAAACTTTAATTTTTTAACATGAAAATATTCCCGATGTATGCCAGTAGGAATAGTTTTTGTTTGTTTTAGTCCAGGAGATAGTTTCCTTTTTTGAATAATAGTTACACAGACATTAAAATTATTTATGATGATGATAGGAGACTCTGCAACTCAGCTTTTTAAGTTTTCCTGTTGGAGTCAACTCTGGAGAGCTGTCATGGGCTAAGCAACATAGAGATGTTGATCTGGATTCTCAGTCTGGTATTTTTTAGCTACCTTGGTGGAGGGGTGGGGCACCTGCAGGCTTAACAGAGTTTGGCCTGCAAGGCACTGTGATGTAGATCATAAATCAGTGACAGGGTAGGGTGGTAACTCTTTCATCCTGAGAACACATATTATTTACCCGATTATCAAGAACAAAGCCTATTTATCTTTGTAACTTTAGCATTTTGGCTTGCAGTGGATACTTAATAAATTCTTATTAATTATCTTGGAAAATGTTCCAATTATGTTATTTTTAAATTTAGTATCACAGAATCTTTTGGTACTAATTTTTAGGACTGGAACCCTTAAGATGATCTTACTTAAATAAGACTTCAAAATGGGCATTTTCTTTCATTTCTTCACTAAGCAAAGATTTATTTACTGCTTGTTGCCAGCTCATTGGTAGCAGCTGAGGCTGCAGCAATTGATAAGAAACAATCCCTGCTCTTATGCTCACATTCTAGTAGGGAAAGACAGATAGGTATACAAATTATTGTAATACAGGATAACAGAAATATATGTGTGGTGCTGTACTAGCAGAGTTTTGTAAAGTTTATTTGCTGTCCTGAGGCCAGTAGAAAAGAAAGGGGAGGAAGGTATTCTGGTTCAGAAGGGCTAAGGGACCTGATTGGCTGGGGCAAGTAATTACTATGTGGGATGAGAGCAACAGAGGTTAGAGACTAGTTTGGGAATTCTTATGAGTTACTTTCACCAATATCATATATGAATTCCTTTGAAGTAGGCATATCCTAAGTGCTGTCAAGTTTATCTTCAATTATGATTAAATCATTAAATGTATTTCATCAAGTATTCAGCTCGGAATGCCAGTATGTATGTCTTTATGCCTTGACATTCTATTTTACCCAGGAGATATGGCATTGCATCATGAGAATTTTTCTTGTACTGTCAACCAGTACATAGTTTCCAAGTGGAATTATCTTAGAAGCCGTTTAAAAATACTCTTGGACCCCCACCTCTAGTTTAGATTCAGTAAGTCCAGAGTTGTCTGGGGATTCTATGCTTATAAAAGACTTACATGTGATTCTGATGTACAGCACAGTTTGGGAACAATTGCACTAAACTGACATGGAGAGAAAGTTCTACCTGCTGTAATACATTTGTACTGTAATTCAGTAAGAATGGAATAGGTTCACATGTAACTTAACAGTAATGACCCCATGGGAGTAGAGCACTCTGAGATTTCCATAGAAGGGAATGCTAAATGTAGTATATTGTAAACAGTGGCGGCTCCTTAGATATGTTTTGAATTTAAACGAATCTGAAGATCTGAAGTCAAACCACAGATTGTACAGTTACAACTCTGAAACAGTGAAGCCACAGGGGAAGTGACATTTAAACTGACTATGCTTGAAGGTGATCATGGTTGGAGTCAGTACGTTAGAGGCACAACTGTATAGAGGTAGAGATGGTAGCTCAGCTCCGACCTAGGGATAAGTCTTCTCTGACATTTCCTAGCATAGTTCAACAGAGTTTACCAGTTACTCACTATTAATAATAGAGAAATATATATTTGTATTTTAGATGACATATTTTAGAATAGGAAAAAGTAGGGAACATAATTGAGATCAACAGTAAAAGCCACCATGTGTTTTAAAGTAATCAAGACCTATAATTCCTGTACTAGGCTATTATAGTAAATTCTAGAGGGTATGTGGCAGTCATATGGCTTTTCTGATTACCTGTATTTATTGATAAAGCTCTAAG